>NC_000016.10:49410985-49714015 GCF_000001405.40 Homo sapiens | reverse complement strand
CTTTACCACACTGCCGGGCTGACTTGTCTGCCCTGTGGGAGGCGTGATGGAGTTGCAGGGAGAAAGCCACTGGTCATTGACTCCACACAGCCAGATCACAGGGGAGGGATGGGGGCCCTGGCAGCGGGGGAGTGAGTTACTGGAAGATTCCCTCTTCGCCCACATTCTCTGGGCCTGCGTGTCTGATCACTGACTTTCTGTCTCTCCAGTCTCACGGATGGCATCTTTCACACTGCTTCCTCGAATGCCTTTTTATCACAGTCTCAACAAACACCTTGCAGACATATTTACTTAAAAATTCTTTAAAGAATACCCCCTTGGTCAGGGTCCCAACAGAAAACAGATGGCGCACTCAAACCGGGAGATGGAGGAGCATTTAATAAAGGGCCCATTTGCAGAAGCGGGCAGGGGAAGAAGGGGAGCTGTCCAGGAGTGGGGCATCATCCTGAGAACCTGCCAGGGTGCGGGGAGGGGCATTTAGGCCACCTGGAGAGACTGGCTGTAGGGAGGCTGCTGAGGGAGAGGGGTGCAGCAGGGCAGGGCAGAGGCTGGGAGAATAACTACCCCAAATCTGTCTCCTCCCCCACTGCAGTCGCTGCAGGAACACAGAGCAGGAATGGACCAAGGTGGGGGCGGATCTAGAGGGGACAGTGGCAAATATCCTTTGTACCCACCCCACTCCCTGGGCTCTCTTAGATCCTGCGGATGAGCAAATGCTCAGAAGTCAGATTTTGGAGATCAGCCCCAGTTTATAGCAGTTTCCTGTGTGATTTGTGTGGGGGAGTGGGTGGTGCCCTGTTTCTCCTGGACCCTGAGGCTATGTCAGGTGACTGTGGGCTTTTAGCTTTTGGTGGTCCCTTTTCCTGGGACAAGCCAATTGCCAGCACTTTGGTCTTGCTCTGTAAGGCCACAGATGATGGAGCAGAGGAGCAGATTTGTCAGACTGGAGGCCCAGCGCCTGGCAAGTGGAGGTGTACAAATGGAGGCCTGAGCTGCCAAAACTTTATTTGCATAAATGGCGACATGAATCAGTTATCATTCTGATTAAATCCATTTTCTGCTTAACTCCTGGAGAAATTGGCAATGGAAGGCATTCTGTGGCTGTCACCTGCACGACGGTGTCATTCTGTTTGTGGCTTCATAGGGACAATGGCAGTGGAGAGGTCAAGGAAAAGCAGGAAGGTCAAGGATGCATCCGCGGAGCCTCTTTGTTCATTATGTATTTCCATCACACGTGGTTTCCACTCGCGGATCGCGCCGCTCCCGGGACCCCCAGAGGATAAGACAAGGGAACCGGTGCTCTGAGCACCAAAGCTATTTTTATTTGTGTGCAGGGCAAGGTGATGTGGCGGCTGCAGGCCGAGGTTCAGCCGTCCCTGACACACAGAATTGGATATTAAGGTGGAATTAGAAGCTTGAGTCTGAGGAGGTCCCTAGCGAGGGATGCATTCAGGATGGCATTATGACTTTCCAAACTGCTTTTGCAGAGGGCAGTGAGGGGAGATGAAGGAGCTGTTTTGGGGGCCAACCCTCAGCCCCTGAGTAGCCCTCTATCAGTGGATTATGAATTGTTTGTTTCCCGAAATCAAATTCTCTTTCTATTGTTTCTTTTTTTTCCAATGGCACTTTCCCCTCTGGACATTCCTAAGAGCTTTTTTTCTCCTCTTCACAAAGCTTTGCGGCACCCCACCTGCTCAGGCACGCGAGCCCCACCGTGCATTAGCAGTGCGGGCGCCCGTTCCTTCTGTGACCAATGCAGGCCCCTATGTTATCAGCATCACTTTGCCTCCAAGTGAGGAGCAGAGAAGGCCTTCCCTCATTATTTTAAAACAATTAAATGTGATCAAATATCACAGTAATACATAAATGTATTCTTTATTATTATTATTTTTTTAAATAGCGACAGGGTCTCGCTCTGTTGCCCAGGCTGGAGTACAGTGGTGTGAACATAGCTCACTGCAGCCTCCTGGGCTCAAGCGATTCTCCTGCCTCAGCCTCCCAGGTGTCTGGGACTGCAGGCATGTGGCCCCATTTCTGGCTAATTTTTAAATTATTTATTTATTTTTTCTAGAGACGAGGTCTCACCGTGTGTTGCCCAGGGCTGCTCTTGAACTCCTGGGCTCAAGCCATCCTCCTGCCTCAGCCTCCCAAAGTGTTGGGATTAGAGGCATGAGCTACTGCGTCTGGCCATAAATGTATTCTGTTTGTAAAAATTTCAAAGATAGGCTTCAGGCTGTCCCCACCCCCTTGTTAACTACTGTTATTACCATTTTGGCTTTCTTGATTCCAGACCTTCTCCTACACCTTTACGTAATACTGTATTTCATAGATTCTAAGACACATTTTAACATTTCTGAAATTGAGGTGCATCTTTCAACTAGTGGCTTGTCATGGTTTAATTGACAGTGGGTTTTGTTTTTCTTTTTCAGTGGTCTGTAAAATAATGGTGCATTTTACCATCCACGGTGTCTTACGTTCAGTGAAATATAGTGTTATGTGTATCCACAGAAACAATGTTATATTGATTTTTGATTAAAAAATGAATGATACCATATTGGATCTATCATTCTGCAACTTGCTTTTTTTCCATTTAGTATTAGACCTCAGAGAGCTTCTCACCTCAGCGGGTACATCTCCCTACTTCTTATTAGCTGCTGTGGGGCTTGCGTAGTGTGGATGCCCCGTGCTTTATGCAGCAGGCCCCTGGTGGGGGGTATTTAGGGTGTTTCCAGTTGTTCACTATAGTAAACATTCTTGTACACGTCTCCCTGTAGGAACACTTTTTTCCATGGTTGATAAGGAGAAGGGGCATCGTTGGGCCCAGCCTCTGTAACCTTCTCTTTCCTTCATTCCAACATTCTGTTCCATTGCATCTTATTTTATCCCACCTGCTCTACTCATCCCATTCCACCCCTCTCATTCCATCCTATCCTGTCCCATCCCATCCCATCTCACCCCGTTCCACAGTCGTCACCCTAGTACCAACTTGGCTTTACATACTGTGCTTGAGGGGCCCACAGAGGGGAGTCAGTACCTGCCTACCCGGCAGCTTCTGGTGCAGCTGGGAGAGAAACCCTGAAATAAGACTTGGATCTGAGCCCCATGTCCCCAAGTGAAGCCTGGGGGTGGGGCACAGGTGTTGTCTGGTGCTGAGGGAGACATTGCAACCTCATTTTACACTCATTCTGGGTCCTCTCAGGCTGGCAAGCCCCTCGGGAATTAAACAGTGTTCCTTAGCATTGCCACGTGTTGTCACCTCTTGACTGGTATGGAGCTTAAATGAGAATCTTCCCCAGGTGGGTTCCTTAAGGCTGGACACCTGTTTGACTTTTTGTGGAGTCCCCTCTCTTGTTTTCCCACCATTAAGAGCCACCTGTCATTCCAGTGGCACCCGGCTGCTCTGCACAGAGGTGCTGTGCCATCTCACCAGGATGCCGGGGATGGAGAGGATGCAGGGATGGAGTCTCCCTCACTACTTCTGCCGCCTGGTGACTTTTGAGCAGAAAGTGCCAGAGTCGGCCCTGAAGTGACTTCAGGCAGTGCTTCTTAGGCGTTTAGGTCCTTATGATCACTTGGAATCTTATGAAAATGCAGTTCCATTTGAACAGACCTGGGGTGCCGGAGAGTCTACATTTCTTACAAACTCCCTGGGGATGCAGATGCTACTGAACCACACCGGAGTAGCAAGGACTTTAGGAAGGATAGGCCAACTATGGAGGCAGGGAGGACCTGGGAAGTGTGGAAGAAGAATTTTGGTGAGAGCTGAGGTGTTTTAGGGTCCAAAACTAGACATGACGAGCAGGTCACCTCTTCGGACTATAGATTATTGTCATTATTGTTATTTGTACTTTTGGCTCGCTATCTCTAGCAACTGTGTGCAAGTCAAGGGAGAGTTTGTTGGTTTATTTTAGGCTGATAGATTTGTTCTAGAGTTTCAACTGTTCTACATGTGGCATGTAGTGGAGCATAATTCTTCATTCTGAGGACTGTTCCTTGCTTGGCAAGACATTCAGCATCCTTGGCATTGCCCACTAGATGCCAGTAGCAACCTCCCTGATTATTGTGGCTGCCTCAGTCCGCTCTGGCTGCTATAACAAAATATCTGAGACTGATTGTGTGATTTACATGCAACAGAAATTTGTCGTTCACAGTCCTGGAGGCTGGGAAGTCCAAAATCAAGGTGCCAGGAGATTCCGTGTCTGGTAAGGGCCCACTCCTCATAGATGGAGACTTCTATGTGCCCTCTGGTGCAAGGGCAAAAAGGGACTAATAAGCTATGTTGGGGCTTTTTGATAAGGAAACTGATCGCACTCGTAGGGATGGAACCCTCATGACCTAATCACCCGCCAAAAGCCCCACTTCTTAATACCATCATCTTGGTTAGGTTTCAACATACAAATTTTGGGGGGACGTAAACATTCAGACGATAGCAGTGGCACTTGAAAAATGCTCCTGAAGGGCGGTTGCTGCCCCTGGCTGAGAGCTGCTGAACTAGATGCACCCCTTGTTGAGGGCGGGGACCATGGTCTCGTTTCCATACCTGGAGTGGCTGGCATCGTACCTGGCGTGGTGTAGGAACCTGATAAACGTGTCTTCCATGAAAAAAGGCAGCCTCTCGGGCACTAAGATGATGTCATTGTGAAGAACCCCTGCTTCAGGGAAGAGTCAGATTTGTGTGCCTCTGTTACACCGAGCAGGGTGGCACCTGCTGAGAACAGCAGCGTCCTGACCTCGAGGGATGGTTGGGGGAGACAAGAGGCAGGAAATGATGGTGCTTCTGAAGTCAGCTTTGTTTCCTTGGCTTTCCCCCAGGGCTCCGAAGCTCCGTTTTCATATATATATATATAAACGGCTGCTGAACGTTTGAGTTTTTTATGCGTTTGTCTTTTCTGGGCCGAGCTGCTGGAGGATAAGGCCTGTCTTGTTCATCCTTATGTCCTCAGGGCCTGGTACATAGTAGGTGTCTTGTAAATGTTTGCTGAAATAACTATTTGAATTCCTTAGGGAAATCAGCTCTTCCCAGGAGCTCAGTGATGGATCTTTCTGTTTCACTGAAGAGCAAGTTTGTAATGTGAATCTTTACCCCCCGCCCATTCATTCATGGGGTTATTAGTTCATTCATTCATTCAACAAATATTTACTGAGCACCTACTAGGTCCCATGCCCTGTGCTGAAGCAGGAGGAGGCAGGCATTGTCCTCACTGTGGAGCTGAGGGTGTGCTGGGGGGAACAGACATTAGTCCAAGAATCAGACAAGCAGTGGGAAAATGACAGCCTCCGCAAGTGCTTCTAGGGGAAGGTACATCCATGGCCTGTGAAAGGCTGTGCGGGTAGCACGTGTTGGGTCCCTGTGGCATGTGGGCAGTGGAGGATGTCGGGGAGGGGTCCCTGAGGTGGTAGAGTTGGAGCTAAGTTCTGCAAGGAAGAGCAGGGCATGGTGGCTCATGCCTGTAATCTCAGCACTTTGGGAAGCCGAGACGGGCAGATCACTTGAGGTTAGGAGTTTGAGACCAGCCTGGCCAACATGGTGAAACCACATCTCTACTAAAAATACAAAAAAAATTAGCTGGACATGGTGGCACACACCTGTAATCCCAGCTACTGGGGAGGCTGAGGCGGTTGAACCCTGGAGACAGAGGTTGCAGTGGGCTGAGATCTTGCCGCTACACTCTAGCCAGGGGGGCAGAGTAAGACTCTACCTCAAAAAAGAAAAAAAAAAGAAAAGAAAAAAGTGGTGGGTGTCGTATCCACAGGCTCAGCAGCTCCGCCGATCCAGCCAGTTCTTTTCCACCAAGAGGTTGATCTTTGGAGCCATCTCCATGCTGTAGATCTGCCGGCAGGTTCCGTAGCTTTCCCCTGTTGCTGGTGGCATGGCTTCTCATGGCACCGCTGATGTCGAATGTCCTCAGCGAGCCCATTCATGGCCACGATTCTGTGTTGGGTCCCGCACGCACCTTTCACGGTCCTTTTCTGTAACATCACAGTCCTGGCAATGAACTCCAGATGTTTTGCCCTGACCTTGGATTTAAGTCTCCACTCTGCAGGCCCTCATGAGCTCAGTCCCAGCCCGCCTTCTTTTTTAAGGCTGAATCATAGAATCGCTTGAACCTGGGAGGTGGAGGTTGCGGTGAGCCAAGATCGCACCATTGCACATTAGCCTGCGTGACAGAGCTAAACTCTGTCTCAAAAAAATAAATAAATAAATAAGTAAGTAAAATAAGATCTGCAAATCTGCAAGGAAGTGCTTAGGGCACTAGTATTTTTTTTTAAAGCATTAGAGGATGCATAAGTAAATAATACGTAAATTTTATCAAGGCTTCTTTATAGTTATTTTATAATTTAGTGTTTTTTATTTTGAATTATGAGTAGGGAAAGTGCTCTTTGTTTTTTTTTTTTTTTTTGAGACAGTCTCACTCTGTCGCCCAGGCTGGAGTGCAATGGCGTGGTCTCGGCTCACTACAACCTCCCCCTCCTGGGTTCAAATGATTCTCCTGCCTCAGCCTCCCGAGTAGCTGGGATTACAAGCGCCTGCCACCATACCTGGCTATTTTTTTTAACATTTTTATTAGAGACGGGGTTTCAAGATGTTGACCAAGCTGGTCTTTAACTTCTGACCTCAGGTGATCCACCCGCCTTGGCCTCCCAAAGTGCTAGGATTACAGGCGTGAGCCACCATGCCTGACAAATGCTCTTTTCTGTATATAGGTTCTCCCCACATCTTGACCCTGGGTCTGAGAGGAGCAAGAGGTAAGTGGGTGGAGCCTAGTGGGGAGAGTACTGCAGACAGTGGGGAGAGCATGTGCAAAGGCCCTGGGGAAGCAGAGGTGACACAGGGCGTCGGGGTACCGGCAGGGACCCCGGGGGTAGGTACCCAGGGAGCGGTGAGGTGAGGGCATGGCATGGGGCTGGGGCCAGATCACATAGTGCCTCGCAGGCCATGGAAAGGGGTGGGGATTTTATTCCAAGCCTAGTGGGAAGCCATTGGAAGAGGTCAGCAGAAGGGTGACAGGATCCGGTGTGTGTGTTTAACAGATCCCTCTGGCTGCTGTGGATAGCATGGGCAGGTGTGTGGGTTGTCCTGGGGGTTTGTTTATAGGTTTCTCCTTCCTGGCTGGCAGTCATGGGTCCTGGGACCACCTGCCATGTGAGGCCGAAGGTGCCCTTGTGTTGTTGGTGCCCGGAGCCATTACCTCACTTTGTCTGGGTTCTGGACTTTCTCTTCTGTTTCTGGGTCAATCAGACCTGGCCTTTTGAAGCCAGATGGAGGCAGAAGACCTTCGGGTGATGTTTAGATCTCTAAGTTGCTGTAAATCTCACTGAAGTGACCTATTTTTCTTCCATGTTGCTCTTGTATTTTTTATGAATGGATGATAAAAAATGTGGCAGGGTCATTTGTTTTAATTTCCTTCTGACACCTGGATTCTGTGTTTGGTGGCAGCCATCCCACCAGTGGCTGGAAGTCTGCCTCCAGGCGGTGGAGTGGCCCTGGGCCCAGTTCACACCTGGCTCTGTTGTGAATGGTGGGGCAGCATGCCCTGGTCCCCACAAGGCAGTGAGCCCCCTTTAGAGCACAGGACTGGAGGGTCAATGCTGGTACCCAGGGATGGGATTCTTCCAGCGTGTCTGTCTGATTGGCCAGGCAGCTGTGGCCATGGCTGGCCTGGAGGTGAGAACTTGAAGGCTCTATCCTTTTGGGACTACAGTCCTGCCCATCTTACGGAGGGTCCAATTGTTAAATGGAAACTAGTTCTTCAAGGCAAACTGGCTTCACCTTTGATGGGGAGTGGTGAGGGGTCAGTTCTGAGGACTGACAGCCTCCAGTGCCCATGAGACCAAAATTCATTTTTTTTCCTAGGGTGGCCATTTGTGGTCATGTCTGGCCCTATTTTCCAGGCTATCTTACCACTCCCCACCTCACCCTTGCCTTTGAAGTGTGTGGTGCCCTTGCCCACGCTGTTCTCTCTGCGTTAAACACCACCCCGCAGTGTGCCTCCCTGTAAAGCCATCCCATCCTTCCAGTCTTCCTGGAAGCCTTTCCTGACCTCTACACAGATGGTCGTCCACGTGCCTTCTCTGGGGTTCCCAGAAGCAATGGAGCACTTGGACACTCCCTTGTTTCTCAAAATACATTTTTCTTGTTTTATGCTTGCTATATAAACTTACTGTGGGGCCGGGCGCAGTGGCTCATGCCTGTAATCCCAGCACTTTGGGAGGCCAAGGTGGGTGGGTCACCTGAGGTCAGGAGTTCAAGACCAGCCCAGCCAACATGGCGAAACCCCATCTCTACTAAAAAGACAAAGATTAGCCTGGCGTGGTGGTGGGCACCTGTAATCCCAGCTACTTGGGAGGCTGAGGCAGGAGAATCGCTTGAACCAGGGAGGTAGAGGTTGCAGTGAGCCTAGATCGCACCACTGCACTCTAGCCTGGGCAACAAGAGTGAAACTCTGTCTCAAAATCACGCACAAAAAATAAAATAAACTCACTGTGGAAGGTCTATTAAGTACAGAGAAGTGAAAAGAAGAAAATCCAGTTATAACCTAGAGATCCAGAGAGTCATTTTGGCATTCATCCATCCACATTCTTGTTCTGCAATCTGCTTTGTTTTTGTTTACCCATAGGTTGTAAACAGCTTATCATATTAATATTGTCCAAAAGCCTCCTTTTAATCGGCTTTATACTGTTCCATTGTGAGGTTGTGCTCAGGTGTGTATTACAGTGCCCTATAGCTAGACAGAGGGCACTCCCCATCCCAGTGATCCACCTGCCATGCTGTGACCATGGCAGGCTTTGTGAAGGGCTGGGGCCTTGACTCTGTTGAATGAATGAATTCTCCTGCATTCACATCTGTCTCCTGATGTACCAGATAAGCCTGTATTTAAGGCCTTCTTATTCTCCCATCCCAAGTGCCCTCCCACCTTTTTCCCAGAAAGAAGACAGGACAGCCCACCGTGCTGTCATTTAACCTTTAAAAGTGCAGGCCAATAGCTCGGGCAACAAAGAGGCTGGAAGGGCTAGGCAGGAGTGGGTGCAAAGGGTGGCCTCCTGGAGGTGGCAGTGTTGGCACAGGTTTGTAAGTGGCTTCCAGGCCAGGAGGGAGCCCAGGGAGTTCTAGGTGGCCTGGGGCTGCTGATGAGCAGGAGAGACTCCAGTTGGAAGTGGAGGTCCCTTGGAGCTGGGAAGTTTTCATGCCTGGTTCCAAGCTCTGGCAGCCATATTTGAAGGCCCACAGTGCAGCTGAGGTGGCACTGTGGTGTTTGGGAGTCTGGTGTGTGTGTGTGCTCTGCATAGCAGTTACATGGGAGTGGAATTCTGTCCTCTGTGTGTGATGAGACACAAACCTTCATACTCCCTCCAGATCTACTGGAGCCTGGGAACAAAGCCTTCATTTATTCAAGCATGCATGCATGGAGTAAGCAAATGTTCACTGCATCTTCCTCTCTATCAGGCTCTATGCTGGTTCCTGCTCTCACAGAGCTCACAGTCTTGGGGGTGAGGGTACAGCTATCCCAGTTTGCTCATGACTGACTGACTAATGGGCTTCCTGGTATGTATGTAGCATTTTCAGTTCTAAAATTGGGGAAGTCCTAGACAAATTGGGACAAGTTGGTCACTGGGTTACTGTCATCCAAGGAGAAAGGTGTCAGAGCCCTGTGGGTAGGACTGAGGGACCCAGAGGAGGGAGGTCACCTCTGGATTTCCTGTTATAGGTGTGGCATGCTTAGTGGGAGTTTTCGTGGAGTGTCATGGAGTGGAGTTGAGATGCCCTAGAAGGGGGTTCTAGCGAAGATTCTTCCCTTCTCCTTTTCAGTTCTTTATGCCCCTGCTCCTGTGTTCCCCCTCTGGCTATGGCACAGCCAGGGTGTTCCAGAGGGGCTAAGACTGCCCTCTGGAAAGTGGATCCCTGAGACCCGGGCTCAGTCATCCCTTTCTGCCTCCAGGCCCTCTTTGAAGAACAGGGTTCTCTGAAGTCCACTCTGAAGGGGAAACCTGCCCTTCCTCCCTTGCACTGAATGGAGTCTACTGGGGTAGACTTAAATGGCTTTTATTTATGGCCTGGGCGCATCACTCATCAGTTGCTTCACTCACCTCTTCACTCACCACAGGGCTCCTGTTCATCTCTTATGTGCCGGGCACTGGGCTGGGCACAAGCTGGTGATGCATTGAACCCAGGGTGGGGCATAGAGGAGCTGGGAGATAAACAACCCCTGCCAGCCCAGCGAGTTAGGGCGACCTAGGAGCCAGCCAGCTCCAGAAGCCTTAGCAGCTTCTCACCCAGGACAGCTGGTGGGAAGGAATCCATTAAGTCAGCAGAGCCGGATCCACCCTTGCTGGGCCTCCCTGGGCTGACCCCATGGGGCTCCCCTGCTAGGTGCCTCTCTGGAGCCTTTGTCCCTAGAAGTCTGTGAGGGGCCTTGGGAGAGTGGAATCTTGCACCCTTCTCTAGGAAGAGCCATTTGTCCATTGAAATGTAATTTTCTCCTGAAAGGAGGAAAAAGACAGGAAGGGCCACCAGGTTGAGGATAGGATTCTGGTCCCAGATCCAGAGTAAATTTCCAGCCTGCAGGTAAAGTCCCTGAAAAATGTAGGGCTGGGTGGATGGGCACCCTGCCCTGGGAAACCCCCACCCCATCCCTGACTCTAAATGCCGTTGTGCCTAAAAATTAAATTGAAGTCAGAAATGATTTTTACTCCTTCACATGCTTTAAAAAAAATTCAATGAAGGAAAACCCCAAGCTGACGTAATGGATAGAGTACAGTTCAAAAAGAATAAATGTTTTCAAGAAAGAAATTTCTAAAGGAGATTTCTTTGTGTGTTCCAGCGGCCATGACACGGTTAAGCAGGTCGCCTCTCTGGTCCTGGTGCACCTGTGGGGAGGTTCTAGCGGTAACCGCAGAGCCCAGGAGGGAGGAGGGCCCAGCATTGGAATGCGGGCGTGTGCATGCCTGCGCGCCTGTGTTGGTGCATGTGTTCGTATCAACACATGTACACATTTATCAAATTACATCTGCTTTTACCTTTAAAATTTTATGAACATGAGCATATGGTGCTTTATCCTGCCATGGAGTGTGTGTGTGTGTGTGTGTGTGTGTGTGTGTGTGTGTGTGCGTGTGCACACAGGCAGGTTGGCTTGGCACTCGCTCCTCCAGCACACATGGGTCTGTGGCCGAGAAACTCCTTTGGAGATGAGAGCTTGGAAGCGTGTGGGGCTGTGGGTGAGCCAGCCTCCCCAGGGCCCCAGCCTGGCCCTTGGCCCACCAGGCCATGAATACATTTCCATCCATCTCTGGCCCCCATCACCTAGGCAGCTAATTCCTCGGAGCCTCTCAGCCTTATTAAAGTCACAGATCACTTTCTTGAGCTTAATGCTGTCAAGACCAAGCGTGCCCCTTGTTCTGACCCCCTCCCGCCATCCAGCCTCTCCTTGAGGGCTGGGGGTGGAGGTGAGGGGCCCGCCAGCCCCCCGCCTCCACCCTGCCCCCTCCTCAATTTGATCGGCATGACGCCTTGCAGTGATCAGTGAGGTCGCCTCAAGATTCCTTCAGTAAAGCCCTCGGCAGGGATACAAGGGCCGTCACAGCTGTGCTGCACAAACCAGCTTCCAAAGGCGAGGATGGGGCTGGCCCACTCGAAGTGGCTCCTCGGCAGAGGGGTGCGAGGCTCGCTGCTGATTTGGAGAACACTTCTCCCGTCCCTGGCTGCCTTGGCCTCCCCTGTTATGAAATATGGATGGTACCGGTTCCAGCGTTCAGAGACTCGCTGGCAGTGTGAGCGTCTCCAAAGGCCCGCCTTGTGCATGCACCTAAACACTTCACTGAGCAATCTGTCAACATGTCAGCAACACATGTTTTGTAAAAAGCTTCCAGTGGGAGTAATGACTCCCACCAGGACTTCCAAAATGCTTTGAATTCAGCAGATTTCTATTGCGGGCATCCCCTGGGGTGCCTTTTACAATGCCTACATTTCAGAAATTTGAGCCACAGACCCCTGGGGGTTTCCTTTCATAATGCCTCAAAATGTAGGGTTATATTGTTGGAAGTCCCCATGGGGTCTTTATTAATACCTGAATTCTGAGGAACTGGAAATTACACAGGGCACTGCAGGGGCCCAGATCCACACCAGGAAGAAGAGAAAAACTCTGTGGGGAGATTTTTTTTCTTCATGCAAGAGTGAAAGAGAAGAATTTGCTAAAGGACAAAATTGAGTGTGTTTGAGCTTCCTTCATTTAATCTGCCTTCTAGAACGCTACAGTAAAATCTGCAACGGGGAAGGGGGGAAATGACTTTTCTATTTTTAAATCTCACTTTGATATTTTAGGGGCCAGAGTATGTTCTCTTTAAACACCCAGTGTCGAAGAGGTATTGTTTAAAAATAAATTATTTTTCTTTTTGGTAATTGAAAACACCTCTGCCGTGCCCCTCTCCTGGGTCTCCCCTCTTCCTTAGAGCTGTTAAGCTCCTGTAGCGCGCTGCCGTCTCATTATCATTAACCGTTTGGGGTCGGTTTGAGATATTGGCCCACTTGCTCCCCTCCCCTCCCCTCTCCTCCTCTCACCTCCCCTCTGCACATTAAAGATGAGAAAATCAACCTTGGAGATGGTCCAATCTCCCGTGCGAACTGGTTTCAAATCCTCGTCGCTGGTTGGGGCCATCAGCGTAGGAAATATCAAGGCTGGCTGCTACTTTTTTGCAAGCATTTTGCTGCTGAAGTCTTGAAAAGACAGAGGGGTGCCTTCCTGTCCCCCACCCTACACACACACGTGCGCATGCACGCACACGTGCATATACCGGCTTCCACGTGTGACTCATCTCAGCCTCCATCACCTGCACACTCACCTTTGGTTCTGTTTTTTTAAAAGTTACAAGACTTAAACATGTTAAGCCTTAGGGTTAATTTAAGCTGCCTTTTTTCATTCTAAATCTGGCACTGACTAGCTTGCTGAAAAGAGGCCTCTCTATTTCTATTACAATCTCATTGACTGGGACAAGAAAATAACATTGAGAGAGCTAACTTACAGCAGCCAAGGCCAAGAAATTCTAAGTTGCTGATAAGACCCTCCTCCCTTCTCCTCCCTCCTCTGCCCTCCTCCCTCTTCCCTCCTCCCTCCTCCTTTCTCCTGCCTCCTCCCTCCTTTCTGCCAGAGTGACTGGATCACACAGGGGACTCAGGAACTCACATTTTCCCCCCTTGGTGAGACTCCCAGACGGTGTTCAACCATCTGTGGTCCCGTGGGCCCAGCAGAGGGGGCCCAAGGAGGGGGGTTTGCCCATCAGGAGCTGGTTGGGTCAGATGCTCACAGAGATCCTCTGCACCCACCCCGAGCAGGCTGATTAATTAAGCAATTGCATCATTGATTCAAGGTTTGTGATTTGGTGCCAGGGCGCTGGCGGCTGCGTTCCTGAGCATTGCTTCCCCTCCCTGGGCTGTGAGTTGCAGGATCCCTTTCCTTTCTCCAGCCTGATTTTCCTCCCCAGTGCCAATCCTGGATGTTCCATCAGGAAAGGAACGGCCCCCTGTATTCCAGCTGCCCCTCCGCCCCAGTCAGGAAGCCCTGTGCCTCCTGGGGTGTCATGATGGGTGGGGCTGTGGGCCATGAGCAGACCTCAGGAGGGGCCTTTTCTGCTCCCAGCAGGCCCTGTGGGCTTCAGCAGGGGCTTGGAGACGGAGAGGGCAGGGAGCCCTGTGGTGCTGATTTGACATTTTTAGCTGAAGACCTTTGTTCCGACCAATTTCCAAGTAGCTTGGGGTTGGAGTGCATTCTGCTTTTTTCTTTTTCTTTTTTTCTTCTTCTTCTTCTTGTTTTTTTTTTTTTTTTTTTTTTGAAATCCTGGGCCTCTTTTTCCTTTTTCTTTCAAAGCGATGAAATAGAATCTGACCCTGGGAATCCCATTCTTGCCATCTCTTTCCCCAAGCCACCCTCTTCTGCCTGATCAAGGAGGCCTGGATTTCCTGGCAGCCTCTGGGTCTCAGAGGGTCTTTGGCCTTGAAACCCTGCTTCTAGCCCAGCCCCTCGCCCCTGTCTTCTGAGGGCTGCAGACTCCCCAGGGAGGCTGATATCCTGGCCTGGGGCCCTGGCTCGGGAGCTGCTGTGGGGTGGGGTCCACTATTTTTCTGTCCTCCTCCCTCTTGGAGACTTTGGCCCTCACTTGGCCTCAGGGTCAGTGGGTGGAAGAGCCGTAAGATAAAAATTTAGCCCACTTCCCAAGAACACAGACTTTTCCTAAGGAGGCCTGAACCAGGCAGCCAGAGCCCCTTCAATTTTCATCCAGTGGGGATGGCATGGTAAGAGCACTCAAAAATAAACAAATCAAAACTGAAAACATCAAAACAACTAAAAGCCGGACAATAGAAATTCCTTTTCCTTGTGAGCCCCAAAGTAAACAATGAAGATACCACCTCTGGGAAAGAGGACATGACAAACTTAGATTCTTTTGAAAACACATACTATTTGCCAAATCAGATGGCAAACCTCCTTCCAGCATCAAAATCCATGTGGTTCCAGGGAAGAACGGGGGCAGGGGGCGGGGGACGGTGTGGGAGGAGCCTTTGCGCCCCCAAACAGATGTCCAGGGAGGCGAGGCCAGAAAGCTTCCGTGGAGCAGTGATTTATTTTATTTTTTAGATCTAGATGTTTTGGCCGCATTTATTTATTTATTTCCAAAGGGCTATTTTTGGCGTCTGCCTGGGCTCCTTTGTAGCAAAGCCCCCTTTTCTAGAATTTCCTTTCCTTTATTAGAGTTACAGCTCAGCTTTGTGCGGCCCCCGGGGGAGCCGGCCAGCCGCTGGCAATTTCTCTCAGACACCCAATTACCCCCTGACGTCAGTGCCGCCTCGCCCAGCTCCCCTGGGTGCTTCCATTTTTCCCTTTGTAACACTAATAGCTGACTAGCTAAGTGCCTGTCGGCTCCTTGGCAGAGGAGGTGATTGTGTTTTCGGCTGGATACTAAATCCAAAAACTATGTAAAAATGTCAATAGGTGAGTGCACATTGATTTTGGTTAGTCACAGTGATATTTGAGCCCCTTTGGGGACTCTGTCTGGGGAAGTATTTTACAAGAAAGATAATATAACAGAAAATTACTGGAGCTCCGCGGGTCTCTGGTGGGTTTCTTAGAGGCCTGCTAAATTGCTGTAGAATCAACAAATGCTTTATTAATCTAAATTTGTGGTTTTGTTCTTTCTTCTCTTCAGAAGGTTGGAGTTTTAATGATGCAGGCGGCTCCGGCGGCCGGGCTCGGCAGCGCGGCCCGCACCTTGGCTGACGGGCTGGGGTACCCTGGCTGGTAATGAACTCTCAGAGGGTCCGGGAGCAGGGCGGCTGTGTTCCCAGCTGGCTTCCTGGGGAATGTGGAGCAGGCGCCGGGCCCACCGCTTGCCAGGCCGAGGTCTGTGCGAGCAGATAAAGTGAGGGGCTGAGGGCCTGGAACAGCTGTGGCGGGCCAGACTGACTGGGAGAGGCTGATAAGAGCCCAGAAGGAGCCCAGGCGGGCGGCGTGGCAGCGCCAGAAATCTGACGGGGTATCACGACTGGCAAAGAAAGTTAAACACGGCCGGATCGGGGGATGGTTGGCGGACCTGCGGAGAAAGATAATGGTAATTGATGGAATCAAAGTCGCAGCACAGCCTTGTGTTTTCTTGGCAATTAATTCCCCCACCCCTCCCCAGTTTCTAACCCCCTGGCATTCTTAGAGCCCAGGATGCCCCGTGAGCAGGCTGCACACTCAGATAATCAGCACATGCCCTCCTTGCTTCGGGGGGCGGGAGCAAAGGAGATGCAGCCAAGAAAAGACACAATTAGAGACCTGGTTTAAAAAAAAATGTTACAAACAAACAAGTCAGAAAAAGAAAACCCCACTGAAAAGTTAAGGACGTGTCACTCCGGGAGCTCATCTGATCTTGCTCTGGAAGGGAAGGAAGAAAATCGATGTCTTTGTAAGAGTGCCGCACTCTCCATCTCCTGGCTGGGCAGGACAATGTGGAGTCGGGCTGGTCCCTGCACACACACACACACGCACCCCCAGATGCTGCTGTGGGGAAAGGCGGCGTAATGGGGCAGTGGTTCATGCCACAGACAGATGTGCCCGCCTCTCCCCGTGTATCCTCCTGCCCCCTCTGCCTTTTGTCCCTTGAAAGGCATTGCTCCCCAACAATGGGCTGGTTAAGGCTGATTCGCATCACCGCGGGCTCATGCCGCCTGCCCGCACCGTAGGTAAGGCTTTCAGCTGGCCTTTTGTTGTGTCACTGACAACGTGCACACGCTGGGACACACCTGCTTGCAGAAACACGCGTGAACGCACAACTCTGGCACTCCTGCCCATCCCACTGCACGGTCCAGGGTACTGCTTCCTGGGCCAGTCCTGTTGTGCCCCAGGGAGCCCCTGTGTTTGCTCCAGGATCTTAAGCAAATAAAACACTCCAAAAAATTTCCCTAGAGTCTTTTGAAATTAAAATCAGTGTGCTGTAAACCTGCGTGTCAGTCTGGCATACGAGACGCAGGCCTCCAAATAACTGGAAATTGTATGAGGGAATTGATCAGGAATGGCCTTCTAGGTGGTTCTACCTGGTGCTTGGCTTGGACTCCAGGAGCCTACTTGGTAGGTAATTAGCATTTTGGAGTGAGCCCTCCTATTAGAAGGTGATGTGATAAGCCAGAGGGACTTTTAAAAAACATCATGTGCTTGTTCCCTTGCACAGGATTCCTGGCCTTCTCTCTCTTTCTGGGAGCTGCTCTGCTCCCAGCCCATCTCTGGTTAGGTGACATCAGTTCTGTACCCAGAAACCAGGTGACAGAAGGACCTGGTGGGTTAGGGACTGAGAGGCTTCTGACTTATTCTGACCACTTGTCCTGTCTACTCCATCCCACCTTGGTGAGGGCTGAAATGAGTCTTGCTTGGAAGCAAGGTCCTGAGCCCTGGGGAATTCTGGAAGGTCGAAGAAAGGTGTGGGCCAGCCCGTCACCAGCCAGCCTCCTCCCCCACGATGGACTGCATTCCTGCGTCAACCCTCCGGCGATTCCCTGTGAGCTTTGTCTCCTTGACAGGGTGGGAGGAAGGAGGGTTTGGAAAGGAGGCCCCCCTGGTGACTTCTGAGCCATCAAAGCCAGCCCCCCTCCTGAAAGCGCTCTGCAGGCTGGCAGCTGTTTTGGGGCCTGGAGAGGAGACAGGGGGCTGGTCCTTTGTCCCTTCGAGGAGCCTCCTGGAGGCCCAGGCCTGCATGGCGGGCAGCCACATTAACCTTCCACCCTGGGTGGGGGGGGCTTGCCTGAGGTCAGGCACTTAATGAGGCCAGGTCCCTGGCTGTCCCCCGCCAGGACTCTGGCAACAAAGGCCCAGTCAGGCTGCACAATGAGGGGGAGGTAGCCGGGTGGGGGTGGGTAGGTGCCGTCACAGCCTCTGTGGCCCAGGGTTTTCCTTCCAGCCCACCCCATGCTGGGCACTTCAAAGGGGCTAGGGGAGAGGCCAGCCAGGCCTGGCGGGCCTGGGCCTCCTTCTCCCAAAGCCACTGGAGGTAGAAAAACACCTTGAGAGCGGGGCTGATGGAGTCAGGTTTTTGGAATCTGGCACCATGGGGAGCCCCTGGTATGAGGTCCTTCTCTGGTAGCCTTGTTTCACTTTCTTTGTTTGGAGCTAGAGCTTGGTGTGGCCCAATTACTTAAATCAGAGCCTTCTAGCCTTTCATGTCAATAATAACAGCAATAATAATACCCCATGTATGAGGATGCCTGTCACTGAATTCTGAGCCTGCTACCCCACCCCCCACCATCGCAATGACTTTTCTACCTGCTTTGTGAGGCTGGGGAGCAGGCGTGAAGACCTTTGTCATTCAAGCGAGAGGAAGGAAAGGAAAAGAACAGTTCCAGGGCTCCATGCCTTCTCCCTTCATTCCCTTTGTGGGTTCTCACAGTAACAGTGAGAGTTGGGCATGGGTTCCCATTTTACGGATGAGTCCACTGGGGTCAAAGAAGCTGAGTAAACCTATCTGAGATCACACGTCTGGCCCTAGCACTTGCAGACTTTATGACTCTGGTGAATTTCCTGAAGGTCTCTGTGCCTCAGTTTCCTCATCTATAAAATGGGGATAATAATAGTACCCACCTCAGGGTTGTAGGGAGGATGCATTGGAATAATGTATGCAAGAGCTTGGAGTGTGGCTGGCACAGAGCAAGCACTCAGTAGTAGCTGTTGTCCTTCTTGTACTAAATTGTCTAGTCTGGATTCCAGTCCACACTCTCCAGGCTCCAGAGCGAGTACTCTTTTTGCTTTATGAACAAACAAAATAAAAACCAGTAAGGGGCCTGGCGCGGTGGCTCACGCCTGTAATCCTGGCACTTTGGGAGGCCGAGGTGGGTGGATCACCTGAGGTCGGGAGTTGGATACCAGCTTGGCCAACATGGCGAAACTCCGCTTCTACTAAAAATACAAAAATTGCTGGGTACAGTGGCTAACGCCTGTAATCCCAGCACTTTGGGAGGCCGAGGTGGGCGGATCACCTGAGGTTGGGAGTTCGAGACCAGCCTGACCCACATGGAGAAACCCCATCTCTACTAAAAATACAAAATTAGCCGGGCTTGGTGGCGCATGCCTATAATCCCAGCTACTTGGGAAGGCTGAGGCAGGAGAATCACTTGAACCTGGGAGGTGGAGGTTGCGGTGAGCCGAGATTGTGCCATTGCACTCCAGCCTGGGCAACAAGAGCAAAACTCTGTCTCAAAATAAAATAAAATAAAAATACAAAAATTAAGCCAGGTATGGTGGTGCATACCTATAATGCCAGCTACTTGGGAGGTTGAGGCACAAGAATCACTTGAACCCGTGAGGCAGAGGCTTCAGTGAGCCCAGATCGCGCCACCGCACTCCAGCTTGGGCAAGAGTGAGACTATGTCTCAGAAACAAAAACAAAAACCAAAACCTGTAAGGTTGCTGAGGGATCCTTCGCCTGAGCTGCTCGGTGCAGAACTGGGGAATGGAAGCCCAGGGAGGGGAAGGGACTGGCTGTGGGTCTCAGGGTAAGTGGAATATGGATGTGGGAGCCAGAGGCTGCCTCTGAGGACCACACTCTCACGTCTTCACTAGGTGGACAAGTATTTGTAAGGCTTGGTCATATTTTGCCTGGTTTCCCTTAGTTGCAGAGAGACATTTCTTCACATGAAACCAGACCCTATTTTGTGTGTTGGAAATGCTCACAAGTATTTCCCAAGGCTCTCCCTACCCTACCTCAAGATGCTGTTAGGAGTAATCCTCCACCCTCAGTGTGGCTGGCGGTGCCTGCCCTGGCCAGAGGGCATCAGAGCCCTTCCTGGATGGAGGAGGGCAGGGCCTCCCTTCCTTTCCCTTGGAGGCCAGTGGAGTTCTATGTGTGGTGTGTCTGTTGCAGGAGAGGAAGGCATAGGGGATTTGACTCTTAGAAGTCTGGGGGTATTAAGAATGGGAAAGAAAAGGTATCCCCTGAAGGCAGCTGAGCACAGGGGCGGGGGGCATGATTTCCAATCCCTGCTTGCAGATGAGCAGAGGCAGGATGTTTTTACCATGTGGCCAAAAAGGTGTTCAGGGCTGGAGGCACAAAATCATGTGTGTAGCTTTACAAATCCAATTCTACTGCTAGTGCCCCTAGCAATTGGGGGATTTAATGGAACCCTCTCTGTTTCTCTTGGCACAGCAAAGACTCATGCTTTGTTCTGTGCATTCAGCCCGCCACACATCTGATTATTTTTAGAGGGGTCTCTGTATGGCAGGCACTGTGCTGGGCACTTGGTGATACCAAGCTGAGTAAGAACAGGTTTTGATCTCTGGGAATTCAGTCTCCCTCCCTCTCCCTCCTGCTCCCCCTTCCTACTTCCCTCCTTTCCATTCACTAAGTATCTATTAAGCATCCTTATTTCCTATGTTAATAATAGGGGTCCATAGAAATGATCACGGCATGGGGAGAACCTCGTTAGACAGACTGAGGAGGAATGTTGCACTGGCAGAGGAGTTTTCGTGAGACTTGGCTCTAGCCTTGGCATTGACACTGACTATGAGCTTGACTAAGTTACTGACCTGCTCTGAGCTTTCATTTATAAGAGAAGGATGTTGAACTGAACAATAATAGTATTGGGCAGGCATCTTTCATTTGCAAGGAATAGAGTCGCATCTCAAACTGGCTTAAGGATAAACCTTCAGGCCTGGCCGGATCCTTAGGAGTTCATCTCTCTAGTGTTCTTGTCTCTGCTTTCGTTTTTGTTGGCTTCATTCTCTGCCAGGCTCTTCCTAAAAGAGGGCAAGTTAATCCCCCTTCCTCCGGTGGCCCCAAGCTCATAGCCTCCTTGCTGAGGTAGAGCATCTCTTTCCTGTAGTGTAATGAGGTCTCAGGATTCACGCTGATTGGCCTGGATTGGTCATGTATTCATCCTTAAGCCAATCACTGTGGCTGGAGGGTGCAGTGCTATTTGGCCAGGCTTGAAGTACCTGAATCACATAGCGGGTAGGGAGTGTTTGCTCAAGGAAGACAGGGCTGGTCTACAGAATGCAGGGATAGATGCTGGCCAGGCTGAAAAGCATGGAGCATTTCACCACGGTCATTGATAAGCATCCTTTGAACCTTATTCACGCATAAGACAGGACCAGGAGCCTGACTGTGGGTTCTAATCCCACGTATGCATCCTTCTTACTGTGTGACATTGGGCAGGTAACTTAATTCTCTTAGCCTCAGTTTCCTCATCTGTAAAATGGAACTAACGATAGCATATACCTCATACTCACGGGTTCTTCCCACACCCTGCTCATTTCTGTGGACCCCTATTATTAGCATAGGGAATAAAGATGCTTAATAGATATTTGATGAATGGAAAGGAGGGAAGTAGGAAGGGGAAGCCGGAGGGAGAAGTAAATGTGTTAATCAATTTAAAGTGCTCAGAACAATGCTTGGCATGTAATAAGCACTTAATGTTAGCTATCACTCTTTTTATTTATTCACACATTTATTCATGAACTCTATGGCTCATCCAAGCAAGTGAATACATCATAATGTTTGCCCTTGTGGAACTCACAGAGGCATTCTACGATTGCTTTTCACTCGTTCATTCAAGAAACATTTATTAAGCACCTACTATGTGCCTGGCACAGTGCTAGGCTAAGCTTAGGACACAGGGGTGAAGGAAATAGCCCTTGCCTTCATGGAGATGTAAGAGGTATCTTTGCTTATTCTTCACCTCTCATCTAAACACTAGAGACAATATTGTCTTCTGCAGAGAGACTGCATAGAGAGAATAGATGTGGGCATATGTTAAAAACTCGAAAGTGGCCTTTTGTCTAGCATGTTGTGAGTGGGTGGGCATTTGCCTGTCCTTCAGGGGTGTCCACCCAGGATTGTAGCTTCCCCTGCCTCCTCCTCATCCTTTCTCCAAGCTTTCCCCTGTGTGGCTGTTCCCTTGGCTTCTGTGCCTCCTAGCAAGATGGACGAGGCGGCTGCAGGCTTCTCAGTCTCCACCCTGCGTGGTGAAAGGAGGCAGTGGGGGTCAGGCATGGGTTAAGGTGCTGGTTCTTGGGTCCAACACCGATCGGACTTCAGTCCCTCGTCCCACGTCAGTTTGGGTGGGGTCTTGGGCCTGGCTTCACTCTGGTTTTTTTGGGTTGTTTCCTGGGGCAGACCTCTTGGCTCTGCATCGGGCTGTGTGCTGGGGGTCTGCCAGAGAGGAGTGGGGAAGGAGAAAGCCTCATCGTTTTCCCCCTTATAGCCCATGGGAAGAAGTCCTCATATGTCAAGTGCTCTGCATAAGAAATGGGGCAGGTCAGGTGTGGTGGCTCACCCCTGTCATCCCAGCACTTTGGGAGGCTGAGACAGGAGGATCGCTTGAACCCAGGAGTTTGAGAAGAGCCTGAGCAACACAAAGTGAGATGCCTGTCTCGACAAAAAAAATTCAAAAATAAGCTGGGCATGGTAGCATTCATCTGTAGACCCAGCTACTCTGGCGGCTGAGGCTAGAGGATCTCTTGAGCCTGGGAGGTGGAGGTTGCAGTGAGCCGCGATTGCACCACTGCACTCCAGCCTGCGCCACAGAGCGAGAGACCCTGTCTCAATAAACAAACAAACAAGCAAACAAACAAAATAAGAAAAGAAATGGGGCAGTGTAGGGATAGGGGGCCACAGCCGCCCTGTCCCTCAGCAGCAGGAGGAGGCCAAGTGCTCAGCCCCAGGCTTATAGTCACTGCATAATGGCGCTTCCCTTGTGCAGCCACCCACCCCATCTTCTATACCCTCAACATCTCTGTTACTTGTGAACGTTGAGGATCCTCTATTTTTTTTTTTCTTGAGATGGAGTCTCGCTCTGTTGCCCAGGCTGGAGTGCAGTGGTGCGATCTCGGCTCACTGCAAGCTTTGCCTCCCAGGTTCACGCCATTCTCCTGCCTCAGCCTCCTGAGTAGCTGGGACCACAGGCACCCATCACCATGCCCAGCTAATTTTTTGTATGTTTAGTAGAGACGGGGTTTCACCATGTTACCCAGGATGTTCTCGATCTCCTGATCTCGTGATCCGCCCGCCTAGGCCTCCCAGAGTGCTGGGATTACAGGCGTGAGCCACTGCGCCCGGCCGAGGATCCTCTGTTTTAACCTATGAGGAAACCGAGGCTCAGAGATGTTCAGTAACTTGCTCACGATCACCCAGCCAGGATGTGTTGGAGCTTGGAGGCAAACCCATGCCGGTCTGATCAAACAGCCCAAGTTCTTGGTCACCAAGTTGTACCATCCCACAGAGTGAATATTTGCACAGACCCCAGCATCCTCCCAACTGGGAGGGGGCATAGAAGGTGGCCACTTTTCTAGCTACAAGTTGGAAACTTCGAAGATCAGAACTTGCCAAGAGGGCGAGGGCTTTGATAGATGAACCCACTCTCTATGTCTACCTGTCTGACTCCCTCTGTCGGGCCCTCTGCCCTGGTCGGCTGATTCTTCCCCACTAAGGGCCGCTCAGCCCCCTCCGACGGCTGCTTCTGAGAAGGATGTCATCAGTGTCTCTGGTCAGATGCCTGGGCCTCAGGCTGGAGCCATGGGCTGCCGGGGAGCTCACCTCTCCTGTCTCCACACGCTCCCCAGGCCTGCGGCTGGTGAAACAGGTTGCTTTAGTTTGCTCACCGACCTCCTGGCTGTCTCTGGAGCTGCAGCCTCTTTCTACCTGCCACACTCCACCCGGGCCTGCCATCTCCTTGTTTCCAGGTCTCCATCCCCCTCCCATCCTCCAGTGACTCCTGTTGGGAGCGCTCGGGGGTACCTCTCTGTGTGCCCCTATAGGGTGTAATAAGGCTTCCAGGAGGCACCGCCTGTCGGGCATGGATAATCCATTTGTTTATCCAATGGTAACCCAGTGGTACCCCCTCGCTGCCTCCTCCAGAACCCCTCTGGTCAGTACTTTCTCTGCAAGGGGATTTATTAATAGGGGTGGAAGCTCTGAAGAATTCCTGGGAGATGATGTCACATCATGAAAAGAAAAGCAGATAAATTGAATTATTATTGTTTTTTGTTTAGAGATAGAGTTTTGGTCTGTTGTCCAGGCTGAAGTGCAGTGGCACGATCTTAGCTCATTGCAGCCTCAAATCCTGAGCATGAGCGATTCTCTTGCCTCAGCCTCCCAAGTAGTCAGACTCCAGGTGTGCACTACTATGTTTGGCTTTTTATTTTCTAGAGGTGGGATCTCACCATGTTGCTCAGGCTGGTCTCAAACTCCTGGCCCCAAGTGATCCTCCTGCCTCGGCCTCCCAGTGATTTGGATCTTGACAGTTCTGTGTTCACATTTTTTCTCTGCCCACAGTCTTTAGCAGTTAACGTATTTGTGAGCCACAGTTTACCCCTCTGTGAAATGGGGCCACTGAAGCCTCTCTTGCATGGCGATGAGGGTTCAGGGCAGTAATGGGCATGAAGGGCTGGCACACTGCCTTGTACACTGGGCTGCACTTAGTAGATGGTGGTTCTGTGCCCTTTTGTGTAGAACAGGACACCCCTGGGGGTGCAGGGAGGTGGAGTAGGGTGTGGAGAGGAAGCCTTTCCTGGGGATGGCAGGTGGGGCAGAGTGAAACAGTCCAGGCTACCATCCTCAGTGGACCTGGGAGAGTGTCCTTGGCTATTGAGCTATCTGGTGGCAGAGCTGGGTCACTGCCTGGGAGCCTTTCAGGACTTGTGAGATCCAGAGATGTGGCCATTCTGAGGGAGGACTGCCTTGGTTTTTTGGTCGGGGGAAGGACAGCCACCCCTCCCAGATGCATCTCCAGCCTGGATGCCTCCTCAGGTACCACCTGCCTGTTCCTGACCTTGGTAAAGTTGTGTGGAGATACCAGCAATGGTGTACCATGCCTTTGGGGCCCCCGGGGTGCCACACGGGATTGCTTGCAGTAACTCTCAAGGCCTCTTGGCCTCTGGCTGGGTGTTGTGGAGTGTAGGGAGAGGGCAATATCCTTGTTCCGTCACAGACACTGTGACACCCCTCGACCTCCTGGAGGTCACGGAGGTGTGGGGCACGCTTTTAATGTTTCTGAAAATACTTCAGGAAAGCAGCATATCTTTGCAAATATTGGCCTAAATTCTTTTTTTTTCTTTTTGAGGCAGGGTCTCTCTCTCTGTCGCCGAGGCTGGAGTGCAGTGGTGCCATCATAGCCCACTGCAACCTTGACCCCTCAAGCGATCCTCCTGACTCAGCCTCCTGGGCAGCTGGGACCACAGGCACGCACCACCACGCCTGGCTAATTCTCCTCACCCATCTTTTTTTTTTTTTTTGTAGAGATGGGGTCTTGCCATGTTGCCCAGGCTGGTCTGGAACTCCTGGGCTCAAGCCATCCTCCTGCATTGACCTCCCAAAGTGCTGGGATTACAGGCATGAGCCACTGTGTCCAGCCCCAAATTCTTTATTATACAACACAATCTTAGACCCATGCCCCGGGTAAACACATGAATCAACACATCAGTAGGAACAAATCCTTCTCATCCCTACACCCAAACCTCCAAATCCTCACCTGTGTGGCTGTGCTCCTGGCCAAGATCTCCTGAGGTGCCTGGTATGCTGTCTCGGGAGCCAGGGTAGTGCAGGTGGCTCCTGGTCCAGCTCTAGGCTCTTGCTAGTATCTGGAGGACAGCCACTGGCCCAGGAGCTTCCGTGGAGTGGATACTAGCGTGGCCATTCTCAAAGAAATGGGACACCAACCACAGGGTAACTGGAGGTGCTGAAAGAAGCCAATCCTACAGCTTGAAATCTGTCTTCTGCTCCCCACCCACCACACTGCCTGCTGGCATCGGGAGTTTGTAAGTTTTCCTTTTTTATTGAGTCTCTCATTTATCACGTGAATAACACAATCATCTTCCATTGTTTGTGGATGTGTTTTAAGAGCATGAGTGCTGTAAATGCTTTAATTATTTAAGTCACTAGACATTTGAAATGTACCGCTGTTTTGGTCACCTTGGCCTGGCATTTCTTCCTTGATAAAATATACATAGAGTCTCCCAACTTAGGAAGACCTAAGCCTCATTCAGCCTCCGGGGGAGCCGCCCGGGCTGCCAGCAAGACATCTTCCTGAAGGTTCCCGTCACTCGGGGATCTCGCTGGCCTCCCTGGCCCAAACCTCCAGCGGCTTCCCTCTATGGAGCAAGAGGGCGGGCTCCTATGTCTTTTCTGTTGAAATGATTTCTCTTGCTCCTCCCCTTGATACAAAAGACCCAAGTCTGGGTCCAGAGTAAGTTATTTGTAATGCATTTTTAGAGTCCATATTGCAATATTAGCCATGACTGTCTGCTGTGTAGAAAAAGGAGGAGTTTGTGTTTGAAGTTTAATCCAGCTTCTACTTAAGCTCGGTCCCTGGGCAATCCTTTTTTCTGCCGCTGAGCTCAAACAGCCGGGCCTCAGGTTTGATCTGCTGCCCCACGGAGCCCTGCCCAATGTGAATTTGAAGAGTTTTTTTTTTTTTTTTCCCTCTCAACCAGGGAGACTTGCGAAAAAAAAAAAAAAAACCGCACCGTGGTCTGCAGCACCCGCTCCCACTGTGGGTCCCTGGGTCCCTCCTGGAGGCCCTCTGGCTGTTTTTTGGGAGGGCAGATGGGTTGGGACCCACCAGGACCTTCCAAGATGCAGCCGTGTCCCTCCCTTGGGGTCTCCAAGGAGCCCCTCTGAGCTCTCTCTGCTGGAGGACGTCAAGCACTGGGGAGTCTGGGAGTCCTGTCTCACATGTGGGGGGCAGAGAAAAAGGAGGGAAAAAAGGGAGGGAAATGAAAGGCACGAGTTTGTCGGGAACTGGTGCTGGCTGTGGAAACAGGAGCCGCAGCAGGACGGAACCTGGTGGCCTTCAAAACTTTTCTTCTCCCCTCTCTCCACATGACTCGGAGGATGCAGGCAGTAATTAAAGGCCCCCCTGGTTCCTCATTTTCTGTGCCCATGTCTTTGATCTGGCTCATGTTGGGCAGCTATTTTCATTGTTCCTGCCTTTCTTTCATTCTTTTTTGATGGCAGAAATGAAGATCTTTGATTCTAGAGTCGGAGGTGGGCAGGAGAGTGTTACAGGTCTTACATAATGCATCTTTCACATCTTATTTTTAAACGCGGGCATAATCAGGGCTGGGCAGAGGCTGGGCTTGGTTTGCACCCGTGTGTGGGGAGAGGCGGTTGCCTGCCCTGCAGTGCTAGCCCAGGGGTAGGTGGGGACAGGCAGTCCTGTGCAACTGAATGAAAATTACTAGAGGAAGCTTCCCCCACTTCCACCCCTTCCTAAATATAACCTGGAGGGAGTTTTTCCTAATTGTTCCCTTATGGTGAAAAATGTGTTGAGAGAGGGCAGGACAAGGAAGGCCCTGCCCACCCAGCCAGGGGTCTCTTGGTGGCGCCCTGGGAGGCCTGCCCACTGTTTATTAGTGGATGTTAATAAACTATAGGGGACAAACCACGGGGGTGGTGTATGAACAGTAACTCAGGTACCCAAGATGAAATAGGGGTGCTCTGCCAGATGTGGGGAGGTGGCAGACATGGAGGGGGTGTCGCCATCTGGTTCTTCTGTACACCCTTCCTGGGGCTTCCCTCCAGGCAGGAGACCCTGGGGCAGACAGAGATGAGAAGGTGAGGCCTTCTCCATGGTTAGGAACATGCGATCCAAGGTGGGATGGGGATGCGAGGCTGGTGCAGGGATCGCAGGTTCTGATGATGATGGGGGTTCTGCCTGGGAGGTGAGGAAGCATGGGTACAGGCTGGCGGGGCTGGTGAGTCGAGATCATGCTTGCTCCTCCATCTGTTCCTGTCCATGGCTTCTAGATTTCCAAGAGAAGCCAGTCACTTGGGTCTTTATGGGAAATCTCTTAGAGATGAGAAGAAGAGGTCTGCCTTGGTCAGGGGACAGTGATAGTAAGGTAGGTAGGAAGCCTGGCAGGTAGGAAGCCTGGGTGTGGTGGGAGAGGGGGTGATTGGAGCGTCCAGGCCACTCAAGTGTGGTGGGTCTGGCAGGAAAGGCTGGGAGGGCACTGACAGGGGACCTGCATCCTCCGTGTGGGGCGTACGCAGGCCTGTGTACTCCGAGTGGCTGCAGGGCTGCTTCCTGGCAGTGAGCTCCACAGGGCCAGAAGGTTTTTGTACATGATACCTGAGGCTTCATGTCACCTCCACTACGTGCCTGGTATTCATGACGGTGTGGTCCCCTCCTGCCCCAGCATGGAAGACAGAGCCTCTGTGAGACCCGCCTTGCACTTTGGATGATGCTAAGGAAGGTTGCGAGGCTGGCCTTCCTGCCTGCCTACCCGAGACTCAAGCAGCAGGACTTTCATAATTAATATGAATTAATGCATATTAATTGAGCACCTACTTTGTGCCAGGCTGTGTGCTGAGTGCTGGGCATACAACAGTGAGCTGGACAGGCCTGGACTCTCCCCCTGTGGAGCTTCCAGTCTGTGGGGGAGAAGGACAGCTAGACAAACCACCCCATAAATAGCTACGTTTATCTTCTAGGCGTGGAAGCATCTGGAAGGAAGAGCATGGGGCATGAGAGAGAAGCAAAGGCTTCTTTGAAGAATGGACACTGGAAACGAGGGCGAAACAATGAATAGAAATTATGGGGATAGCCATCCAGACGGAAGGTTTGAAGACTGCAAGTCAGGAGGGCGCTGGCATGTTGGGGGGATTGGTGGTAGGCAGCATGGGGGAGCGTGGTGAGCCAGCAGAGCGTGTGTACGGGTGGGACCAGGTGGGGCATTTGTATTATGTTCTAGGAGCAGTGTGGGTGGTGGGGGTCTTGGCATCCTCAGACTCATCCTTGGCAGAGTTCCTGCCAATGCCCTGTCAAGGACGGGCGTGGGCAGGTGGGGACATGGAGAGGATGGTGCTGCAGGCAGTGGGGACCGAGAACAGAGGGTGTGTGCGAGAGCCGTCCTAGGGACCACGTTGACAAGGTGTGGAAATGGATTAAATTTTGGAGAAACCCAGGAGGATCCCTGGTTTCCTGGCTTGGGCATCGAGGTGAACAGAGGGGTCTCTCCTGAAATACACAGCGCTGAAGGAGGAATAGGATTGGAGGCAGAGAAGTCTTTCCCCTTTTCTGACTGAACTGCACCAGGGCAGGGGCCTGGGGGACAAAGCTGGTAGGGACAGTGGGGTGTCAGTCCAAGGAACTAGACCCTGGCTGCTGCTCAGTCCCCTCAAGACCCCATGCTGCATGTGAGCAGGAACCTCCATTGCTCTATCCCTAGCTGAGCCCACCTAGTCCATGCCTGGCACACAGTAGGTGCCTTGTTAATATCTGTTGTGGAGACCTGCTCTAGAAGGCTGCAGATCAGTTAAAACTTGCTGGGATGGGGATGCTGCTTGATGGGGGAAGATTCTGCCCTGGGCTGCCTCCTCCTCCAACTTCAGATGTTGAGTTTTGGGGGCTGCTACCTTCCAGAGGGAGGCCCTGAGCTTGAGCTTGAGCTGTTGTGCCTGGCTGGGCTGCCGGATGCCCGCTTGTTATGGCCCCAGATGGGGGCAGCCTGTCCAGTGTTCCTGACTCCCTTGTAAACCCTCTTGGCTGGCCTGGCTGGGCCTCTGAGCCTGAGGACAGCCATCAGCCGGTGTTGGTGGTTCGCGTGCCCCTGCCTTTCTGGGCTGTAGATTCCGCCCGCTGTCTAGATTGCGTGGAAATCTGCTTTGCCTGGTGTGTGCAGAGCCTGGCTCCAGCCCTCACACACTCCAGCTGGCCGCGTGTCAGGGCCCCCTCATTTATGTCCACCAACTTTGGCAGCTCCTTCTTGCAGCTGGGCTGGGGTGGAAGTGGGGTGCTGCTTAACCTGGTGGAGGGGCCCAGGGCTCAAGCTGAGGGGAGGGCTTATAGGAAGATGCGGGTTCCACCCCCTACATGAACTGGACTGCTGCTCTTGGGTCCTAGATTTGCTCTCTGGGCTGAAGGAGAGTTACGTCCTGGGGCCACTCACATCCTGACCAGAACCTTGAGGGGCTCAGCTTCTCTTTTCTTCATCTTCAGCCCAAAGCAGACTTTTAACAGAGGCATGACCAGGTCTGGGCAGACCATGGGGAGGTTTCTTCATCTGTAAAATGGGAACATCAGGCACCCACCATAGACCCATTTCCCTCACCATTCAACATTTAATTAATGGCATGGACATCCTCAAGATGGTTACAAATGTCTCTTTAATTTTCCCCAGGGCAATTTGAGAATCTAAATATCCCTGATATAATCTGGCCATGTGGCTATAGTCTTACAACCTGAGAATTCAATGGATGAATCTCAGACAACACAGTTAGTTGTATTTTGAGAAAAAAATTCCTCATTACCCAAACACCCTATTTTCCTGATGATATTTCTTTTGTGTTGGTCTTTGTCTGCACACATGAGAATTTACAGGATTCCAACCAGAGGGTGTCTAATATATTCTGCTTTTTTTGCCCAGGGAGTTCACGGTCTGACCTGCATCTGTGGTCTGTGGTCCTTGTAGCTGCTCTTATTTATTTTATTTTAATTTTTTGAGACCAGATCTTGCTCTGCTGCCCAGGCTGGAGTGCAGTGGCACAATCACAGCTCACTGCTGTTTTAACCTCCCAGGCTCAAGCAATCCTCCTGCCTCACCCTCCCAAGTAGCTGGGACTACAGGTGCACGCCACTAAGCCTGGCTAATTTTTAAATTTTTAGTAGAGATGTGGTTTTGCCATGTTGCCCAGGCTGGTTCCTGGGCTCAAGCGATCTGCCTGCCTCAGCCTCCCAAAGTGCTGGGATTACAGGCGCACACCATCATGCCTGGCTAAGTTTTAAATTTTTTGTAGAGACAGAGTCTCACAGTGTTGGCCAGGCTGTCTTGTAGCTGCTTTTAATGCCCTCTCGAGGAGCTGGTGCTAGGTGTGGGTCAAGTGTTGAGCATCGGACCAGGCATATTGGAATCACCCAGGGGGCCCCTCTTCCTCCCGGTTTCTTTTTGGACAGTAGCCCCTAAGGGAACTATTCTCAATGTACCTTGTGGCATAGAGGAAAGCACTTCTTTAATTTGGAGTCAGGAGAACTGAATTCTAGCCCTGGGTTACCACTAAGCGGCTCTGAGTGAACTTGGTCCTTTGTCCTCTGGGTGTCAAGTTCTCTGTCTAGAGATGAGGGTTGGTCTCCTCCACCGCCCACATCCTGAAATTTGCGATTCCAAAGAAGGAATACACTTATATTAAGTATAAGAATGTATTTTCAATATTAAGATGAGAATATATTTGTATTTAGTTATTTGTAGCTCTTTCTCCAGTAGTGATTTTACACTTCCAGGGTGCAATTTGCTGGTCAGTGTCTGTCTCCTGCAGGAGACAATGGGCTCCTTGAGGGGCTGCCTTGTCCTTGGTCACTGTTGAATGCCCCACTGATCCACACGGGAGAGCTGAGTATTTGTTGAGTGAATAGTCAGATAGCAAAGTTGGAGGCAGACGCCAGGCACCCCTCTGCCACCTGTTCATAAGATTATTACTGGGGAGAAATACAGGGAGATGGCCAGGGCGGGTCCCCACTCCTCTGGGCACTGCAGCTCTGCAGCCTAGAGAAGGGCCCCTTCTTTATTGGCACAGGCGGAAAAGCGGCTCCCTCAGCCCTGAGGCTCCCTTGCATGACACGGGTGCCCGGTGGGGTTGCGGCTCTGCGCTGGTTGTGGTAGGGGCGTCTCCTAGATACCCACTCCGTCGAAGTCCTGACACCCACTCAGAGCCGCCAATACACAGTGCAGATGTAAGAATTGCCATCATGACAAAATAATTGCTGTTTATTGAGTTCTTTGGACATCGTTCCCATTTTACAGATGAGGAAACTGAGGCTCAGAGAGGCTAGGGAATTTGCCCAAGGCCACACAGTCAGGGAGTAGCAGGGATGGTGTTTGAACCTGGGCAGTCCTCATGACTGACCTCTGCTTCTTCCTTCGGCTCAGCATCCCCACCAACCTCTCCTCTCTTCCCATCTTTCATGTCCTCCTGTCATACTCGGGGCGGCATCCCATCTGTCAGAGGTTCTGTTCAGGCCAGATGCAAGGCCTCTCCTGGGATCCTAGACCAGGACAGTTGCTGCAGAGGGAGGTGAAGGGAATTCTCAGGCTGTGTCCCTGCTCCAGACCCTGGCATTGCAAGTGTGGACCGGGAGGATCTGGCATCCCTTGGCTCTCCCTTGGGGCCGGGCCTTCTGCACCCACCCTCCTTTCCTGAGCAGGAGGGGTGGGATGTGCTCGGCCAGCCCTGGCACTCACAGCAAGCTCTAGCATGGTCATTCACTCTCTTGCACTTTCTTTCTTGAGGTCCAGGGAGACGGTTGGAGAATGGGGGGAAAATGGGGTTGGGGGAAAATGGGGTTGAGAGAAAAAGGGGCAGGAGGAAGGCTGAAGACAGGAGCAGGCAGAAAGGCAGGACAGACCCTCTGGGAGAGCAGAGAGGAAACTGGCCGAGTGCTAGCAAAGACATGGGTAGGGTGAGAGCTGGCTTCCGAAGGGGAAGGGGAGGAGGAACAGGAGACTGGGGGGTAATTAGAGGACAGAAATGGAGGGAATGGAGGAAGGATGAGGGGAGGCAGAGAGCAAAAGGGGAGATAGACATGGGGGCTGTGAGGGGTGGGAGCTTGTTAGGTACAGAAAGAATTCTGATATTTGAAAATCATAATGTTGGGCATGGTGGTGCGTGCCTGTAGTCCCAGCTACTTGGGAGGCTGATAGGGGAGGATCTCTTGGGCCTGGGAGGTGGAGGCTGCAGTGAACCATGATTGCATCGCTGCACTCCAGCTTGGGTAACAGAGCAAGTCCCTGTCTTAAAAAGAAAAAGAAAAAGAAAATCATAATATGAAAGGCCAGGAAGCCAGCATTCAGATCCCTGCAGCCTCCAGGAACCCATGGGCACCTGGGGGAGTGGCCGAGGCTGTGGGGGTGGGCACGCCTGTGGGCTGCCCTTGCTGGCAGGCCAGGCCTGGGAGCCATCCCTTTGAAGTCCCTGATATCGTGGTGAAACGATCCGGCCTGAGGTCTCATTTAGTCTCTACTTTGCTGCACACACCCTGTCATTTAATCTCCCAGTCCATCCTTCCAGCACCAAGGTTTATACATCTGCCCCATTTGCTTTATAAAGCCTGTCGCTGATGTGAACTTGGCAGCGTGAGTACATGAGAGTTTTTCTCCCCTCTCTGTATCCCCAAAAAGCACTCAGTTACCAAAGTTCTCCTGCTGACGGGGAAGAAAGCTGCCAAAAGAGAGCCCATGTTTCATTTTGTTATTTAGACATGGGAGCTGTGTAGTCTGGATGCTGTTGGATTTTATTTTCCCCAAACTAGAGCAGCTGCAGTCATGGCTTAGGATAAAAGATACCTTGGTGTTCAGTTGGTTTTCCCCAAATCCACCCTTCACTTCTCGCTTCCTTTCCTATTGGAGTTTGTACTGAGTCCGCCACATAGTGCTTTCTGCTTTGTTCACCAGAAGTGGGAATCCCTGACTGTCGAGTTTGGGCGAGCCTGTTGGTCTCCTACTTGGAAAGGTCTGCTGCTCCAACTCTAAGGTGTGCAGAGCTGAGGGGCCCTGTTTGGACACCGACATTTCTTAGAAAATTTGCCCTTGGCTGGGCATGGTGGCTCATACCTGTGATTCTAGCACTTTGGGAGCCTAAGTTGGTGTCACAGGATCCTTGGGGTGTTGCTTCACCAGCCAGAAACCTCTGTGGCCAGCAGTGCCTTCTGCCTGACTATATTGCTCATGCCTGCTGGGCTCGTTCTGCACCCTTGACCTGGCAGGCTGTGCTCGGCTCATGCTACCAGCCTGGATCCCATACCTGCCAAGGGTGATCCAGGTGCAGAGCCGTGAGGCAAGTGAGCATGAAGTCCGGCCACTTCACACAGCCAGGCATGCTGGCTGCTGTGGTGGGGCGGGCAGCTCCATGTGCTGGTTCCATGTGAGGCTGTGGCTGGACCAGGTGTACTGTAAGTGGCTTCCACTGGGAGTACTGGGGAATGCAGTGGTGTCCGGAAGCTTGGAGATGCCAGGAACCACAGAACCCCAAGGAAGGTGTCACAGCCCTGGCTTGGGGAGCCTCTAGGTCTGGGCTCACCGAAGGGCTGCAGCTCTTCTGTCCTTCTCATTGCCTGCAACATGGTAAGCAGGGAGTGTTTTTCCGTGCTGTTTGTGTCATAGCTCTTTCCGTCCTGCCATTCAGCACGTACCAAGTTCTTGTCCCATGTCCAGGAAGAATGAGGTATGCAGACAACTGGAGAGTGAGCAAGGCAGAGAGGAGCTTCAATGAGTGACAGAACACCTCTCAGACCTCAAGTGGGCCACTCCTTCCCATGGGCAGGTCGCCCAACAAGTGCCCAGCTCTCAGCTGAGAGGACACCTGCAGTGGGTAGCTCCTTTCTGCAGGCAGGTCCAGCTCTCAGTGGAGAGGAGACTGCAGTGGGTAGCTCCTTGCCTCAGGCAGGTTGTCCCCATGAGTGTCTAGTTCTCAGCTGAGAGGAGACCGCAGTGGGTAGATCCTTTCCACAGACAGGTTGTACTAACTTGTGTCCAGCTCTCAGCTCAGAGGAGACCCACAGTGGGTAGCTCTTTTCCACAGGTAGGTTGTCCTGAAGAGTCAGGAGACCCGAAGTGGGTAGCTCCTTCCTGCAGCTGGTAGTTCCAACATCTCTGTGAGTCTGGCTGAGTCTGGTGTAATGGGCTTCAGAAGGGAGGAAGTGCGTACTGATTGATCCTTGGGTGGTCCCAGAAACAGCACCATAAGTTCTCACTCTGGGCTGGGACTCCACCTGGAACTGACAGCCCAGACCCCAGGTTTCAGGCCATTTCTGGCTAGAACGTGGGGCTTCACTGGGGACCCGCCCCTTTCTGCTCAGGAGCCTGTCTGCTTCCTGCCACCATCAATCATATCATCCACAGCACCCAGACTGTTTGTGCCGAGGGGCACCTGCAGGCCCACGCTGAGCCACCCTTAGCTCCCTCTTGGTGTCCCTCCCATGCTCATCTGCACCAAAAGTCTGGAGGGGGCTGAGGTGGCAGGGGGCTGGCATGTCAGCACTGCCCTGAGTGCATGCACATCTGGCCGGGTCATGACAGTGTCTGGGCTTGGCCTCAACTTTGCTCCAAAATCAGAGAGGGTGCTGGGAGCAGGGAGAAGCCAGGCAGCAGGAGCAGGCACTTCCGAGCCTGTGAGGACAGGAGAGGGGGGCCTCCCAGGCTCCCAAGAGCTAGGTGGCTGCAGCTGTGCTGGGGAGGGTGGGGATCCCACCCTGCCAACTTGGAAGGGGGCAGAGATCCCACCTGTTTCCGGCTCCCGCCAGCTCCACGGAGGGCGCAGCCCTGGCCATGCCTCCCCAACTGCAGCTGGCATCTTTGCAGCGGTCGCTCCAGACTGGGTGCTGCTGCCATTAGTGGGAGGATTTCTTGATCCCAGGGGTTCAAGACCAACCTGGGCAACATAGTGAGACCCTGTGTATACTGAACAAAAACAATTTTTCAGGCATGGTGGCACACACCTGTAGTCCGAGCTATTCGAGAAGCTGAGATGGGAGGATCCCTTGAGCCCGGGAGTGTGCTTGCGAGTCACTGTGGGCTCCTGACCTGTGTACCACTGGGTTGACTGAGGCCCAGAGAGCCTGATAGGCTCAGGGCAGTGAGGGCTGGTGTTGTGAGCCAGTGCTCCAAGGTATCTCTGAGCATTTGTATGGATTGAGAATTGATTCCTGTATCTCATGTCAGATCCTCTTCATGATTTGTATTCATTCACTTAATAAATAGTTGAGATTGGTTTCCCCAAACTGTGTGCTGTGGCACCCCAGGGCACAACAGCTAACCTACAGGACCTCTGTGAGATCTTTGAAAATTTCAAGTGAAAGACAGCCATACCCAACATCTGTCAGTGCAAATTATGAGCTGGAGGTTGTTCCCAGTGCAGGGGTGAGGAGAGGGAGGAAAGACACCCATCAGGCACCTGGCACAGGGAGGACAGCATGGGAGGCCAGTGCCTCACACATGGTAGGTGGCAATCAATACTTTGCCCTGCTTAATTTTTTTATTCGATTCCAGTTCCCTGACATCTTGCCCAGTCACTTGTTTACTGGTTTATTGTTGCTTCCCCCACTGGACTGTCAACTCCACGAGGACAGGGACTTTGTGATATTCTCTGCTGTTTTGCCATCACCCAAAACCATGCCTGATACAGAGCTCGAACGCCCCACTTTCCTAGTTCATGGCACCTTAGTGTCGGTAACTTTTTTATGGTGCCCCTTAAGCAAAACAAAACAAAACAAAACAAAACAAAACAAAAACCTCACAGTTGTCTAAACAACTTAAATATTTATGTCCTAACAGCATAGTAGCTTTAAAAAAAAAATAAAACACATACATTCAAATAAAATGTAATATTTTATTTTATTTTTGAGATGGAGTCTTGCTCTGTCACCCGGGCTGGAGTGCAGTGGCGCGATCTTGGCTCACTGCAACCTTCACCTCCCAAGCTCAAGCAATTATCCTGCCTCAGAGTCCCGAGTAGCTGGGATTACAGGCGCCCATCACCACGCCCAGCTAATTTTTGTCTTTTTAGTAGAGACAGGGTTTCACCATGTTGGCTGGGCTGGCTTTGAACTCCTGACCTCAAATGATCTACCCGCCTCGGCCTCCCAAAGTGTTGGGATTACAAGTGTGAGCCACTGCGCCTGGCCAAAAAATGTCATATTTTCATTTCATTCTTAACATAATTACTAATGGAATGTATGAAATTCAGATTCTTATTTAGCAGCTCCAGGTGGACCTGAAATTCTGCATTTCTAATCATTCTCTCTCTCTCTCTCTCTTTTTTTTTTTTTTTTGAGACAGGGTCTTGCTCTTTTATCCAGGCCGGAGGGCAGTGGTGTGATCATGGCTCACTGCAGCCTTTACTTCCTGGGCTGAAGCAATCCTCCCACGTCAGCCTCCCTAGTAGCTACTTTTAAAAAAATTTTATAGAGACAGGGTCTCACTGCATTGCCCATGCTGGTCTTGAAGTTCTGGGCTCAAGCAATCCTCCTGCCTCCCAAAGTGCTGAGATTATAGGCATGTGCTACTGCACCTGGCAACAAAATTCTTTTCTTTTCTTTCCTTTCCTTTCCTTTTCTTTTCTCTTCTCTTCTTTCTCTTTTCTTTTTCTTTCTTTTCCTTCCTTCCTTCCCTTCCATTCTCTCTCTCCTCTCCTCTCCCCTCCCCTCCCCTCCTACCCTCCCCTTCCCTCCCCTCCCCTCCTCCCCTCCCCTCCCCTCCCCTCCCTTCCCCTCCTTTCTCTTCTCTTCTCTTCTCTTCTCTTCTCTTCTCTTCTCTTCTCTTCTCTTCTCTTCTCTTATCTTCTCTTCTCTTCTCTTTTCTTGTTTCTATGTTGGAGTCTCGCTCTGTTGCCCACACTGGAGTTCAGTGGCGTGATGATGACTCACTGCAGCCTTCGCCTCCCGGGTTCCAGCGATTCTCCTGCCTCAGCCTTCTGGGTAGCTGGGACTACAGACACGCACCACCACGCCAGGGTAATTTCTGTATTTTTAGTAGAGATGGGGTTTCACCATGTTGGCCAGGGTGATCTTGAGCTCCTGACCTCAGGTGATCCGCCCACCTCGGCCTCCCAAAGTGCTAGGATTACTGGCATGAGCCACCAGGCCTGGCCTAAATTCTACATTTCTAAAAAGCTCTCATGTGATGCTGAGTTGCTGGTCCAGGGCCACATTTTGAGTGGCTGACTCCCATGGCCGCTAAGTCCACCATCCCCACTCCTTTCTAAACCCTCCTTCTCACGTCCTTTGCTCTCTGTAGACAGCTTTGCCAGCCCCGTGGCATGAGTTAGAAGGTCAGTTGTTCAACTGATGTGGTTTGAGGTGCCCAGCACAGCTGTCCCCATCTCCATGAACAGAAATCCTTTCCATGCCCATCTAGGGTGTCAAGTGGTTGACATTTGTGTATGAGTGTCAGGTCCTCATAAAGAACAGTTGTTTGTGGCTGCAGAAGTGGCCACCTGCAAGGTGGTCTCGGTGGACCTGGAGCATACTGGACATGCTTGCTAGGGCAGGATTGACCTACTCCAGGCTGTTTTTGTTCCCTAGAGTCACCTGCCTGTGTGAAGGCCATGTGTCTGATTTAGTCCCAGAATGTCAGGCAGCCTTGTGGACCTCCAGGCACCTTCCCTTCTGGGACTAAAGTCCCATTAAAGGTGACTGATTTCTGTCTCCTAGCCTGGATGACTGCAGCCCTCCCTTGCCAGTTCCTGGTTGTTATGGATGTCCAGATCTGGGAATGTGCATTTTCCAGCCACATGCCCGTGTGCGTGTGTGTGTATCTCAGTTAGTGCCTCGTGGAGCTCTGCAGCACAGCTGCAAGGGCAGAGCTGCGCCTCCAGTCTCTGGAAAATCCAATCTGCGGTGATGCATAATTGTACTTGTGGGCTGTTCCCGTTTGCCCACTGTATCATTGATCAGTGGATTCATTTATTTATTCATTCTCTCCCTCATGCAGCAAGTGTTTATTTACTAACCATGGCTGATGTTCTGAGCTGGAAGGCCCAAAAAGCTGGAGAAGACTTCCTGGAGAAGGGGGCACTGTGGGGTGTGTGCATGCCTGTGTGAGTGTGTCCATGCATATGTATGCAGGTGCGTGTGTGCGTGGATGTTGCACACCTCTGCACAGTGTTGTGTGTGGAGCACTCATGGACGTGTTCAGAACACACACATGTGCATGCACATATGGCTTGCATGTGCACACAGGCTCGTGTGTAGGTGCACACATATGCTTTTACATTTGTGTACAGGTGTGTATACAGGTAGGGTCTTATGAGCAAAGTCTCGGTGCCAGTAACATCAACTTTGGAACCCCTGTCCTGGCCTGCATCGATCCCAGGCTGGAGCAGAGGAGCTGCTGTTTGGTAGAACTGATTTTGTAGCTTGGCTCCATGTGCGTGTGAGCACTTGGGTGTGTTTTAATTAACTAGAACATTTGCCTGGAAATGAGCAGCAGCAGCAGCCGGCGCACAGGCAGCTGGAGGGGGGTGGGGTGGTGCAGCGTGGTTGTGGGGGCCGTGGCAGCCCGGAGTCTGAGTTTTAACGTGCCCAATTCCAGCTGAGGGCACCGCTGAGGGAGGGGTGGGGCAGTTCACCCCCAGTGCTGGTTATCACCCCAGCAGGGAGGGGATTCTGGGAGTGGCTGAATGCTGTAATTCCCAAGCCTCCTAGTCAAAGATGGCCAGGTTAATGGTTCCAGCACCTGGGTGGGTACGTGCCTCTCCTGCATGATCCAGGGTGGGCTTCAGACCCATGAGCCATGCAGCACTGACCAACTGCAAAGGTCACCAACTACAGAGCTTATACCTGGCATATAGTGGGTCCTCTGTACATGAGTGAGTCAACAGCTAGAGGAAGCTGAGGCTCAGAGAGGTTTAGTGATGTATCCAGGGTCACACAGCATGTTAGTAGACCAGCTATAAATGTTGACTTTGTTTCCAGTGTTATCTTTCCAACCCTGGTCATGTTGCATGAAGAAATAGCATCATCTCACAGCAGATGAATTCCACACACCACAGGCCTCCCGCTCTGCCCTGGGCGGCTGTTCAGTTGCCTGCTTGCCATCCTGTCTACCTGGGTGGTGGGAAGGATGGACTTCCCAGGACATCTTGGTGTGCTGGAGTTTTCTCTCACCAAGGGCAAGATGGAGGAAGCAGGGGTGGTCATGATTGGAGGGGAAGGGCTGGGACTCAGTCCCTTTCTAAGACAAACCGGCCACTGGGAGCTCACAAACTGTAGTCACCGAAGAAAATCTCACTCAGACCGCAGAGTCCCCTGGTGCCCTCTTCCCTGCCTTCCCATCTGTTCCAAGGCCTCAGAGCATCCCTGTGGCTGCAGCCCCGTTCCGCCCCTCTGCACAGCACTGCGTGGCTGCCTCTCGGGCTTTGGTCTGTGCCTTCACTTTGTCCCACCCCACCTTGAGGACCCCTGCCTGATTATTTTCCCTGAAGTACAGCTTTGTTCACATCTCTGTTCCGCCTGGTGGTGCAGGGGGTGGACTCTGGGCCACACTGCCTGGGGTCAGATGTGGGCTCTGGCCCTGACTGGTTTTGTGTTTCCAGTAGAGTGACATCACGTCTCAGAGCCACCCTGTCCTCCCTTGTAAAGTGGGATGACGCACCGTGTACACATCGGCTGCAGCACACGTATGCACATGGCCAGGATTACCGACTGGACTGCTCCCCAGCCGAGAACACACTGCGTGCTCTGCACACACACACACCACAAATCCCTTAGGCACTCGGTGACACTTGCTTTAGGAGAGGTTACTGGAACATCAGCTGTTGGACTGCACAGCAAAATTTTGTTTGCGTTTCACACTCATTCCTATCTCAGATCCTGTGCACAAATTTTCTTTTTGCTCAGCACACAGCTAAATTCATATAGGTTTAAAAAAGTACCCATGCTAGAACTCTTGTGTTATCTACATTTACCCGTTTTCCACCTGCCTATTTTTCACTCAGAATAATTTTTGTTCTCAGAGTGCCAGCTACCTTTGCTTGCCTTTGCTCTGGCTATTTTCTCTACCTGCTCCATGGCCTTTTATATTTTTTTCTATAAATTAAGACCCAGCAGCAGGCCTTCATGTCTCAGGGTGTCCCTGATCACCCTGCCAGAACTGAGCTCTCTGGGCTTCCTAAGGACCCTTTTAAGGTCCCACCATGGACTGTCTTACCTTGTGCACTTTCCTCAGCCTCCTTTAGAGCTCATGCTCCTGAAGGCAGGGCCCTGGGTTTCTTCCTGTGGGGCACGTGGAGTGCGTGATGCTTGGTGAATCCTCATCAGGGTAGACTGAATGGATGACCAGATGGCGGTTTGTAGCCCCCCATGGGCAGAAGGGTTTGTGTGCATGTGCAAGTGTGTGCACATGCATACATACGTGTTTGCACACCTTGCATAAGCATGTGCATGTGACACACGTGTGCCCATGTGTTTGTGCACATGTGTGTTTGTACCATCAGCTTGATGCTAATTGGGTTTCTGAGGAAAGATGCCTGCTTTAATTTTTAATTAGAAACCAGGGCAGTGTGGGAGCTGCAGCTGGAGGTTTTCCTCAATGCTGGAGTTCTCCTTAACAAGCACCCGCAGTCCAGGCCAGCCTCGGTTAGCGCTGGACACCACCGCTCACGCTGGTGGGAGTGTCTTAATGCCTATGAAATGATCATGTAATTATTTGGTAATAGAATGCCAGGATTTTGCCTATGCAACAATCTTTCCCAGTGGGTGAAAAAATTGCCAATCAAGAGAAGTTGGAGATGACCAGGGGAGTCGTGGGGCTCCAATGTCATTTTGATGGGATGGGGTCACCACTCCTCCCAAAGGCATCTGGGAGTCCTGCTGGAAGCCTCAGCCCCTGTCAAATGGGATTTACCTGCAGCATGTTTCTCCTGGCCTGGGGCTGTGTTTAGCATATTTGTTGTGGGTAAAATGATCTGTGCAGACTGTGTCAGGTAGGGAGTAATTACCTGTGTACCACGGCGGGGTGGTGAGCCTCACCTGCTGGTGGGAGACCGCCTTGGGCTCCTGGGCTCCAGCAAGGCTCTGGGCAGGTGTGGGAATGCCACTCAGGGTTTGTGTAACTCCTAGGTGAGTGCCTCCTGGTGGAGGCTGGCCCATAGATCACACCGCGTGGTGGGGCAGGCTGTGGACACTCGGTACATTTACAGATGCTCCACTCTTTTTTCGGAGGCTTTTATTTTATTTTATTTTATTGTACTTATTTTTAAATTTTTTTGAGATGGAGTTTCACTCTGTCGCCCAGACTGGAGTGTAATGACGCGATCTCGGCTCAGTGCAACCTCCGTTGCCTGGGGTTTCAAGTGTTTCTCCTGCCTCAGCCTCGCGAGTAGCTGGGATTACAGGCATGTGCCACCATGCCTGGCTAATTTTTGTATTTTTAGTAGAGACAGGTTTCGCCATGTTGGCCAGGCTGGTCTTGAACTCCTGACCTCAGGTGATCCATCTGCCTCGGCCTCCCAAAGTGCTGGGATTACAGGCGTGAACCACCATGCCCAGCCTCAGGAGGCTTTTAAACTGCAGCTCCGTACTTTGGTCAACTATGGGACACCCTGGGGATGGAGAGTGCAGACCCTCCAGGCCAGATGGCCATGGTTTCCGCCCTGCTGCCCCACAGACTATGGGGAAATTATTTCTTAACTTCTTTGTGCCTCACTTTCCTCTCTGGGAAGCAAGAGTAGCAATAGTACCTACCCCACAGGGTCACCAGGAAGATTAAAGAGGCAGTGGAGGTCCAGAATCCCCTATTCACAATTCTGAATTCCAGAAAGCCAGAAACCTGAATTTTTTTTTTCTGTAATGTATTTGGCAGCCAAGTTTGACCTGAGCTGATGTGAAGCTATTTATGGTCTTTATTTCGTTCACATTAGTGAATACCGATATGTTTTGCTGCAGAAGTATCAGTGTGCCTGACTGCTGCTGGAGTGTTCCCAAATTTGCAGCAAGTGCACTGTCTCACCTTTCTAGAATCTGAAAAAGTCTGAATTTTGGACCACATCTGACGGTTTGGGTTTGGGGTAGGGAGTTGTGGACAGGCAAATAAAAGATGTGGGCTGAGCGCGGTGGCTCACGCCTGTAGTCCTAGCACTTTGGGAGGCTGAGGCAGGCAGATTGCCTGATCTCAGGAGTTTGAGACCAGCCTGGGCAACATGGTGAAACCCCATCTCTACTAAAAATACACAGATTAGCCTAGCCTGGTGGTGTCTGCCTGTAATCCCAGCTACTCAGGAGGCTAAGGCATGAGAATCTCTTGAGCCCAGGAGGTGGAGGTTGCTAATGAGCCGAGATCGCACCAGCACTCTCCAGCCTGGGCGACAGAGTGAGACTCCGCCTCAAAAAAAAATAATAAATAAAAAATAAAATAAAACGTGTGGGGCACCTCTCCCGGAATAATTGCTCAGCAGACATTAGGTGGAGCCATCACCTGACCCATCACACAGAGCAGCACTGCCGGATTTCTTCCTATTCCTTTCTTCCTCCCACTCTTGGCCATGCAGGGCGGGGTGGGTGGTGGTGGGAGGGCTCGTTTGCTTGGAAGTCATGTGCATGCACACATGCACACCCATGCTATTCCTCTTGGCTGGAGGTGGGACACCCTGTAGCGGGTGGACGCGTGCTTGGGACCTCATGGAACTATCAAGGCCGGGCTTGGTCCTAGGGTGGGCTACAGGACCCAGGGCCTATGGTTTGTCTGTTTTGGACGTGGCTGCTGCCAGGCCTTGAGCTCCCTGCAAGAACAAGATCAGAGGGGACCCCCTTCACACCTCGTCCCTTACCCTCACTGCCTCTCCCAGGGGGCAGTCATCCTTGTGTTGGAGGGCACTGCCAAGTGCATGCTGACACCATTTCTTCTGTGCCCCCTGGGTGACCAGGCACAGCTAATGAGGGAAGCTGGGCCTTCCTAGTCCCGGGAATCCTGTTGGCGCTGAAACACCTGAAGGGGCTGTGGAGTGTGGAACTGCAGCTGCATGTGAAGGAAGGCAATTAGGAGGGTTGCAGGTGGACCTCCCTTCTTTTATGTATTTACTTTTACTCCCCAATAAGACATCTCCTTCGAGAGGTTTGTCCCCTGGCGTTGCTGGCCTGACTCCCTAAGGGAAGTAGCCTCCGATCTAGGCTGCAAGCACAATTCCATTCCCATCATACCAGCTTTTTAAAGAGCCCACACACTTAAAAAGGATGCTTTAAACGTCTCGCCTCAAGCCGGCGTTGTCAGCTAGCTGTAATTTATCTTTGCGATTGGGTTGTAAAACCCAGCAATTAAGAAAATCCCTGCTTCAGATTAATTGTAGCCTACGTTGGCTGAGAATGAGGCAGCGTGCTGTTTTGCTTGGGTTTCACAGCTTATGGGGCAGGGGGAGCCGGAGCATGTGGGGAAACTGAGTCCCCAACAGAGGCGTCCCCGAGATGCAGATGGCACAGGGGGCAAAAGTGGGCAGGACTAGAATGCAGCCCCAACTCCTCCTCTGCCTATTCCTTGGCACTAGGTTGGCTGCCTGCATCTAGTTGAGCCTGCCTGCTGGCAGAGTTGGGCAGGTAGGGACAGCTGCTGGTGACCCATGAAGTGGGAAAACCATGCCTTCCCATCCTTACAGGGCCACAGCCATGAGGGGGTCTGAGGCCTTGGGACCAGCCTGCTGAGCTGGGACACATGGTGCAGTCTGCTTCTTTTGCAAGGAGTCATATTTTTTTCTGGCTTCCATCTGTGGGCATCTGCACTGAACTCTCGCAGAGGCAGGTTGTCTGAGGGTTGGCGGCTGGGAGAACTCAACCAGTGGGTGATGCCTACTGTGTGCTGGGTGCCGAGCCAGGTGGCCGCATCCCAGAGACCCATGTTGTCTGCTTTCCCCTTCCAATGTCACCAAACAGAACTGCTGGGCTGCAGCAGCTCCTGCCTGCACTCTGGGGCCCTGGAGGGAGCATCCAGCCCTGGCGTGAGCCTCCCTGACTTTGTCTTCTTGGCCTTTTTTCCTCTGTTCTCGTGGTGGGGCCACTGCCCTGATGCAGGGGAACGGACAGATGGGGCTTGCCCTTGGCGTCTCCTCCCCTTCCTATCCTGGTTACCCTCAATAATCCCGTGTGTGGCAATGGCTCTCGACAGTTTACAAAGCATCTCCACAGCCATCATTCCCCTCTGACCCTCACTGCAGCCCTGTGAAGTAAGCAGAGCCAAGGAGGGGAAACTGAGGCTTGGAGTAGAGTAGAAGGGAGGCTTGTGTAGGGCCATCTGGCTCTGGAGTAGGGAAGCAGGAGCCCTGGCTAGGGCCCGATTTCCCAGCCCAGCTGGGCTCTGTGTGGGGGGTGACCTGGATGGTGAGGGGGTGCAGGGGGAGATATCACCAACTCTTTTTTCATGTGGTTCTCTTCTGAATCCTGATGGTAAGAGAGGGAAGTTTTGGGCTTTCCAAGGGGTCTCTAGGTCCAACTCCTGCCTGGTGGGCCCAGATCCCGTAAGGAAGAGGTTTGCACCCCACCTGGCCTGGCCGTGTCCTCTGGGCTGCCCTGTCGGCTGCCTGCTGGGCTTAGCTTAAGAATGGCTGAGATGAATCTGTGCTGGGCAGGGGACAGTCCTGCTGCATCTGAAAGAAGGGTGCCCCATATCCCACTCATTGGGGATGGTGGCCTGGGCCTCTAGGGTCGCCATGTGGGAGATGAGATGGATTTTTTTTTCTTTTCTTTTTTCTTTTTCTTTTTCTTTTTTTTTTTGAGACGGAGTTTCGCTCTTGTTATCCAGGCTGGAGTGCAATGGCGCGAACTCAGCTCACTGCAACCTCCGCCTCCCGAGTTCAAGTGATTCTCCCACCTCAGCCTCCCGAGTAGCTGGGATTACAGGTGTGCGCCACCACACCTGGCTAATTTTGTATTTTTAGTAGAGACAGGGTTTCTTCATGTTGGTCAGGCTGGTCTCGAACTCCTGACCTCAGGTGATCTGCCTGCCTCGGCCTCCCAAAGTGCTAGGATTACAGACATGAGCTGCCGCGCATGGTTGAGATGGATTTAAGACCATGCTGCACTCCCCACTCCCCACTCTCTGTGCTTACTAAGGGTTACCACTGGGGAAGGGGGACCAGACACTGAGCTAGAAACGTCCCTTCAGTCCTCAAGTAAGGAAGGAGACATGCACTGTCACCATCTTCATTTTATAGTTGAGGTTTGTGACTCAGAGAGGGGAGGTCACTTGTCCCAGGTCACACAGCATGTAGATGACAGAGCCAAGATTCAAACACGAGCCCATGTGCTTACCTCCCTGCCCACCCCTCCTTCCTCCTGGGGGCCTGGTGCTTACTGGGGGTGGGGCTGGGAGAGCCTGCAGGCTGTGGGTCTGCAGCGTTAGTGGGTTAGCGGGAACTGTTTCCCCAGGTCCTACTCCCTGTACTGAGGCTGCATCAGGTGGCTCTGACCCTCCTGCCACCTTCCCTGTATCTTGGCTGACCTCCAGGCATACCAGGGGTCAGCTTGGGCCCTGCCAATCAAGTGGAAAACAGGATCCCTAAACAGGACCAGGACAGCTACCACTAGCCCAGTGGGACCTTCTGGATGGAGCCTGTGTCCAGGTTCTTTTTCTGAGCACTCCCTGGGGTCTCAACAATGCTGCTCACCTAATAGATCCCAGGAGGACCTGCCTGGGCAAGAGAAGGGCAAGGAAGGTAGGAGTCCCATCCTGGGAGGACTCAAGGTTTGCAGAGTCAGCCTCTGAGTTGTGGGAGTTTGAGCCTCCCACCCCTGCCATTTCGGGGCCTCAGTTTCTAAGTCTGTAAAATGTTTTCCCATTTTACAGTAAGGCCTCTGTGTACAGGTTCTTTCCCACCTCCTACTCAGCATGGGAGGTGGGTGGGGGGTAGGGGCTTGAGGACTTGGTGAACTCCTGCAAGGAAAAGGGCCACACTCCTGAGTTTGGGTTGGGTGGTCTGAGGCTCTTGTAGTTCCCAGAGCCAGAAGCCAACTTCAGGCTCTCCTACCTGCTGGAGTCCTGCTAAAGAAAGTTTGTAGTTGGGAGAACAGGTTGCCTCGGGAAGGAAGGTGGAGCGGGGCTGGGCATTAGCATGCAGCTTGCAGCCACACAGACCTCTTTGCACACTGCCTCTGCCAGCCCAGGCTTCTCACCTCCCTGAGCCTCATGCTCCTCTTCTTTATTATCATTATTATTTTTGAGACAGGGTCTCACTCTGTTGCCCAGGCTGGAGTGCAGTGGTGCAGTCATAGCTCACTGCAGCCTCAAGTTCCTGGGCTCAAGTGATCCCCCTGCCTTAGCTTCCCAAGTAACTGGGACTACAGGTGTGCACCACCACACCTGGCTAAATTATTTTTTAATTTTTTGTAAACATAGGGTCTTGCTATGCTGCCCAAGCTGGTCTTGAACTCCTGGGCTCAAGGGATCCTCCTGCCTCAGCTTCCCAAAGTGCTGGGATTATAGGCATGGGCCACTGTGCCCAGCCCTCGGTTTCCTTTTCTGTGACATGGAGATAACAATTGCTTTTACCCCAGGGTGTTGCTGTAAATACCTATAGAGCAGGTCTTCAGAAGATAATGGTCTGACTCTGGGCCAGAAGTTTTCTGAAGGCTTCCCTCCATCCCAGTTGGTTCCTCTTTTTACCCTGTTTAATTTCTTTTATCCAGTTTTAAAATTCTCCCCTTCCTCACTCGGGGGATGAGGGTTGAATAAGAAATTGAAAGTCACCAAATGGCTAGCTCTTGTCTGGCTGTGCCCCGACCCACTGTCTGATGGTCTCTTCTCGGGCCTCCATGCCCACACCTTTCATTTGCCAGAGTGGCAAACACTGACCCAGTTTGTTCTGGACTAGGCATTTTACTGGCATCTCTAATGAAATCAGCACAACTGCCCCTTGGGATAGGGACTACTGTTGTTTCTTATTTTTTGGATGAGGAAGGGGAGGCTCAGAGTTAGTAAGTGGTGGAGTTGGATTTCAACAAGATCTGGCTGACTCCAGGCTTATTTCCCTGTGGGCTGAGCACCCAAGGAGGCTCTGGGCCTAAAGGCAGAGCTGCAGACTGGCCAGTTTACAGGCCATGGGAAGGGAATTTGAGGTCGGTGTTGGTGATGGAGTCGGTGATGGGGCTGGCCTCCTTCCTCCCCACTGGGCCATGGGCTTGTGCTTACCCCTGGCATCATGCTTTCCCACCCTGCCCTTTTTTCTGGGGTCCCAGCCCCACTCCCCTGGCCTTTTGTTTCCCCTCCTCCATTGCCCTAATGATTTAGCCCAGGTGGCAAGTTGCGTAGAGAAACTACTCCAGGGAAATAAGAGTCCTTACTACCAGCCTGGGCCTCAGGTGTGCACCCAGCGGCCCTCCCTGGGGGTCTGGTGAGCTGGGCCTCCCCCATCTCCAGCTGTTAGGCAGGAGCTTGAGGAGCTGTGTGTATTGTGTGCACATGTACTTGTGTGTGGTGTATATAACTCTGGGAATGTAACTGTGCATGCATGCATGTAATTGAGTATAACCATGCATATGTAATGTGTTATATGTGACTGTGTATATAGAACTGTGTGTCTGTGTAACTTTATGTGTGTGGAATAGGCAACCGTGCATGTATGTAACTGTTCACTTATAACTACGTGTATGTAGCTGGTTTAATACGTGATCATGTGTATAGAACTGTGTGTTTGTAACTCTGTGTTTGTGAATGTAACTGGCGTGTGTAGGTGGCTGTATGTCGTAGGTGTGTTTACGCCTCTGTCGAAGGCAGGTGGGGAATGGAGAAGTATTAAAGGCGTGAGGATTGGGAGCAGGGCCCCAGTAACGTATGGTAGGGGCTACAGTTACCTCCTCTGCGGGTTAAAACACTCTTTGTAGAACAGAGTTACACACATGTTTAGATAATTAGAACAAAAGCCAAAAGAACAATTCCTTTCAAAGGGACGAAGCTGGGAGGCGGGGGCCAGCCAGGATCTGGGGGGCCGCATTCCGTCTCCCCAGCTCTCCCCGGCCTTCGCTGCGTTTTGATCGCACTATTTAGAAAATCCCTTTGTTGTAGGATAAACTGACATTGGCCTGCGCAGTTCTGCTGTGAAGTTTGCTGTGTTCCGGGGCCCACTCGGGACAGCCAGGCCATTAGGAGCTGATTAAATGAGCTAATTTTAATTTGTTCAGTGGTTACAGATGCAGAGACCTTTCCATGCCCTTTTCTTGAGGCTCTATTTATTTATTAATTTTCTTTTTTTCTGAAAAGAAAAAGACCTTCAGGTCTCCCTTCTGTCTTCCCATCCCCCCTTAAAAATAAACATATGAAAACATTTTTAACTAGAACTTCAGCTGGGAAAGAGACGGCTGGATGATGGCTTTGTGGGATTGGCCTCCAGAGGTGCTGATGGGGGGCTCCCCGAGTCTGTGAGCTGGGGTGGGGGGCGGTGCTACCAGGGCTGGGCCACCCACTGTGGCTGAGAGTGAGGAGCGGAGGAGGCTCCGTGAAACCTGTCAGAGACCTCAGTCTCACTTCCAGGCCTTTGCTCTTGCTGGTCCTGCCGCTTGGAGCTCATTTCTGCCCCTTGCTTCCTTCACTTGGTGAATTCTTCATCCTGCTGGTCTCCACGGAGAGCCTGCTTTTTCCAGGAGGGCTCTGGCACCCTTACTGCGCCCCTGTTCTCCCCCCAGGCCCCACACACTTCTCCTAGCAAACACAGGGGATCAAATGTTGTCCCTCCACCTAGGCTGCGAGCTCCACAGGCCAAGAGCTGCCAGTGTGGCTCACCCTCCTACCCTCACCACCTAAGTGCCTGCTGGGTTGTAGGCACATCAGAGACATCCTGTGAATAACTAAATGGGTGAATTAATGAATGAAAGGATGTGTGGGTGACATCTATATTTACTGAATGCCGCTACCCACCAAGCTCTTGATGGCAGAACCCTGGTGTCCCACCAATTTGGAAGTGCCACCCCTTGGGCCTCAATGCACCGTTGAGAGTTGAATTTCCAAATATGGCGGGTGTGGGGACTTCAGGCCTGCCTAGCCAGGCCAGTCCCCAGCCCCAGGCCCAGCTCAGCTGATAACCTGACCAAGGCTGAGCGGAGGGAAGCCAAGGGAAGAAAATTGCGCAGTTAGTTGGCTTTTTACAGCACTTACAGGCAAGCAGGCCTTGGGAGTACAATGTGCCCACAATGAGGGGCGTTCAGAGCACAAAAGAGCAGGGATCGTGGGGCTGTAGCCAGGGGCCACCCCCGATCTCGCTCAAGCTGCCTGGCCCCTCCTAGCTCGTTCATTTTAACATCACCTTTCGCTCTGGTTGGGGCACCTTTCGGTGAGCAGCGGGGTTTTCCCTGGAGCTGTGCCCTGGCTGTGGCCCGGCCAGTTTCCAAGGCCTGGTTTTCATTTGCTGAGAGCTGCTTCCCGCAGACAGCTCCCCACCCACCCCACCCAGGGGCCTCCCAGGGGCCGTCCCCCCACCCTGTCCTGGCAGACAGGGGCAGTGTCCGAGAGAGACCCCTTGCTCCCTTTCTGTGGTCCTCCCTTTAACCCCAGCCTCAGCACCAGGCCCTGGCATGGCGCCGGCCCCAGGCCCTCCTCCATCTCTGTAGAATCTCAGAGCTGGCAGGGGAGCCAGAACTCCTCGGTCGCCCCCGGGGCCTGGATCCCTCAACTGGGTCAACATCTGGCCGCGTGGCCTGAGCCCTGGGCCTCCTCTGTCCTCTCCCTCCCCATCTGTGCCTTTTCCCAGCCCCTTTTCTTCCCCAAGGCCCTTCCTCTCCCGCTAGCTGGGTCCTCCGCCAAGCGCCGCCGCGGGAGCAGCACACCCTCGGCCCATCCTTCTCCGCCGGCCCAGGCGGCCGGGTGGGGATGCGTCCCGTGGCTGAGATCACCAGTGGGCCGGTGGGAAGCGCCTCTCCAGCCCTCGCCTGCCCTGCCGCCGGGTGCTGGGAACCCGGGCTCAGGTTCTGGCCCTCTTGGCATCGGCCAGTTTGCCCTGGGACGCCCTGGTGAGCAGGGGGAAAGGTAAGCGGAGGCATGGGACAGTGATGAGGGGGTGGCTGGGTTGGAAGGGGGAAGAATGAATAAAACAGGCTGGTGTCTGCACCGGAACGCCGAGTCCCCTTAGAGGCTCCCGGCGCGTTGGGGAGTGGAATGTTTGCTCAGAGTGGAATGAAATCCAGAAGGAAGGAAACGTTTTTTTCTGGAATGAGAGAGGAAAAGTGGGCGGCCAGCTGCCAAGCAGGTGGTGGTGGCCAGGGTGTCAGACCTGGGTGGGGCCCTGCGGCATGGGGATGGGGAGGGCCCTGGGGTGCACCCTGACTCCTAGGTCTGGAGTCCCTCCCTTGCCTCTCTCCTGTCCTTCCCTCTGTGCCCCACCCATTGACCTCCTGTCCCCTCTGTCTCCCGTGGGGAGGGCTGGCTTGCATCTGTGATGGTTTTTGCACTCAAGTGCTTGCCTGCCTCTGGCTCCTGCCCTCTCCCGTGCCCTCCTGAAGCCTCATGTCTGTCCCACTTCCTGCACCACTGGCCGGGAGGGAGGCCACCAGAGTGCAGCTGCCGGGCCTGACTTTGCCACCTAAAAAGCCATCCCATCCCGGGCACTGGTCCCCTCTCCAGTCACAGGGGCGGCATGCCAAGGGGACATTGAGACTAGCCTCTGAAGTACTGAATGCCAGACTATGATTCCTGATGGATTCTGTAGGGCCTCGAGGGGGGTGGGCTGGGGGGCCTCAGTGGTAATCGGGTGTTTCTCGTGGCCAGCCACTTGTTCTCCTCAGGAAGAGGCTGGTGAGTTTCTTTCTGTTTATGTGGTAACCAGGCTACCGAGATGGCAAACTTAGGTTCTGCAATTACACAGCGTTTCAGAAGCAAATTGATAGGATAACGTGTTATTATTGGCTACTGGGTTAATAGCTATTTTGGCAGGAGTACCAATCCTGCGTGGTGTTGCTGGCGCGGGGTGTGAGAATGGCGCGATGGGGTGGAGAGGAATGGTGGGTGCGCTTTGCATAGAGCTGCAGACTCGGGAGGACTCTGGGGGCCTCCTCTGCCAGCGCCTGCTTGGATAATGCTCAGTTCTGATTAGCTGTTGCCGAAACCAAGACCAGAGAGGTTGAGAGACCAGAGTCAGATCATACAGTGAGTTGATGCTGGGGTTGGATTTTGGGTCCCTGTGGGGTTTTGGATGACAGCTTGGCCTGTGATCTTAGAAGGCAGGGCACATGCCTTCACACTGAGCCCCACGTGGGCATCTCAGAAAATGTGCCCTGAAAAGTTTGCATGCTCTGGCTTTGGGGTGCTTGCACCTGCTAGATCCCTGCCTGGGATCCTCTCTCTCTAGATTCTGCCTTGGCCTGCTGCCTTGTTTGCTTCTGGTGTCTGCTCAAGTGTCGCCTTGTCACCTGTCCAGAGTGGCACCCCACCCTTCACCCTTTTCCTGCCCTGCACTTCTTCATAGCAACACGTGATTTACTACGGACTGATTTATTCCTTCTTCAGCAGGAAGATTTAGTCTCCTCTCTTTGCATTGTAAGCTCACTGAGGGCAAGGACTTTGTTTCTTCATACCCTATCCCCAGAGCCTCGAACAGGGCTGGCAGAGTAGGCACTTATTCGTATTTATAGAAGGAATAAATGAATGTAAATTGCAATGTCATTTTAAAAAATGGCTGCCATATCGCAGGTGACTCGCTGTTTGTCCTTCCTCTTGGAGGATGGTTGGAGTCAGAGGGTCCTGTTATTCCTGTCCCTGAGAGGAGGTCAGCAGGCCCTCCTTTGGGGCTCATCAGGAGATCATTTCTTCCTGCAGACTAAGGGAGTTCAGAAGGGAGTGGATTCCCCTTCATTGGAAGGGACCAAACCTCTTTGTAGAAGGGATTTAAGGACTTTTTGGGGTGGACCAGAGCCCTTCAGGGGGACTGGCTTTCTTTATGACATGACATTGGCAGGAATGACATAAGGAGGTGGTAAATTGGGGATGCCCGCGAGAAGGGTAACCTGGGAGTGGGGGTGGAGTTCCCCAAGGGCGGGGGTCTCACAGTGAACCACGGCTCTGCCCAGCGGTCTCTGTGTTTGCTGCCACTGGACTGGAAACCACACACAATGATCTGTTCATTGAGCATGTGCCATGTACCAGGCGCTGGGCCAGTGTGCTTAACCTGCGGTATCTGATCTCATCCTGTGCACAACCCGAGGAGGCAGAAGGGATTCTGCCTGTTTTCCCTCTTGGTGAAGATTAGAGAGGTCCATTAACGTATCCTGGTTTACACCACTGGTCAGTGGTAGAGCTGAGATTTGAACGGAGGCTCTCTGGCTCCAGAGCCTTCCTGGACATGATCCTGATGCCCCCGGAATGCAGCCTCCATGGTGCAGGGCTTTGCTGGGTGTGCTCACTGCCCCAGGAATTGCAGCAGAGCCTGGCACAGAAGAGGCACTCCATAAATATTTCAACAGTGCAGTCGCTGGCTGATTGAGTGAGTGGATGCGAGGTGTTTCCCAAGATGAGCGGGAAGTGCTCACTTTTTACTGTTGGTCCATTGGACAGAGACAGGGAAGCCCAGGCTGGGAAGGAGGTGACACCGACTTGTGCTTGGCTGGCCCGAATTCCTCCTGAAAAAATTACAAGGGCACTGCTTGGCTGTGTGTTCCTTGTGGAGGGGTGCATTTGTTCACAGGTCCTGGTTAGGAAGTAAGGAGGTTTCTGGTGAGTTTTGGGGGTCCCCCCTGGTGGGGAAGACACACATGCCTGCAAGCATATACATGCATATTCACATACCCTTATTCTCCAGTGTGGTGTGTGAAGAAAGGCATCCACTTGAGGGGTGTTTTCCCGGAAAAATATGGAGACTCCCACCCCAAATCCCACTGTTGAGTCTGTGTCTTTTTTTTTTTTTTTTTGAGATGAAGTCTCACTGTGTCGCCTGGGCTGGAGTGCAATGGTGCGATCTCGGCTTACTGCAACCTCTGCGTCCCAGGTTCAAGTAATTCTGCTTCAGCCTCCTGAGTAGCTGGGATTACAGGCGCCCACCATCACACCTAGCTAATTTTTGTATTTTTAGTAGAGACAAGGTTTCACCATGTTGGCCAGGCTGGTCTTGAACGCCTAACCTCAGGTGATCCACCCTCCTTGGCCTCCCAAAGTGCTGGGATTATAGGTGTGAGTCACCATGCCCAGCCCCAGTCTGTATCTTTAAGAGCATGGAATCTGAGCTTATTATCTTATTAAATCTATCCATTTGTTTGGCTCTGGTCTGAATAAGTAAGCTCCCCCCCCATCCCCCCACACCCTGCCCCAGCTCTGTGTCTCCTTTGTTTTAATGTCATTTCTCTGGGATTCAGGCTGAGGCTGTGTAGCTGAGCTGTTCCTTCTGCCTCCGTCCGTGCTTCCTGACCCCCACACCCTTGCTGCTTCCCTGGCTCCAAGAGGCTCTTTCAAATAAAATCATAACAAATTCAGACCCCACTGAAGACTGGAGTAATTGCATTCTGCCATAATGAGAGGGGGCCCGAGGGACCTTGGTGATGCTGGACAGGCTCTGCTGGGGGCAGCCCCACTGGACCCAGGTGGTCAGGAGGGTGGTCAGGTCAGGCTTATATACTCCCTGGCTTCCAGCTGGAGGCTCTGTCCCCAACTCCTAGGCCCCACCTTACAGGGGCCTCTTGAGTGGCTCCTTGCTGCTTCTTTGTGATTAGACTATTCATTCATTCATTCATTCATTCATTCATTCGTTTTCTCATTTTCTCATTCTGAATTCATTCATACCATAGTTTTCAAGTGCCTCCTTTAGACGAAGCCCTGGACTTCAGTATTTCATCCATCCATCCATCCATTTATTCATTTATTCATGCCACAGTTACCAAGAGCTTCCCGTAGGCCAGGTACCCTTTCATCCATTCATTCATTCAGTCATTGAGCAGATAGTTATTGCCAGGCACCTTGTGGGGGCTCCCAGGGATCCAGGGATCCAGGAATCCAGGGCTTATCAGAATTGTCTCCAGGCAGTTCGAAGCCAGGAGTACCTGTGAGGAAACCTTAATCACATTCTTGGAAGAAGATAAAAAAGCATAAGGGAAGTGGTTGAGAGGTATATTGCGGGTGGAGGAGGAGGAAGGAAGGTGCAGCTCCCTTCTGGCCCTGCACCCCACCCTGACGAGTGGCCTGACTAAAGTGTGCATCCATTGACTCATTTGGCAAATATTGAGGGCCTACTGTGTGCTGGGTGCTGGGAGGAGCTGGGGACCATTTGGGGACCGTGGAGCTGCCTGTGGCAGACTGTAGGCCCAGCACCACCCACAGGGGTGCCGTCAGCCTGAGCTGGGCTGGGGGTGGCATCTCCCCTTCCCAGACCCCTCTATGAGGAGGGTACCAGTGCCTGCAGCGGTGGGCACCTGAAGCCCCTCGTGTGCCATGTGCAGGATCTGGGGTGACTGATCGCTCTCCATCAGTTTCTCTCTCCCCTGCATTACACTGTCCACCCGGCCTCCTCTTGAGAGTATGTGTGTCAGGGGTGTGTTTCCCATAAACCCCACATCTCAACATTTCATATGGCTGATGAGTCAGGTGGCCAGATTCTCCTGGCTCTGCCGGACTCTGCCCTGGGGCAAGTCCCTCCCTCAGACCTCAAGGGCCTCAGTATCCCGATGTGTACAATGCACAATACATCGTAAAATGGGGGGTCTAGTGAAAGGATTATGTGTGGCTTAAATGCATTAAATAGTAAAACGGCCGAGCACAGTGGCTCACGCCTGCAATTCTGACACTTTGGCAGGCTGAGGCAGGAGGATTGGTTTAGCCCAGGAGTTTGAGATCAGCCTGGCAACATACATAGCGAGTCCTCATTTCTACAAAAAAATATAAAAAATTAGCCAGGAGTGGTGGCACACCTGTAGTCCCAGCTACTTGGGAGGCTGAGGTGGGAGGATCACATGAGCCTAGGAGGTTGAGGCCACAGTGAGCTATGATTGCGCCACTGCACTGCAGCCTGGGCGACAGAGTGGGACTCTATTTCAAATTTAAAAACCCAAACCACCCCCCGCTAAAACAAGTAAAACATCAAAGACTAATATGAGTGAGTAAATAAATAATATAGATTTTAAGAAAGCCCGGCACGTAGGAAGTGTCTGGTGAGTGTGGCTGATATTCAGGTCTGTTTGTGAGCAGGAGCACATAATGAGGCACACAGATGAGGGCCTGGTTCCAGTGGGAGGAGGTGGTGGCCACTCGGGCTGAGAAAGCAGGGACAGGCAGGGTGCTGGGGCGGGGGTTCCAAGGAAAGAGTCAGCGATGCTGGGAAAGGGTGGGGGACCCACATGCCCCAGCCTTGATGCCTAGGACTTCAGGGGCCCTGCCCCACACTCCGGAATCCAGTCAGGGGAATGCCCTGCCACAGCTGCCTTCAGGGACCTGACGTGCTGGCCAAACAAACTGGAACTCCTCCTCCTCGTGGTGGTCCAGGGCCAGGTGGCTGCCTCTCTGCTGCTGCTGCCATATCCCAGAGCCTTCCCCAGGCCTGATGAGTCGTTTTCATCTCCTGCCCATCACGGGCAGGGCTGGGGCAGCCTTCAGCCATGAGGCTCAACAGCCCAGCTACAAAGTCCACGACGACAATTACTCTAGGGGTGGAAACATGAAAATCGGGAAAATTGGAATTTCCTCTGTCGTGTTGTAGATTTGGATGAGTTTAGGGGTGAGTGGGGCCCTCAGAGGGGCCGCCTGGCTAGCCCAGCACATCCTTGAAAATGCTCTGGCTCTTCTCTTCCTGGCCCTCCTCAGGCCCCGGGCTCCTTGCAGCGCCCAGCCCACCTCTTCTCTCCTGCCTGCCTCTGGCCAGGCACGGTGCTGGGGACACAGCAGCTATGAAGGTGCGCCCTCGTCCCTGCACTGCCCTGTCTGGAGGGGGAGAGGGACAGACCAAGAGCTGCAGTCACTGCAGTATGGGCCAGGGCAGCAGGACTTGCGCCACATCTAGGGCTGCCCAGCCCAGTTTCTGGTGGTTCATGCATGTTTAACCCAATTACATCTTTATTTTAATGGGCATTACAAAAACATCATACTCATGATTTCATCAATATCATGATTTAGGATTACACTTGGGTACCTGACATTGTTAGTCCTGAGGTCGTTGAAAGGACAAGGTTGAGTAATAGTATAGGACACAGACCCTGACGGTGGCCTCTCAGTGACTTGAGCATGGCAAATCCTGGCAGGTGCAGATTAGGGGCTGTGGAGGAGGCTATGCAGGCTGAAAGACATGGCTTCCAAGTCTGACACCACCATCTGTGGCAGTTGTACCTTAGTCAGTGTTGCAGGGAGGACCCCTGAACACAGAGCCTGAAGCAAGGACTTAGTGCACATATGTGGCGAGGAGGCACTCCCAGGAAGTAGGACGGAGGAGACAGGGCCAGGGAAAGGCCGATTTTGGGGTGCAGTGTTGAGCCTGCTGCTGTAGACCACTGGGCTTGAAACTGCCAAAACCTTCGTGTCTGCAGGGTGCCCCAGGAATGGTCTTCAGAGGAGCCCACTGGCTCCAGGCCCTTTTAGGTGAAGGTTGCCCCTGGGGGCATCACCTCCCCTCCCTTTGGGGTCAGACTTGAGACAGGCAGACACCTGGAGGTGGGGCCTCAGGCTCTTTTACTCAGACTGTCCCTGCAGCTGCTGAATTCCCAGGGGGCCACTGGCCATGATGCACACATCAGGTCCCTGAGTTCCTCTGTCCCTCAGCGTTCCCTTCCATAAAATTGGACCAAGCTCATGACTGTCTCCTGGAGCTGCTGGAGGGCACCTGGCACATGGCTGGAGACAGGGAGTGTTTTTGGGGAGTTTCTCCATCCTCCAGATACTTGGGGTGGGACCCTGGGGCTAGGTCCTGGATGGGATTTGACTGAGAAGCAGGGGATCTGTGATTTGAGGTCACACAGTGTGTGCCGCTTGTCTGTGGAAGTCTCCAGCCAAAGGAGCGTGTCACCCTGAGAGGTGTCCAGGCTGAGAATACGGACCCAATCCAGACATCCTGTCAGGCTGGGCTCCACGGGAGGCCACCTCCTTGGCAGAATGCTTGTGCCCCTGAACGGGTGTCACTCCCTCTCTTTCCCTGGGACATGGTGGTTCATAAACTCATATCCCGCGGTGGTTAGGAACACAGCCTCTGAGGTCAGGGAATCCATGTTCAAAGCCCTGCTAGGCCATCTCCACCTGTAAGGCCCTGAGCCTGTCAATTAACCTTTATAAGCCTCAGTTTTCTCATCTATAAAATGGGGCTGGTAATAGGAACACATCAGATTGCTGTGAATATTAAAATGAGACAACTCATTTTTTTTCTTGGAGACAAAAAATAAAATGAGACAACACGTGACATGGATCAAACACCCAAGAAATATGTGGCACTTAATAAACATCATTGATTAGACCTATACGTACATATGCAATGTATGATATAGAATACAAAGTATAATCTATTAATTATTCTTCAGTGTCGCCAGTTGGTCTAAGCTCAGAGTTCTAGCTTGGAGGCATTATGGGGTTTTCTCTGATACTGGCTTTTGGGAAAATTATAAGATGAACTTGGTCATCCATTTACCCACTTGCCTTTTTTTTTCTTTTTTTTTTAAGACAGAGTCTTGCTCTGTCATCCAGGCTGGATGCAGTGGTACAGTCTTGGCTCACTGCAACCTCTGCCCCCTGGGTTCAAGCAATCCTCTTGCCTTAGCCTCCCGAGTAATTGGGGTTACAGGCGTGCACCACCACACCTGGCTAATTTTTATAATTTTAGTAGAGACGGGGTTTCACCATGTTGGCCAGGCTGGTCTTGAACTCCTGACCTCAGGTGATCCACCCGCCTCAGCCTCCCAAAGTGTGTGGGATTACAGGCACGAGCCACTGCACCTGGCCTCCGCTTGCCCATTCTTTATTCGCATTGAGAGCTTCCTCTGTCTGCATCTCTGGTAAGAAAGTCACATAAACCAGCTGCATTCAGTCCTCCGTCTCACCTACACTGCCCCAACGTGGGGCACCACTGTCAGAAGGATTTGCAGTGTAGATGGGATGGAGGACTGGAAGTCAGAAGACCTTTGACTCGGGTCCCTAGGTAGCCAGGGTGGGGGTGGGAGGAGAGAGGGAGGTGGGACAGACACTTGGAGAGTTGGAGACTTGCCCTGGACCCGATGAACAAAACCCCACTGGAGTTACCTCGTGCACCCACTTAGCATTCAGTGCTTCAATTGTATGTGCTCTGCAAGGGAATGACTGCGTGGGTTTGTGGAAGAAAAATAATTCAGTGGTGTGGGTTCAGGGGCGAAGTGACCGTGAGATGGATGCTGTTCTGGGCTTTCGGCTTCCACACTCCCCTCCTGTGGGAGCAGACACCTGTTCAGCATGTTGAGGTCCATGGTGTGTATTTGGGAACACCTTGGCTCTTTCACACAGAGGACATGGCAATTTATTCCAAAAGTGGAGGAAAAGCTGGCTGGGTTGGACTCACTGAAAGGTGGTGCGCCCATCCCCCTCAGTGCCCCAGCAGGGATCCTTGTGAGGGGAGTTGATACTTCTGCTGTCCACAGTGACTTGAGTGTTCAGCCCCCACGTGGAAGGGGACCCCATGCTGATTGTGCAGGGGTTTTCTCCTGCAGGGGCACCTGATCTTGGCTGTTGAGAGCCCTGGGTCGTTGGGGTCACTGATCACTGTTTTCCTTGAAATGGGTTCTGCTTATAGGCTAGTGATTGTTTAACTCTCAGTCATTCGCAGACCTGGAGTTATGGGAGGTCTAGAAAGAGCCCTGGGCTGGGGAGTCCAGATCCCACTTACTCATGAGCTAGTGTTTCAGATAGTGTTGGTGGTTGCCAGGGCCTGTGGAATGGAGTTCTTGGCTCCTTGGCTTGGTATTTAAGGTCTTGACGATGGGCTCTCATTGCACCTTCTAAGCTGCTTCTCCCACTGATACCCAAGCTTCAGCCATGGCTCCCGCCATTGCTTCTCCCAGGAGGCCTTCTCCTCCCATCTCTCTGTATCTGGAGGTCCCAGGCTTTAGTCATTTGCATATCTCTACTGTGATTCTTGCAACATTTGAGTATCACTGATGCTATGATTCACCTAGTATTTGTCTTTGCTGGCTCTTTTGTGGTTAAATTAATTAATTTACTTAATTCTGCAAATGGAAAACCAGTATCATTTACTGTAAGATGACAGTAACCTTAAAAGTAAATAAAAAACAAAACCGAAGAAAATTCCATGCTCACACTATTCCAGACATGAGCTGCTGTGTTCTGGAAATGCTAAGCGTGGACTCTGCCCTCTCTTTTGCTGAAATGCTGGAGAGGAGTTAGAGACAGCCTTTCTCCCTGGCCTAATCTGAAGGCTGACAACAGAATGGAAAGGGCGCTAACTTTCTCATTTGTGCATCAGGGTTATTTAAGACCATCTTGGCTGCGCCCTAAAATGATCACGGGTCCTACCAATGGGAGGTAGCCCATGTTTGGAAGAACACAGATCAGTGGAGCTCCTACTCCTTCTTCAAAGCCCAATTTGAGTGCTCCTGCCTCCCATGATGGCACCTCATCTGTGCATTTCCATTCCCAGCCCTCCCGGGCTTGGAGCTTCTGGCACCCAGTGGCCTTGGCTAAGGGAAAGCTCCCTACAACCCTGCAGGGACAGCATGAGCTCCTTGTCCATGCCCCTGCCTGGGGCCTGTGCTCTACGCCCCCCAGGACGTATTGGACTGCCATCTTCTGTAGGCCCAGATGAACACCAGGAAAGGAGGAAATGAGGACCTACTCTTAGCCATGCAGGAGACCACCCTTCCCACCACCACCTGTGAGATGCTTGGGGAGGTGGGCAGAGCTGGCCCCCAAGTCATGGGTTGGGCTTTCGGGGGCAGTGACCACCATGGCCTGAATGAAGGCTCAGGAGCTGGAGCAGGTGAGGCATGCTCGGTATACATCTTTGATGACAGTGGGTGGTCTTGATGGCTTTCTGGAGATCTATGGAGTCATTCCAAGCTCCTTCTACTTAATTGCTGTGGAAGTCAGGGCCCTCGCCCTCTCTATGTCTCAGATGTCTGATCTGTAAGATGGGGGTTAATGGTGGTAGTGGTCACCACATAGGATGCAGGTGAGAGTTTAACAAAATGGAGCTTACGAAGAGCTTGGCACTGTGTCTGGCCACAGAAAGGGCTCTGCAGAGGCTACCAGTCTGAAGTTCAAAAAGTGGTTCACTATGACAATGCCCCAGACCTAGAAAGATGCAGGAGACACAGGGACACCCCAACCACTCAAATATAAACAGGTAGTGCCCTGAAGTCAGGGAGGATGACAGAGGCAGTCAGGGAAGGCTTCCGGGAGGCAGTGTCTTGAAGGATGGGCATGTGTTAGCCAGGATAGAGTAGGTTTGGCATGCCACAGTGGCAGTACAAGCCTCCAAAAGTGTTGTCCATCTCCCTCCCTGCAAAGGAGAGAGAGCATCTGCTTCCCTCTAAGCCATCAGATGGGGATGCAGCTCTGCACCCCACCCACCCCTTTCCCTGGAGGTGGCAAAGGGGATGACTGAACACTTCTCAGAGGCTCCTGAGCATGTCCAGACCTTAGCTGTAACTTCTGCAGCTAAAATGTGTGGATGGGAAAAATGCTATCCAAACATGCCTAATCCCAATCAGAGGATTATTTTCTTACAGAAAAGCTTCACCTATACTTAATAGTTTTAAATTGTTCCGGGTACCAATTAGACTTTTAATTTTGCTGTTCCCTCCGGCGGCTGGAGGATGTGTGTGGTTTGCGTTTAATCAGAGTTGAATTCTTTTTTTTTTTTTTTTTTTTGGTGGTTCTTGGGGAGGGAAGGAGATGAGGCGCCTGTTCAGGGTTTCCTTCAGGTCCTCCCAAGACTTGTGTAGTGGGTAGAGGTGCTGGGCAGCTCTGAGTTAGGGGTTCTCTGTCTGGGCAGCAGGGGACGCCTCCAGAGTGGGGACCCCAAGTCCCCTCCCACCCGCCTGAGGTTTTGCCGCTGCAGCCCTGCCTGGAGAATCCAATGCCGCGTTAAATATGTGGATTATCCAAAAATTTCTGCAGCAATAGGGTGAGTTATTATTGATTCACAGAGCACGACAAAACATCACTGCATGAATTAGCAAACAGCTGTTTCTAATTTGAGTTTAGAACGGTACACAGAGGAACTTGTTTCTCTGTTCACTCCTTTCATTTATAATGAATTTTAATCACTGCTACAGGTGAGAAAAATGTAGAAACAAGCTTGTATCTTGTGGAAGAAACAAAGGAGAGGCAGATGCTAACAGATTTCCAGTCTGTGATAAAAGGGATGTTTTGGTACACTTTACATGTAATTAGAGCGCAGCTGTTTCCAGTCCCAGGTCCACGAACACGGCCGAATGTGGGCTCTGCCGATCTCCAAAGGGAGTCAAGAAAAACAGTGATTCAACCCCGAAAGCATTTTGCTTTCACTCGAGTGGAGCAGAGCGCCCTTTGCTCAGGCCCTTGGCGGTGTTGCTTCATGAAGCTCACGGAGATGACTTCACAAGGCGCCAACTCCTTGTGAAGAGGCGGGCAGGCGATGTCAGGGTGCGCAGGAGGTCCACGCCAGGAGGCTGGCAGGAGAACCTTCCGGAGCTCCTGAGCTCCTCGTGCCCCTGGGGAGTCCCTTGTAGGGGCAGACTTGGGGGGCTCTTCCTTGCTGGCAGGAGTTGATCACTAGGCTCCTCTTTAGCAAGTTTGATCACAGCCAGCTCTCGGGTGAGCTGATGAGCACTGGCTTTTTTTTTTTCCCCTTTCCTAGTCTGTTTAATTTCTGCAATAAAACTCGAGCTCAATTGCATTTTCAATATCAGTGCTAAGTAAATTTGTCTAAGGGATGGAGCTGCCTGGCAGGCTGTGTGTTCTGCGAGGTCAGAGGCTTCAAGGGGAAAGGTGGACGCGTCCTTGCCCTGCATGTCCAGCAGCCATGTGGGGGCGGGGGAGGGAGTGTTCTGGGAGTCTGAGCCTCATCCCCCACCCCCTCCACCATGAGCTGAGGGACCCACATCCAAGCCATGGATGGCTCCCAGTACCTTAGATTCTCTGTTTGTGTAATGAGAGCGTTGGGCTCCATCTGTATAATGAGGGGTCTTGAAGCTCCTTTCAGGGCTGATGTCCTGGGATTGTAAATGGCAGGGGCCCTCTGAGAATTTTGGCAGGTTGAGTTTGCTTTGTTTGAAAACCATCTTGTGCACGGGTAACTGTAGGTTTAGCTTAGACCCTGTTGGTTATCAATCAGGGCTCAGGGAGGTGACACTGTGTCTTGTGTCCCCTCAAACCATTCCAGCCATTGCCAGCCTCTCCTTGTCCTGTGACCACCTTATGGTGATTTGGGAGCCAGTAGCCAGTGACTATTTTAGGCATTATAGAACATTTGTCATATATAACGCCTTACAGATATTCACTGATTTCATCTTTAAAACAACTCTATAGTTGGGTCTATAAATAGTCATCCCCATTTTACAGATGTGAAAACTGAGACAGGTTTCTCCATCTGTAAAATTGAGCAAGGGTCATTCACTTGGCTAAGGTCACACACATAGTAAGTGGGGGAGCTGGGAGTCTAAGCCCTGCTGCCGGCTCTCAGCCACCAGGCAAACACAGATGTCTCCAAGGCCCGGGACACCCCCTAATGGTGAGGGAAGTCCTGGGGTGCTGGGCATGCAGGGGGGTGGGGGTCCCTCCTCCAAGAAGCCCCAGCTGAGCTCCATCTTCCACATGCCAGATGCAGAGTCTGTGCTCCCAGGCCTTCTTCTCCTTCAAGAAAAACCGTAAGTGGGCCAGGCGTGGTGGCTTATGACTGTAATCCCAGTGCTTTGGGAGGCTGAGGCAGGAGGATCCCTTGAGGCCAGGAGTTTGAGACCAGCCTGTGCAACATAGAGAGACCCTGTCTCTACAAAAAAAAAAAAATTAAAATTAGCCAGGCATGGTGGCACGCACCTGTGGTCCCAGCTACTTGGGAAGCTGAGGCAGGAGGATCGCTTGAGCCCAGGAGGTTGAGTCTGCAGTGAGCCATGATTGCATCACTGCACTACAGCCTAGGTGACAGAGGGAGACCCTGTCTCTAAGAAAAAAGAAAAAAAAAAAGCCAAAAGTGACTGTGAATTAAGGAACAACAACAACAAAAAGTTGGGAATTCTTGATTTGTAAATGTTGGCATTTTCACAAAATCACTAATACTGATAACTGGGTGGCCCCCAGACTGTCCAGTGGGAGGACAGCCATGATGACCTATGACCCATTGCTCAGGGCATCATTTCTCCCAGTCCAGCTGGCTAAGAGCCCTGGGTTGGAAGTTCAGGCCTAGCTCTTCCAGTCACTTTGTGATGTCAGGATGTGACCTAACCTCTCTGTTCTTTTTCCTCATTACTGGGGTGACCACACAACTTACTGTGTAAGCTCAGCTGTTTATGAGGGTGAGAGGGATTCACTAACTGAATGGGATGCTGGGTTCCATCCCAGGATGCCTGGGTGTGTGGCCCCCCACTTACTCGTAATATGGGGATAATAACAATAACAAAACCACCATGACCACCACCACTGCACAGAGTTGCTCCAGATGTCAAATGGATAATGGGTGTGAGGTGCTGCGCAAAATGTTAAATGCCCTGTAGATTATGGGATTTACGATGAATGATAATAGTGTCAGTTACATTAGGAACCCCTTTATCTTATTTAGCCAATGTTCATCCAATGTTTAGCAGTATGTAAACATTAACCACTTTGTAAGGTAGTTACTTTTAGTTTCCCCAGGACATGGGCACTCAGAGAGGGGCAGTAATTTTCCCATGGTCTCACAGCTAATGATGGCTGAGCAAGCCAGTGCACACTCTTACTCATGGCTCTGCTGTCCCTCAGGGCTGACGTCTCCCTGCAATTGACTGAGTTTCTTCAAGCTTAGCAGCCTAAGCTAAGTTTTGAGTCCCTGGAAGTTTTGTTAAGGGCCTTGGTGGCAGCTGTTCACTGTCACATGGCATTTCAGCAGCCCCCAGAGCTGGCTGGAGAAGGGCAGGCCTGGTCAGTCTCTGTCTTTGAGATGTCCAGTGACCTCTGAGTCTTTTTTCTCCCAAACCGAAGGAATGATCCCTACTTTTCCTTGCTTATACTTTGGGGATGATGAGATCCCATTCGTAAGAAACTCTCAGCTCCCTGGAGGAGGAATGAGTGAATAGGTGCTGCTATTATTTTTGCTAATAGCATAATTCTAACTCGAGATTTCAGGAAGAGCCATGTCAGCTTCTGGTCACCTTTGTGGAGCTCCTTGGCTTACCTCTGAGGAAAGAACCTCCAATAGCCTCATCCCTTTCCTTTCCCAGGGTGGACTTTTGATGTCCCAGGGGTCAAACTTAATCCTTTACACTTCTCCTGTCAGATATCTAGGTGCAGTACTGATGTTACAATTGAAGGGATTCTCTCTCTCTCTCTCTCTCTCCCTGTGTGTGTGTGTGTGTGTGTGTGTGTGTGTACTTCAAAGCAGTAAAGGGTTTCTTTAGTGTTTAATGTTTAAACAGTAATTAATTGACACGGAGATTGGACAGATAAGAGCATAGAAACCTAAGAATGCTGGGTACCTCTACACCCTTTGGAAAACTGGATATTTAGAGCAGGCATCCTAAATATGTGCTGAATTAAAAAACCACCCGAACTAGGAGATAGTAGAGAGCTGGGATACCTACCACCTGAGACTTACTCTGTACCCAGGGCAGGCACAGACATCATTAAGTGATAACAGACTGTAAGAGCTACAAAGCCTCTTAGAGACCTGTTCGTCGGATTCTCTCTATCAAGAGATGGGGAAATGAAAGCACAAAGAGGGGATATGCTTGCCCATGGTTACACAGTTCTGGAATCTGAACCTGGTCCAGTAGTGATCTCATCCACTATGGCTCATGGCTCCACCCTCTGGGCTTGAGGTTCTGCCCGCTTAGTCATCCCTTTTTTCCCCATGAAAGGTAGCATGTACTTTCATCTGAGTAGTTTTATTAACCTGTTTCCTGCTTGTGAAGTTTTGGGTGTCCAACAGACTTCTTTCATCCTGTACTCTCTCTGTCCTTTTTGGTTTAAGCTGGCAGTGTTTCTGTCAGTATAAACTTTTCAAGAACCTTGTGAGTCTCCTGTGTATGTCATGGGTATTTTCTCCATTATTCAAGATGGTCCTCTACAGATATTTCCTGGATAATCCCTTCTCTACTTTTGTCTTTTGCTGAGATTGCTCCAGAGCAATACCCCCAAATTTCCTAGATGCTCTCTAATTTGATCTAGGAGATCTGTGAGTCACACCCTTAATCTCACCAAAGAGCCTTTGTTGTGACTGAATACTCAATACTCTGGCATTTTGATTTTCCTGAGATATTAGCAATATGTGCAGTCCTACCTTCAGCTTTTTCTCCGGAGCATGCTTTCTTGTAAGTAAATCTCTTAGAGTTTTTTTTTTCTTTTTTCTTTTTTTTTTGAGATGGAGTCTTGCTCTGTCACCCAGGCTGGAGTGCAGTGGCATGATCTTGGCTCACCACAACCTCCACCTTCTGGGTTCAAGCGATTCTCCTGCCTCAGCCTCCTGAATAGCTGGGAGTACCTGGAATTACAGGCATGTGCCACCATGCCCAGCTAATTTTTGTATTTTTAGTAGAGACGGGGTTTCTCCATGTTGGTCAGGCTGGTCTCGAACTCCCGACCTCAGGTGATCCGCCTGCCTCAGCCTCCCAAAGTGCTGGGATTACAGGCGTGAGCACTGCGCCTGGCCTGCTTAACAGTTCTTTTCTTAATCTTTTTTCTTTTTAGCAGCAAGAAGAAACCAGCCCATACCTTCCACAGTTTGCTTGGAAATCTACTTAGCTAAGTATCCAAGTTTATCCATGAAAGTTCTGCTTCCCACATAACTGTGAGTCATAATTTCACTTAGCTTTCTGCCACCAAGTATCAAGGATCCCCCTTCCTTCAGTTTCACTGTCAGTGCCTTTATTAATATCCATATTTCTCTTAATAGTCTGTTCATGATGATTTAGATATTTCCTAAAGTGATTTAGGTTTTCTCTGATGTGTTCCTTACTTTCTTCTGAGTCTTTATTAACAGAGTCATTAATATCTATGTTTCCATTAATCTGTTCAAGGTTACCTAGGCTTTTAAATAAATCATACTCCTCAAAATTCTTCTACCCTCTGATCGCTGCCCAATTCCAGAGCCACTTCCATGATTTTAGGTATTTGTTCTCATAGCACCCCACTCCTGGTACCAAAATCTGTATTAGTTTGCTATTACTGCTGTAACAAATTACCATAAGCACAGTGGCTTAAAACAACAAACAAAAAATAGTATCTTAGAGTTCTGTAGGTCAGAAGTCTGACCCAGATGTCACTGGGTTAAAATTAAGGTGTTGGCAGGGCCGCATTCCTTTCTGGATGCTCTTAGGGAAAAATCCATTTCCTTGCCTTTCCAGTTCTTAGAGGCTGCTCACATTTCTTGGCATATGGCCTCCTTCCATCTTCAATACTAGTAATTGCTGGTTGGGTCCTTCTCATATTGCATCACCTCAACCTCCTCTTCTGCCTCCCTCCTGCACATTTAAGGACCCTTGTGATTACAACAGACCCATGTGGATAATCCAGGATAATCTCTTTATTTTAAGGTCAGCCAATTGTCAACCTTAATTCCATTTTACCATGTAACGTAACATATTCATATGTTTTGGAAGTTAAGACTTGGACATCTTTGGGGTAATTATTATTCTGCCTACCACAATCTCCAGGTTTGCTTCTGCATAGGCTATTTAAGCAGCAGGCTACTTTACCTGCCATCCAGTGAGGAAAGAGGCCAGCAACATTCATTAGTGCTTGGCATCAGACCCAGCCTAGCCTGGTCATCCACCACTGACTTTGCCTCAATGGCAGGTGGGGTTGTAAAGCTTAAGACCTGTACCTGGTTCAAGTCACGGGGCCTGGTACTGTGCTTGTGCATGGTGGACCTCAAGAAAGAGGGAGCAGGTCCAGCAGGGATATGGGCCTTGGACTGGCTCCAGGGCCTGGTGAAGCAGTGTAGCCTGGTGGTTAGTAAGTGGGTGGGGGCATCTGCCACTTGCAATGTCTGTGCGCTCAGAAGTTACTTTCCTTCTTGGAGTGTCACTTTGCACAGTTATAAAAAGGGGTTGTTAATAGTACCTACCTCATAGGGAATGTGTGAGAATCAATTGAGAAAAAGCTGGCAAAGGACCTGGCACATAGAAAATGTGTCATACAGCTGGGCGTGGTGGCTCACGCCTGTGATCCCAGCACTTTGGGAGGCCAAGGCAGGTGGATCGCAAGGTCAGGAGTTCAAGACCAGCCTGACTAAGATGGTGAAACCTTGTCTCTACTAAAAATACAAATATTAGCCGGGTGTGGTGGTGGGTGCCTGTAATCCCAGCTACTCAGGATTCCTACCGAGGCAGAGAATTGCTTGAACCCAGGAGGCAGAGGTGGCAGGAAGCCAAGATCGTGCCACTGCACTCCAGCCTGGGTGACAGAGCGAGACTCCTTCTCAAAAAAAAAAAAAAGAAAAAGAAAAGAAAATGTGCCATAAACAGTAACCACTGGATCTGCCTGTGACTTGTCATGTTGCCTCAGTTTCTCCATCAGTGAAATAAGATGAGGGAGGAGCTATGCACCCTCTCTTGCCCTCAATACACTGATGCTAGTTTTACAGGCAGGGATGTAATTGAGTTGAGGAGTATTCTGGGATGGATGGCTAGTTCTGGCATCAGGTGTGTGCAAGTACCCCTGGTTTCCCAAGAAGTGATCAGGAATATGCCCAGATGCCCCTTGAGCTCAATTTGGATCATTTCGTGTCTGGAAAGCCACCTGCTTAGGCTCTGGCTACCTCTGTGGGAACCACAATCTACAGTGTGCCCTGAAGCATATTCAGGTCTTGCAGCTCTTATTACCCCAGGCTCTAGGAAACACTGACTGGCTCTCCTCGGTTGTCCGGGCTGCTTTGTGTCCACTTTGGGCAATCCTCACCATCAGCTGATGTCACAGCTGACCTATCTGGCTGGAGATTCCTCTCCAGACTCCAACACAGTTCTACAGTATATTAGTTCATTCTCATGCTGCTGTGAATAAATACCCAAGACTGGGTAATTTATGAAGGAAAGAGGTTTAATTGACTCACAGTTGTGCATGGCTGGGAAGGCCTCAGGAAACTAACAATCATGTTGGAAGGGGAAACAAACATGTCCTTCTTCACATGGTGGCAGGAAGGAGAAGAATGAGAGCTGAGCAAAGAGGGAAGCCCCTTAATACAACCATCAGATCTCATGAGAACTTACTCACTATCGCTAGAATAGCATGGGGGAAACCACCCCCATGATTCAGTTACCTCCCACCAGGTCCCTCCCACCACAAGTGGGGATTATGGGAACTACAATTCAAGATGAGATTTGGGTGAGGACACAGCCAAACCATATCATACGGTATCTGTCAGGGCCTCTTGTCTCTCTGTGACCAACAGGATTTTGGGAACACCAAAGCCTCATCTCTCAAAGAGAATGGACAGCTCCTTTTTTGGAAGAGGAAACCTGAAAAGCATCTAGCATTGGGAGTCAGGAGACTCCTCTTTCCAGTTTGCTCAGTGCCCTTTGACTATTCCATTCCTACATGTCTCTGCTCATGGCAGACATCATCAGTTGATTGCAGCACTCATTTCTTTGGACCTGAGATAAGGCCTTGGAATCCTTCTGAACACAGGATTCTAGGCAACCACTACCAATTAGCTGGGCTTGTAAGTTTTCTTCTCTTTTCTGGGCCTCAGCTTTTCCATCTGTATCATGTGGGATTGGGTAGTTGGTTCCTGAGTCTAGGGTCCCATTCCTCTGAGCTTAGGGAAGGGCCACAGTGATTCCTATTCTTGGAGCTCTGTATGGGGGCAGCAGAGAAGCTCTGCTTGGTGTATTACAAAGCTTTGTCCTGTCGGGAACTGGTCTCCTTGGCAATTTTCATTTTTCTGAAGAAACAGTTGAGTGGCAAGGAGTCTTTTTGGGGACTTTGTGAAGCACTGTAAGGCCATTTTGTGTCTATCATGAAGATGGTCTTGATGGTTGGAGTATTGTACAAGGTGATCTTTATATTCATATGGCAGGGGCTATAGAGAGCATGAATTCCAGCTTCCCATGAGCCAGCAGAGGCAGTGGAGGCCCAGCCTCCTGATGGACTCTCTGCCCGTTGCCCCAGCATGACTCCCACTGGTGCCTTTCTTGCTCTACTTGGCCTCTCCTTTGCATGGTCTGGAATGTCCTTGGGGCAGGACCAAGGTGGGATGCACCCAGGCGACCCTGCAGTATTCAGCACAGTCCTGGGCACAAGAGGCCCTGAGGACTGGGATGGAAACCTTATTCCAATGGCTGGATGAGCTCTTGTTCCCTCTGTAGGCTCACGGTTTTTTTTTTTTTTTTTTTTTTTTTTTTTTTTTTTTTTTGAGTCAGAGTTTTACTCTTGTTACCCAGGCTAGAGTGGCATGATCATAGCTCACTGCGGCCTCAAACTCATGGGCTCAGGTGATCCTCCTGCCTCGGCCTCCCAAGTGGCTGGGGTTGCAAATACACATCACCATGCCTGTGTAAATTTTGTTCTTTTTTTTTTTTTTAAGAGACAGGGTCTTGCTATATTGCTCAGACTGGTCTCAAACTCCTGACCTCAAACGATCCTCCCACCTCAGCCACCCAATGTTCAGGGATTACAGGCATGAGCCACCATGCCCGGCTGGATGGTCATTTTTATTCACACAGATGGAACTGCCCAGCTCAGGAATGTCCTAGTAACCTGGAACTTCCTGGGCTCAGCTATCTTCCCCCCAAACTCAATGCAGAGAGTCCCCCTAGTGTTCTTTTTAGGGCCTCTTGCATAGCTTCGATGGCAGGAGTTCACTTCCTCTTCCATGTGTGCCCCCCACTGCAGGAAGGTTCCCTTTCGGCCCACTCCTGTGAGTCTGTGGGCCAGTCACTCTCCTGCCTTGGCCCGAGCACCTTCTCCAGCATCTCTGACCTTGATTCTCTGTGACAGAGGAGCCGTGAGCTGTGGCTCCCAGCCATTCTGGGCGGCCACTTGCACTGCTCAGCCTAGATGAGGTGTGTCCGAGGCAGTTTTACACACTGTAGCATCAGCCTGCTGAATTCATGTCCTGCTCCATGCTGGTCACCAAGTGTGACCACATGAGCTTGGGAATCACCTGGCTCTTTCTGCTGCTGACGTGTTCTGAAGCCCAGTTAATGTTCTTTTTTCAACTTAATTGAATTTTTATCAAAAATTCTCTCCTCTTTTATGCTTGTTTTCTTTCTCTTCCTGCAGCAGACAGCAAAAGCCTCATATAACCCATTTCCTATTTGGCCTTTTTGCAGGATTAGTCATTTTTAAATGACTTTAATCTCCATTTTGCAAGTGTGTGTGTGTTTTTTTAACTCATTTTTGTTATAGTTCTTTGATTGCATTTACTCTGGGGGGCAGGGGAAGCATGGGTCTGTCATTAGTCATTGTACTTCCCACTTGATTTTCTCATGCTTCTCCTCCCAAAGTGGGGGGTGGGGGGTAGTGAAGCCTTGTGGGTGAAAACACTGACTGAACAGGACTAAGGGGGGGTTCACATCCTGACTCTGCTGCCTGCTGGCTGTGTGGCACTGGGCAAGTCACTCAGTCGCTCTGTGCCCTGGTTTTCTCATCTGTAAATGGAAATTATAACAGTCCCTAACTCATTAGCCTATTGAGAGGATTGAATGAGTGAGTACACATTAACTCTTAGAAGAATGCCTGGCACACAGCAAAATCGATGCAAGTATTTACTTGAAAATAAAAATGTAGCGACTGAACAGGACTTTCCTTGAACCCACCTTCTTCCTGAATTCTGGAATGTTCATGTTGGAGGGGACTTTGGGATTGCCTTGGCCACAGTTGCAGGTGTGTGTGTGGTGTCCAGCATCCAGCATGAGGAAAGTGTCATTGCTATAAGAGAGGAGAACCTTGGGCCAGGCGCAGTGACTCACACCTGTAATCCCAGCACTTTGGGAGGCTGAGGCGGGTGGATCACTTGAGGTCAGGAGTTCGAGACCAGCCTGGCCAACATGGTGAAACCCTGTCTCTACTAAAAATACAAAAATTAGCCGGGCATGGTGACATGTGCCTGTAATCCCAGCTACATGAGAGGATGAGGAAGGAGAATTGCTTGAACCTGGGAGGCAGAGGTTGCAGTGAGCCGAGATCACACCACTGCACTCTGGCCTGGGCCACAGGGCGAGACTCCTTCCCCTCCTGCCCCTGCCAAAAAAAAAAAAAAAAAAAAAAAGAAAAGAGAACCGCTTTCTCTGCTGACGCCCCTGTAGATACATCCCGAGCTTTGGCCCTAGCTTATCTCTCTAGCCTGTTTCTAGAGCACTGAGCTAAGTCCCCCCAAAGCAAAATGCATTTGGAGGGGGTGGGATGGCAGCAGGCGAGGTTGAATGTTCTTTGAATAAAAGACTTTAAACAGGGCAATCTGAGTTTGGGACTTTATATGTCAACATGCCCATTTTCCCTGATTGGGCCTTTTCAGTTTAAGGAGCCTTATTTTCATTTCAATTCAGATGATTATAATCTCAGCAGTGGCTCAGCTTGTTGCTCCCAGAATAATACGCTTTGCTTTAGTTTCAAAACTTGTTTGCAGAAAAATAAAGCCAAGCAGCCAGCCTGCAATGAACCTTGGGTACTCTGGTGCCGGGCAGGTTAAGATTCTCCTTTTCAAAGCCTACTGGGTGAATGACTGATGTGGGGCCTCGGGACCAGGTTCTGTACTCCTACAGGATGAAGTTTGGCCAGACACTAAATGGGGCATCTGGCTTGGTACTGGGGGCCAGTTCCTCACCTCCCTGAACCCCACTTCCTCATCTCAGAAATGGGAATGTTACTGCAGACAGCCAGATATGGTTGTTGTGAGGATGAATAGAAATTAATTGCGATAATAGACATACTTAGCACAGTGCTGGCACGTGGGACATTCTCAATAAATGGAGCTGTTAATATTGTTAGCACTTGTGGCACTAATTAGTACTAATTCTTATTATTGGCAAAATAGTGCTTTTGTTTAACAACTTTATTGAAGTATAATTTGCATACCATAAAATTCACTTGTTTGAAGTGAGCAACTCAGCCAGTCTTTGGTAAGTTTACAGAGCTGTGCAGTCTTCACCCACAGTCTAGTTTTAGACCATTTCCCTCATGTCAGAAGGATCCCTGTCACCTGTGCAGCCAGTCCCTGCTCCCATCTCCAGCCTCGGACAGCTGCTAACCTGCCTTCTGTCTCAGATGCGCCTTATTCTGGACATCTCATGTCAGTGGCATAATAGTGCTTTCTCCCATTAGTTTTTCTCATCCACTCCTCCCAGTGATTCCCTTTTTTCAGATGCGTAAAGTGAGTGGTTAAGAGGAATGTTCAGGGCATGGATGAATTCATAGAGGAGCTGGGAGGGCTCTGGCTCTGAGTGAGTGTCTTCTGGTCTTCAGGTGGTGTGAAAGGTTTAGGAGCAAATGAACCCTGGCAGAAATATCTGTTCAGGCTTGTCCTAGGGACAAGAGTGATAGTGGTTTCACCTGCCCAGTTGTTGAGACTTCTCCACACATCAGTTGCTGGGTGGGTTCCAGCCAGTTCCTGTGTCTCTCTGAACCCTGATGAGCCCCTCCCAGAAATGCAAATCATGGGCCAGCCCCAGCCCTCTTCACAAGGCAGGCTCCAAGGAGATCAAGTCCTGAGGACCCTGGAGGCTTTACACGTGGGCCTCTCCCCTTCTTACCCACGCAGGAGTGGTCTTATTTGACTGTTTGGCCCCCAGAAGCTGGTCCAGGCCCACATCACGATCAAGGGGCCTGAATGTGGACAGTCCTGGCATCAGTCTCTGGCACTGTCATTTCCCAGAGCAAGTCTCTGAGGCCGTGCCTCAGTTTCCTCGTCTGTCCAGTGGGAGTGGACCTGGCCACTCATTTGCAGTTGTGAGAAAGCACTTAGCACTGAGTGCTGGGCACACAGGAAGGGCTCAGTGGCAGTTTGAGTGAGTCTGAGTGAAGACATCAAAATAATAAGAAGCCAGTCCAGCCTGGCCTGGAGCGGGGGCCGAGTAGGTCCCCTGGCCCCAGCCATCTCCTCCCTGGGGTCCCTTTTGTCTGTGCCCCAGAGAGCCCAGCTGGCAAGAGCTGGGAATTGGCAGGCAGGGGCTGGGGCGCCTCCCACTGCATCTCATCTGGGGAGCTGGCCACGACTGCTGCATCCTTCCCGTCTGCCGAGCCCGTCATGTGAGGCCCCCGGGGGAGAAGGTGCTGGTGCTCTGGGAGGGTGTTCCAGGAGGCCCCTTGAGCTGGGCTGGGGAGCTGGGCTTCAGAGGTGGGTTGGCTGCCGGAAGCCTTGCAGTCGGGAGCTTTGGAGAACTGCGAGCTTCGGAGAGCCGCATGCATCCCGGTTGAGCTGTGCCAATGGTGCCAGGGGGGTCAGGTGGATCTTCACACAATCAGCGCTGCGGGGGCCAGGGGGTGGGGGCGGGGCCTAGGACCAGGCTCAGCCCCAGCTGTGAGGGACCCCTCAAGACCCCCCAATCAGCCTTTGTTCTCTCTTTAAGTCTTAGGATCGGCCTGGGACAGCAGAGGCAGCTTGTGTGGAGAGCCTTGTAGGGAAACCACAGGTCTGTGATGTGTGTGTGTGTGTGTCTGCAGGTGAATGTGTGTACATGAGCGTGTGCATGTATATTTAAGTTTGTGAGTGATAGTGTGAGTGTGTGGGAGTGATGGTGTGAATGAATGTGTGTGATGGTGGGTGTTGTGTGTGTATGTAGGTAGGCGTGTGTATGCGCATCTGTGTGCCAGTGTTCACCCGTGCTGGGAGCATGGTGCGCCTGCCCCATCCCTTCCTGAAGGTCTGGGCTGCCTCTGGGCCAAGGTTACGTCTGGGTTACGTCTGTGAGGCTCTTCTGAAGACTCAGCCAGGCTGGCTGGCGGCTGGAGAGGCGGGGGCAGTGGTTTATTTCCTCGGGGTTACAAGAGCAAGGTCAGCGGAGCCGAATCTGAGCTTTTGTTTGTCTCTCCCCTGCCCGCAGCAGCCTGCGGTCTGTTTCATTCATTATTAAGTTTTAAATCCAGCCGAAGAGAAACTTGAGCCTTGGAACTCACTCCCTGCCCGGGCTGGCTCTGCTCGGCCCCCGCCGGGGAATGTCTCTAGCTTTATTCACTGTGTCCTGTGTGCCTTTGTTTTCCCAGAAACGGCCTACCCTTAGGTTTGTTTAGTTTTCCTCTGAGGCTAGCCGGGCCAGCAAACGAGGGGGGTTGTGGGGGCTGTCCCCAGGGAGGGTGGGACTGGCTGGAGTCTGTACAAGGATTGTCTCTTCCTTGCCTTTGCAGTGGGGTTAAGGGTCCGCCTGGGTCTGAGCTCTGTGGCCTTCCATGTCCTCATTCATCCTCCAATCACTGTCACCATCTCTCCATCTGTCTTGATCCTGGGTGGGGTTGGGGCAAATCCAGGGGTGCAGTGGGAACAAAGAAAACAAGGGTCTCAGGATGGCCTGGGCCAGGAAACCCACAGATGCCTCTTCAGTGCCCTAGGTTCCCTTCCCACCTGAGCACTGAAGTCTGCTGTCTCTTGCCCTGTGATTTCACACCTCCTATGTCTTGTCTACCACCTGAAGCAGCAGCTTCCAGCTCCATCAGTCCACCCATACCCAGAGAATGGTGCATTCTATGGCCAATCTGATAAGGGCATTTTTGTTGTTGCAAAATTTTGCCTGTGTTCATAAGGACCAGTGGGATTTCCTTCCCTCCAGGATTAGGGATTTGAGGGGAGTTGACTCCCAGGTGTGGATCAAGTGACAGGACTTGTCTTCCTTTTGGCCTATGGGACTGGTGGTCTGTGAGTTCGTTTCCAGTGACTTTGTCCAGGCTGCCCCTCCTTTCCCTATCAGGAAAGTGGCCGAGAGCCTCCCCTCTGATGGGGGGTATCATGTCCTGCCAGGTCCAGGCAAGTGTTGTGAAGGGAAAAGGCGCTCCCCCTTCATTATCTGCCGCCCCTCTGGCGTGCCCTCTGCAGACAGGAAGGCCCTGGTGTCCACTTGCTTCCGGCCCCTGCCCCTCCCCACAGCCCCCTGCAGCCGTTGGCCAGCTGCACAGCCTCAGCCCGCGTGCTGTCGAGAAGCTGGCTCTGTCCTTGTTTCTCGGCAGCCCTGGGAATTGCCTCTAATATCCTCTCTGCCTTCTCTTGCAGATGGTGATGACGACCCACAACTCTCCTGGGTGGCCTCGTCTCCCTCCAGCAAGGATGTTGCGTCACCCACGCAGATGATCGGAGATGGTTGTGACCTCGGCCTCGGCGAGGAGGAAGGGGGCACGGGCCTGCCATACCCTTGCCAGTTCTGCGACAAGTCCTTCATCCGCTTGAGCTACTTGAAGAGGCACGAGCAGATCCACAGCGACAAGCTGCCGTTCAAGTGCACCTACTGCAGCCGCCTCTTCAAGCACAAGAGGAGCCGTGACCGGCACATCAAGCTGCATACGGGCGACAAGAAGTATCACTGCCACGAGTGCGAGGCAGCCTTCTCCCGCAGCGACCACCTCAAGATCCACCTGAAGACCCACAGCTCCAGCAAGCCCTTCAAGTGCACTGTGTGCAAGCGCGGCTTCTCCTCCACCAGCTCGCTGCAGAGCCACATGCAGGCCCACAAAAAGAACAAGGAGCATCTGGCCAAGTCGGAGAAGGAAGCCAAGAAGGACGACTTCATGTGCGACTACTGCGAGGACACCTTCAGCCAGACGGAGGAGCTGGAGAAGCACGTGCTCACCCGCCACCCGCAGCTGTCCGAGAAGGCGGACCTGCAGTGCATTCACTGCCCTGAGGTCTTCGTCGACGAGAACACACTGCTCGCCCATATCCACCAAGCCCACGCCAACCAGAAACACAAGTGCCCCATGTGCCCTGAGCAGTTCTCCTCAGTGGAAGGTGTCTACTGCCACCTGGACAGCCACCGGCAGCCCGACTCCAGCAACCACAGTGTCAGTCCCGACCCTGTACTGGGCAGCGTGGCCTCCATGAGCAGCGCCACACCCGACTCCAGCGCCTCTGTGGAGCGTGGCTCCACCCCGGACTCCACCTTGAAGCCGCTGCGGGGGCAGAAGAAGATGCGGGATGACGGGCAGGGCTGGACCAAGGTGGTCTATAGCTGCCCCTATTGTTCCAAGCGGGACTTTAACAGCCTGGCCGTGCTGGAGATCCACCTGAAGACCATCCACGCGGACAAGCCCCAGCAGAGCCACACATGTCAGATCTGCCTGGACTCCATGCCCACCCTCTACAACCTCAACGAGCACGTTCGCAAGCTGCACAAGAACCATGCCTACCCTGTGATGCAGTTTGGCAACATCTCTGCCTTCCACTGCAACTACTGCCCCGAGATGTTCGCCGACATCAATAGCCTGCAGGAGCACATCCGCGTCTCCCACTGCGGCCCCAACGCCAACCCCTCTGACGGTAATAATGCTTTCTTCTGCAACCAGTGCTCCATGGGTTTCCTTACTGAGTCCTCCCTCACCGAGCACATCCAGCAGGCCCACTGCAGTGTGGGCAGTGCCAAACTAGAGTCTCCGGTGGTGCAGCCCACGCAGTCCTTCATGGAGGTCTATTCCTGCCCCTACTGCACCAACTCCCCCATCTTTGGCTCCATCCTGAAACTCACCAAGCACATCAAGGAGAACCACAAGAACATTCCACTGGCCCACAGCAAGAAGTCCAAGGCCGAGCAGAGCCCAGTCTCGTCCGATGTGGAGGTGTCTTCCCCGAAGCGGCAGCGGCTCTCAGCAAGCGCCAACTCCATCTCCAATGGGGAGTATCCTTGCAATCAATGCGACCTCAAGTTCTCCAACTTTGAGAGCTTCCAGACCCACCTGAAGCTGCACCTGGAGCTGCTGCTGCGGAAGCAAGCGTGCCCCCAGTGCAAAGAGGACTTTGACTCCCAGGAGTCCCTCCTGCAGCACCTGACAGTGCATTACATGACCACGTCGACCCACTATGTGTGCGAGAGCTGCGACAAGCAATTTTCCTCGGTGGATGACCTGCAGAAGCACCTGCTGGACATGCACACCTTTGTGTTGTACCACTGCACCCTGTGTCAGGAGGTCTTCGACTCCAAGGTGTCCATCCAGGTGCACCTGGCGGTGAAGCACAGCAATGAGAAGAAGATGTACCGCTGCACGGCCTGCAACTGGGACTTCCGCAAGGAGGCTGACCTGCAGGTGCACGTCAAACACAGCCACCTGGGCAACCCGGCCAAGGCTCACAAGTGCATCTTCTGTGGGGAGACCTTCAGCACCGAGGTGGAGCTGCAGTGCCACATCACCACACACAGCAAGAAGTATAACTGTAAGTTCTGCAGCAAGGCCTTCCACGCCATCATCCTGCTGGAGAAGCACCTGCGGGAGAAGCACTGTGTGTTTGATGCTGCGACCGAGAACGGCACGGCCAATGGGGTACCCCCAATGGCCACCAAGAAAGCTGAGCCTGCTGACCTGCAGGGCATGCTGCTTAAGAACCCTGAGGCACCTAACAGCCATGAGGCCAGCGAGGATGACGTGGACGCGTCGGAGCCCATGTACGGCTGTGACATCTGTGGGGCGGCCTACACCATGGAGGTGCTGCTGCAGAATCACCGGCTGCGGGACCACAATATCCGGCCGGGCGAGGATGATGGCTCACGCAAGAAGGCTGAGTTTATCAAGGGCAGTCACAAGTGCAACGTTTGTTCACGGACTTTCTTCTCGGAGAACGGGCTACGGGAGCACCTGCAGACGCACCGGGGCCCTGCCAAGCACTACATGTGTCCCATCTGTGGTGAGCGCTTCCCTTCGCTGCTGACGCTCACCGAACACAAGGTGACCCACAGCAAGAGCCTGGACACGGGCACCTGTCGCATCTGCAAGATGCCCCTGCAGAGCGAGGAGGAGTTTATTGAGCACTGCCAGATGCACCCTGACCTGCGCAACTCACTCACGGGCTTCCGCTGTGTGGTCTGCATGCAGACAGTCACTTCCACGCTTGAGCTCAAGATCCATGGCACCTTCCACATGCAGAAGCTGGCGGGCAGCTCAGCGGCGTCCTCCCCCAATGGCCAGGGGCTGCAGAAGCTCTACAAGTGCGCCCTGTGCCTCAAGGAGTTCCGCAGCAAGCAGGACCTGGTGAAGCTTGACGTCAATGGGCTGCCCTACGGCCTCTGCGCCGGCTGCATGGCCCGCAGCGCCAACGGACAGGTGGGTGGCCTGGCCCCGCCCGAGCCCGCCGACCGGCCCTGTGCCGGCCTCCGTTGCCCCGAGTGCAGTGTCAAGTTTGAGAGTGCCGAAGACCTGGAGAGCCACATGCAGGTGGACCACCGTGACCTCACGCCGGAGACCAGTGGGCCCCGGAAAGGCACCCAGACATCGCCAGTGCCCCGGGTAAGTGCAGTCCACCTCATCCTGCTCCCTGCTCCTCTCCTTGGGGCTCCTCTGGTCCCCACAGGAGCCACGTACCCTGAGTGCCGTGTTTCCAAGAAGCGGCGCTATCGCGCAGTGGCAAAACAGAACTGCTGTGCTGTAGACTCCTTGAGTTTGAACCTCAGCACTGCCATTGCCTTTCCAGCCATGTGATGGGCTCATGTTATTTATCTCTCTGGGTCTCATTTGTCAAATGCTAATGTATAAAATGGGAATAATAATTGTCCCAACCTCAGAGAATTGTTGTAAGAGGCCGAGGACATCATACAGGTAATGTGCCTGGCACAGTGGCTGATGCACAGTGAGGGCACCATGGGTGGTGGCTTGTGTCTTTGTTGTTGAGCTGGGGTATGACATACTCATTTGCTTATTGGGTCTCCTTAGGCAAGTCACTGACTTCTCTGGGCCTTAGATCCAGGATTCTTTTGACAGTTCATAGAGATCACACACACACAAGGGGCCGAGAGCCCAGCACTCATGGCTCAGTGGTGCTGGCTGTCATCACCAGCTGGTACTCTTATCACCAGTGGCATCATTTCAGTTAGTGCAGTTGCTGGTATGTGGAAGGCCCTTTGATGTGGTTTCAATTGCTGTTATTGTTAATGACTGATTGATTCGTTCATCAAATTTTCCCTGTTCATCAAAGCACCCATTATGTTTGGAGGTGCCTGGGAGCCAAGGAGAACCAGAAATGGACCCTGACTTGGGACTTGTGGACCAGAGGGAGCCACAGGCCCATGATAAGTGGCTTTCAATGAGCTGGGGAGAAGTCTAGGCTATGGATGGGCCCACACAGGCCTTGGGTACAGGGGCTGAGGGGCAACCAATGGTGGGCCTGGAGTCTGTGTGGCCCTTGGGTGTCAGACAGCACAGGTGTGGGGTTCCCATTGAGTCTGTGTTGTCTGTTTCCAGACCAAGGAGGTGCCAGGCGGATCTCAGGAGTATATTTCCCTCAAGGACCGCTGCTGGCACCATTGGCAGGGAGGCAGGATTTGGGGAAGGGCCATCTGCCATAGGCACCGGCTGGGACACAGGGGTGTTTGCTGAGGGTGTTTTTCCTGGGACCCTGTGATTTTGAGGGGGTGAGGAGGGCAGAGGGGGAGAGAAGAGGGCCAGAGAGAGTAAAGGGAGGACCCCACAGCGGAAGGGGCCTCAGTGCCTGCTGACCTTGACTTCTGGTGTTACACACAGGCCCACGGGAGCCAAGAGGGCCAGGGGACCCGTCCGTGGATATCTTCCTGAAGAGAGGACAACTTGAATGAAAATAGCGAGGCCGGGTGCTGTGGCTGACACCTATAGTCCCAGCACTTTTTGAGTTTGGAAGATCAAGGCTGCAGTTAGCTATGATCACACCATTGCATTCCAGCCTGGGTGGCAGAGTGGGACCCTGTTCCTTAAAAAAAAAAAAAAAAAAAAGCCAGGTGTGGTGGCTCACGCCTGTAATCCCAGCACTTTGGGAGGCTGAGGCAGGTGGATGACGAGGTCAGGAGATTGAGACCATCCTGGCCAACACGGTGAAACCCCGTCTCTACTAAAAATACAAAAATTTAGGTGGGCATAGTGGCATACACCTGTAGTCCCAGATACTCACGAGGCTGAGGCAGGAGAATTGCTTGAACCCACGAGGCAGAGGTTGCAGTGAGCCAAGATCACACCACTGCATTCTAGCCTGGGTGACAGAGGAAGACTCCATCTCAAAAAAAAAAAGAAAGAAAGAAAGGAAGAAAAAGAAACAGAGCTGCATGTCTGGCTGGGGCCTGGAGTCTCTCCTCAAAGTCCTGTCTGGAGTGGAGAGCTCCTTTTAGGGGCTATAGCAGTACCCCACCCTCTCAGGACCCTTTGTCTGAGCCAGGGTTCTAAACAGGGCCCCAGGAGGACCCCCTCCAGGGGCTGAGCATGGGCACTGGTTTCTGCTGCCCCGCTCTGTCCCCCTCAGCCTTTCTAGGGGGGCATAGGTGCTCTCAGGGAATGTTTTGGCCTTGGAGTCAGGTGGCCTGGGTTAAAATCTCCTTCTCCCAGGACCCAGCGGTAATTTGACCTCTCTGGGCCTCTGTGTTCCACTACGAAGCCAGAGGTAGTGGCAGTGGTAATGAATAGTGATAGTAATGGAATAGTAATAGAGTCTCTCCTGGGCTGACATCTCTGCATCTAGGGAGAAACTGGGGGGCCTCTCTGGTTTTTTAACCATTATCTGCTCTGATTGGTCACTGCCTGTTCCCCATCATTTGTGAACCATTGTGACTATTTCTCATGCTGACCTTAGCGTTTTGCTCTGAGGATTAAATGTGTAAATTAAGTGCCAAGCACATAGTAAATGTCGCTGATATTTTTCCCTTTTACAATGGCAATCCACACTCATTGAGGAGTAAGGACTTGCCAAGCACTTTCTATTTAATCCTTACAATATTTCATGTTGTAAATGAGGAAACTGAGGCATACCACAATGAGGTTGCTTGCCTCAAGCCCCCAGCTTTCGAGAGCTGAGAGGAGACTTGAACCCAGGCAGGCAGCATCTGCACCACAGCCCCTGATCTTGACCAACAGTCCACCCAGCAGCTCTGGACCACATCCTGGCTGCAGGAAGGGAAAGGCCAGCTGGGGTGGGGTCCCGGGTGGTCACAGCTGTGCTCAGGCTGTGGGGCAGTGCAGCTGGGCTGGGTCACTGTGCCCGCTTCTCCTGGGTGCCCCTCAACCCAGATCACCCCTCCCTTTCTGGCACTGCCCACCATGGTGCTGGGTTTTCTGATGGCCAGGGAGCTGTTTCTAGAGCCTCCAAAGCCTTGGGCTGTGTGAGCCTCCCTGGAGTGCTCTGCATCCGGCATCAAGCACCACTTTGTGAAAGCCCCTACTATGTGAGTGGTGCTCTGCTGGGCACCAACTTTTAGGTCATCTCTGTAGCAACAATCCAGGAACCTTGCTGTGGCCTGTGTTTTGGTAAAGAGGGGCTCCAGCTCAGAAAGGTGATGCCATATACCCAAGGATGCACAGCTGTGCGCGGCTGTGCAGGGACTGAAACTCAAGGGGACCGTGTTTCCTGGGGGCCCCCAGGCCTTCCTCTCCCTGCCTTTGGGCCTTGTGTGAGCAGGGATGAGCTGAAAATCATGGCTCTGCCTGCCTGGAGGCCTGGGGAGATGGGCCATTGCAGAAACAAAGCCCAGGTACCTCCCCAGGCAAGGCGGCATTCTCTGGGGCCTTGCCCCCTGTGTGGGCACACCTGGGGACAGGGGCCCAGATGTCAGTTAGCCCACCCCTTCCCTCCCTGAGGACCCACTCATGTAAGAACAGACTCTGGGGGTTTCACAGGGGCTTGGGGGCTGGCAGGCTGGGACCCTCGGGAGTGTATCCATAGCAACCAGCTCTCAGAGGACTGGGTTCCTGTGGGGCTGAGGCTGCTGTCGGCTGGAGCATGAAGCATTGAAGTTCCACCTCCCCCTCTGTTTATGGGTAATGACAACATCACCCCAACTCGAGACCAGCACGGGCAGACCCTGGCCATCCATTGATCCTGCAGATCCCCACGGTGCCTTTCTCTGCTAGGTGGGACAGGCCAGGTGTTCTCATACCCATTTTACAGCCAAGTAAACAGATATCAAGGTTAGAGGGCCTATCCAGATCCCACTAGCTTTCTGTCACCTAGACCAGGCCTGGCAGGAGATCTGGGACATGGAGCTGAGAATGGCAGCTCAGACAGTGGGCATCGAATTCCAGTTCTCCTACTCACCAGCAAGAGGCTCTGACCAAGTGATGCAGCCTCTTGAAACTCCACTTACCCCATCCCTAGGGTGGAGCTTGCAGAGGGTTTGTGAGTATTTAGCATAAATGCTGCCCACACATGGCAAGTGCTCAGTGAACATTGGCAGTGCTCACGATCATGGAAATATAACAGCTCTGGCTGGCTTTTCCTTCTCTCCTTCCTGTCTTGAAGGGCCTGGCCATTTCTTCCCTGCCCTCCCTCTCCTGTCTTTGCCATTCTCAAGTGTGTTTTCTTCCTGCCCGGGGCCCCCCTCTGCAGTTGCTCAGGGCTGTGTTGGGGGAGGCAGCCCTGGCCACAGGCCCTGGAACTCAGCTCTAGTTCTCCTGGGCTGGGCCCCAGGGAAGGGGCTTATGGCAGGGGAGGTGCTTTGAGTGCCAAGTTCTGTCTTTCTGTAATTATATCTCCTAGTGGGGGCTGAAGCTGCAGGAGGAGGGGGTCTCCAGGGGGGTTGAGAGTGGGGATAGACTAGGAATAGATGTTGGGGTGAGGACTGGAGTCCAGCCATGCTTGGAGGGTTTGGGGGCTGGTGAGCCTGTGTGTGTATGTGCCTATGTGTGAGTGCACATGTGAGCACTTATGAGTCTACATGTGTGTACATGAGGGTGTGTGGTACGTGTGGGGATGGGTCTGTGTGTATACTTGTGTCAGAAGCTGCATGCATGTCTGTGGGCGTATTTGGGAGTACCGGTGTGTGTACTGGGGTTGTGGTGAGTGAGCTGAAGGCAGGGTCTCTGGATGAGTGTGAACATGCCCATCTGTGTGGCCTTGTTCACCCATGTGGATGGCCCTGCTTCTCTGGGGGTTGCACATATGTATCTGTGTTACAGGTTGCTGTGTGTAGGGGTTGCGGGTGTGTCTGTGAAGGTCTTGTGTGTTGCTGGTGAGTTGGGGTGAAAGTGAGCATGTGAATGCATACGTGTGCTTGCACATCTGTGTGTGTGTCTTGTGTGTATGTGAGGGGTCAGCCCTTCTCCCGGCCCTTCCCTTGGGAACCCTCTGAACCCTATGAAGCCCAGTGCCCCACCAGGAGGGGCTCAGTTATTGGGCAGTGTTCTTCCTATTACCAAGGGGTGGCAGAGAGGCATTTGAGGGCAGCCTGTTTTCCTGCCCAAGCCCCTGGGGATGTATTTTCCAAGCACAGTGAGCTCCCTTTATTCACCTGCCCCTGAGAAGATCAACCAAGTCACTGTGATCATGGACTGTTCCCTGCATGCCTCTGGACCAGCCATGGCTGCAGCCTCTAGAGACTTGCACCCAAGCAAATCGCCATCCTTGGAGGGGGGACGTGGTCATCTGCCCGCAGCCATTGCTGCTGGTTGGTACCAACCCCATCCTCCCACCCACCCACCTATAGGCCTGGGCGGTCCTCATCCAGCAGGCCTCCCATGGGCTTCCTTGTGATGAAGCTTCCCTTCCTGGGATGTGCTTCATTCATTAATTCACTCATTCCATTCATTCGTTCATTCATTCAACCACCAAAGGCTCTTGCACTTTGCCAAGCAGAGTAGGTGGGGGCACATGTGAGACAGAAGGGATGGTTTTGATGCTGGAGACACCCGAGGTGGTTCATCTCCACGACCATGGCCCTGGAGTTGACCTGAGATGTGTACTCTGGGCTGCATCTCCTGAGAAGACCTCAGGCCCTGTAGTCTCCTTGTGGCCTAGACGTCTTCCTTTGTCTGTGGCAAGGCTGGACTCCCCAGCCCTGTCTTTCTCTCCACCCTGCCCCCGACTTACCTAGCTCTTCCCAGGGCCTTTCCATGCAGAGTGCCTGTGTCTGGGCCCCAGGCTGTGGCCTGTACTCAGGACACAGCGAATCCCCCAGGTCTTCTGAAACACTGTGGGAAAGGCCCCTGGTTTTGTCAGAGCAGGTCCTGGAGCCTGACGCATCCAGCTTCAGCTTCTCCAGTTGTTTCTTCATTCATTCATTTGTTCAAGCAGCATTTTCTTAGCGCCAATAATAATCGTAATAAAAGTTAAATAATTATTATGCACTGACTCTAGGTAAGGCCTGCGCTAGGGTGGTGTGGGTCCAGGACACTGAAGTCATCTTTGGTTCTCTTTGTCACCTCTGCCTGAATAGACTCCTCTGCATATGTTATTCTGCAACTTTATGTGTTCAGCAAATGCTTGTTAAGCACTTCATGTGCTGCCTCAAAGGTAGACAAAACACATTCCTGGCTCTCTGGGTGCTCATGGTGCAAGAGGGGAGCAGATGAACCAATCCACCCTGACACAACAATGTATTAATTACCCAGGGTCCTTTAGCATAAGTTCAGGGATGTGGAGGGGGTCCTGGACCCATTCTGGGGTGAAAAGAGAAGTCTTCTCAGAAGAGATGACATTTGAATTGAGTCAAGGATGGAGGGGGTGTTGCACATAGAGGAACCAGCACAGGCAAAGGCCTGTAGTTACTTAGGGAACTGTGGGTGTGGGTGGAAAGAGGGAAATAGGAACAGAGAACAGGTAGGATAAAATAGAAATTAATTCAAAAGATGGTAGGATTTAAAATCAACCATATTGACAATTACACTAAGTATAAATGGAGTTGAAATTTCAATCAAAAGGTAGAGATTGTCAGATTAGATGCAAAGAAAAAAGCAAGACTCAATTGAAAGCTATCTACAGGGCCTGGACTATAAATATAAAGACACAGGTAGGTTAAAAGTAAAAGGAAAGAAAAGTGTGCACCATGCAAGAGCTCATCATAACATTTCAGAATGATAAAGAGGGAAGTAGGAGCTGAGATGGTTAAGCTACCTGGTGGTTCATCTGGCTGCATAGTTGAGGGTTGGGCCTGGGACCTTGGCCAAGAAGTGTGAAGTCCTGCTCCCTTTTCCAGAAGTAAGAGAAGCCCTCTCATCCCAGGAACCAAAGTGGTCTTCAAAAAACTTGGATATTGTGATTCCAATACCACCCCTCTTTCTTCAAAAAACCCCACAGCCACAGTCCTTCCCTCAGATGGGCAACACCACCTCTGTCCCTGGGGTGTTTCAGAACCATCTGGGATTAGTTGTGTGAGTGAGGTTCACTCTTTGGAACAACTCTTCAAGAAGCTTTGAAGCTTCTCATCTCAGTTTTTCTGCCCTCAGCTCCCACAGGCAGCTGGTACTAGCCCCTGTGTGTGGAAACCAGCTGTAGGAACTCTTGGGGTCATTTGTGCTTAGGGCAGATGAGGAGTTCCTTAGCCACCCTTGAACACCAGAGTTGGCAGGAACAGTGTCCCCTGCTCAGCCACATGGTTATTAGGGTAAGTAAATGGATGAGAAGGTTATTGGATAGGTAGAAAAATAGATAGATAGATGGATGGATGGATGGATGGATGGATGGATAGATGGATGGATGGATATGTGTGTAGATGGACGAATGGGTAGACAGACAATAGGTAGGTGGATGGATGGATAGACTGATGGGTGAATAGATGGATGGATGGGTGGGTGTATGCGTGGATGGGTGGATGTGTGTGTGGATGAATGGGTAGATGGGTGGATGTGTATGTAGATGGATGGGTGGGTAGATAGAGGATGGATGCGTGGGTAGATGGAAGATGGATGAATGGGTAGATGGGTATGTGTGTGTGTAGATGTGTGGATAGGGAGATGGATGGGTAGATGGAGTATGGGTGGATGGGTGTGTGAGTATGTAGATAAATGGGTGGGTAGATGAAGGATGGATGGATGGGTGGATGGGTGGGTATGTATGTAGATGGATGGATGGGTAGATGGACGATGGATGGATGGTTGGAGTAGATGGATGGATGGGTAGATGGAGGGTGGATGGATAGGTGGATGGGTGGGTATGTATATAGATGAATGGATGGGTAGATGGAAGATGGATGGGTGGGTATGTATGTAGATGGATGGATAGGTAGATGGAGGATGGATGGATGGGTGGAGTAGATGGATGGATGGGTAGATGGAGGATGGATGGATGGGTCTATTGGTGGGTGTGTATGTAGATGGGTGGATGGATATATGGATGGATGGGTAGATGGAGGATGGATGGTTGGATGGATGGATGAATGGGTGGATGGATGGGTGTGTATGTAAATGGATGACTGGGTAGATGGGTGGGAATGTATGTAGATGGGTGGATGGGTGGGTGGGTGTTTATGTAGATGGATGGGCGGGTAGATAGAAGATGGATGGATGGATGGATGGATGGGTAGATGGAGGATGGATGAATGGGTATATGGGTATGTGTGTGTGTAGATGTATGGGTGGGGAGACGGACGGGTAGATGGAGTATGGGTGGATGGGTGAGTGAGTATAGATAAATGGATGGGTAGATGGAGGATGGATGGATGGGTGGAATAGATGGATGGATGGGTAGATGGAGGATGGATTGATGGGTGGATGGGTGGGTATGTATATAGACAGATGAATGGGTAGATGGAGGATGGATGGGTGGGTATATATGTAGATGGATGGATGGGTAGATGGAGGATGGATGGATGGGTGGAGTATATGGATGGATAGGTAGATGGAGGATGGATGGATGGGTGGGTATGTATGTAGATGGATGGATGGGTAGATGGAGGATGGATGGGTGGGTATGTATGTAGATGGATGGATGGGTAGATGGAGGATGGATGGGTGGGTATGTATGTAGATGGATGGATGGGTAGATGGAGGATGGATGGATGGGTGGAGTAGATGGATGGATGGGTAGATGGAAAATGGATTGATGGGTAGATGGAGGATGGATGGATGGGTGGATAGGTGGGTGTGTATGTAGATGAATGGATGGGTAGATGGAGGATGGGTGGGTATTATGTAGATGGATGGATGGGTAGATGGAGGATGGATGGATGGGTCTATTGGTGGGTGTATATGTAGATGGATGGATGGGTATATGGATGGATGGGTAGATGGAGGATGGATGGGTATATGGATGGATGGGTAGATGGAGGATGGATGGATGGGTCTATTGGTGGGTGTGTATGTAGATGAATGGATGGGTAGATGGAGGATGGGTGGGTATTATGTAGATGGATGGATGGGTAGATGGAGGATGGATGGATGGGTCTATTGGTGGGTGTATATGTAGATGGATGGATGGGTATATGGATGGATGGGTAGATGGAGGATGGATGGATGGGTCTATTGGTGGGTGTGTATGTAGGTGGATGGATGGGTATATGGATGGATGGGTAGATGGAGGATGGATGGTAGATGGATAGATGAATGAGTGGATGGATGGGTGTGTATGTAAATGGATGAATGGGTAGATGGGTGATTGTGTATGTAGATGGGTGGATGGGTAGATGGAGGATGGATGGGTGGATGTTTGGATGGATGGGGGCATGGGTAGATGGATTTGCCCTTCTAAGCAAGGAGGCCTCCCCTCAGCTCCCTTAAAGCTTCACCTTGAGATGGCAGTTTTCCCAGATCTAGCAGAGAAGCAGCTCCCTTGGAATGTAGCTTCATGCCCCTTCCTCAGTCTGGTAGAGCTGGATTTAGAGGAAGGTGGGAAGAGAATGGCCTGGGGAGACCTAGGAGGGGACTGGAACCATTCTGGAAAGTCTTGACCCAGGCCCCCTAGGAACTTTTGCTTTCTCCTTTTTCCTACCTCCTGCCTCTCTAAATCTTTTATTTTTGGTTTCCAAACAGAAAAAGACATACCAGTGCATCAAGTGCCAGATGACCTTCGAGAACGAGAGAGAGATCCAAATCCACGTTGCCAACCACATGATTGGTAAGAGAGCATTTCCTCCCAGCCATGCTGGAGCTACTCTTTGGGGTTTTAAATTTGCGGTTCCAATCATCATTTTACTGGCTTTTAGGCCAAAGGACAGAGTCACTGCTGCTGTTTCTGAGACATTGCACATGGGAGTGAAAATGTCAGAATGGGGGCCCTTTCTCCATCTGAGCCTTCTTGTCGCAGCTCCACTCACATTATAATCAAACTTTTGACAATCTCTTCCATTTTCCAGCATAAATTTCCCTCCGTTTCTGAAACAAAGTGCTTTCCAATTGTCAAGCACTCAGGAGCAATTATGCTTCAATTTTGTGTGTCATGACATTGAATAGATTTAACTGCTCACATTTCCCTACTCAACATGGTGAATTCCTCAGGCACATTGTCAAAACAGAACGCTTACAAAGTTATTTCAGTACTTTTCCCATTCCTCTTCAAGTGGTTTTGGACTTTGGAAAATTCAGCCTCTCTAGAAGGGCAGCTTGCAAAGTTCTATGGAGTTCACACACTTGGCACAAGAGACCTGGGAAGCTGTGAAGTCCCCTCTACCTTGGATGGGTGGATGTGGTCTCCTTGGCAGCTAGGGGTGCCCTCATTGTAGGAGAGGGCACAGCTGGATGTTCTGATGTTCTGATAGGCATGGAGGTTCTAAGGGAAGGGGCTGGCCTGGGATGGGCTGGGGCCTGGGAGAGCTTCAAGAAGCCTGGTACCCTGGGTCTTTGTTGGACATGTGATCACTTTCTCCAAGACTCTAGTCTGAGCAGTGAAGTTGCAGCCATGGGTTGAACTTCATCTTTTTGTTAATTTTTTATTTTAGACAGAGCCTCACTCTGTCACCCAGGCTGGAGTGCAGTGGTGCAATCTTTGCTCACTGCAACCTCTGCCACCCGGGTTCAAGCGATTTTCCTGCCTCAGCCTCCCAAGTAGCTGGGATTACAGGCACCTGCCACTGCGCCTGGCTAATTTTTCACCATCTTGGTCAGGCTGGTCTTGAACTCCTGACCTCGTGATCCACCCGCCTTGGCCTCCCAAAGTGCTGGGATTATAGGCGTGAGCCACCACGCCTGGCCTGAACTACTTCTTTACTTCATCTCTGTTTTTCTTCTTCTAGCATCTTTTCATTGTTGTCTTAACAGCTATGCCATCGGAGTACTGGTTTACAAAACCCTTTACTGCGTACATTTAGAAAACTTCTCATAAGTGAGAAGCTTAATGAATTTTCATGAACTAAACACACTTGTGTAACCCACACACAGATCAAGAAACAGACTATTTCCAGCATTTCAGAAGCTTCCCTCTTGGGCTCCTTCAGGCCCTCCCTTACCACCAACAGGTCATCACGATGCTGATGTCTAATAATATAGGTTGGTTTTGCCTGATTTCTAGTTTATGGAAATGGAATCACAGTTTCTACTCGTTTGCACCTGACATCTTTCACTTTTCACATTATTGCCTCTAGTTAGAGATCATGCCTCTCATTGGTGTATAATAATCTGTCACAGGAGCATGCCAACCACTCTTTATCTGTTTGATTCTTGATGGGCCCATTCTGAAATAGTGCTGGCATATTCATGGACATGTCTTCTTTTGTTTTGGTTTGGTTTGGTTTTTTTTGAGACAGAGTCTCACTCTGTCACCCAGGCTGGAGTGCAGTGGCACGATCTCTGCCCACTGCAACCTCCGCCTCGCAGGTTCAAGTGATTCTCCTGCCTCAGCCTCCCAGGCAGCTGGTACTACAGGCATGCAGCATCTCCCCTGGCTAATTTTTTTGTACTTTTAGTAGAGACAGGGTTTCACTATGTTGGCCAGGCTGGTCTCAAACTCCTGACCTCAAGTGATCTGCCCATCTCAGCCTCCCGAATTTCTGGGATTACAGGCATGAGTCACCATACCTGGCCCCATGTACATATCTACTGATGAACATATGTATGTGATTTTATTGTGATTATAGGAATATATAGATATTATATTTTGCGTTTATATATAATACATTATATACTGTTATATACTATATTCTTTATATGTGTAAATATGTATATAAAATGGGAATATAGGATTTGGATGGACTTGCTGAGTCACAGGTTAAATGATGTTCACCTTTAGTAAATGCTGACAAATACATTTCTGAAGTGGTTGTATGGACTTAACGCCCCCACCAGTGGTGTATGAGAGTTGGAGTTTGCTCCAAATTTGTACAGCCATCAAGGTTTTGTTTAAGGTTTGCATTGCAAAGGCCCTTCTTTAGTGAAGGTGCTCTCAGGGCAGGTATGGGTCCCCTGGTCCCTACCTAGCCACAGCATTGGCCAGTCCCCCTGACCCCCAACCTATCTGACAGCCTCTACCCCCAGTGCCTTGGAGCCAGTCTCCTGCAGCCACTGACTCCCAATCGTGTGTGTGGTGGGGCTCACCTGGCGGAGAGTGGGGAGGAGGGGCCCAGGAAGAGCAGGTGGGGGCTGTGGGAGCTTGGCCTGACAGGGAGATTGGTGGCTTCTTAATTTCTCCGTCTGAAAGCCCCCTGCTGAAGGATAAGAAGGGGCACTCCCCTGTCAGTCACTGGCTGCTGAGAGTCCTTTCACGGAGTGTCAGGGAGGTGAAGATGAAGATATCTAAAAATGTTTGCTTTTGTAGCAGATGTTAATGCGCGTTCCTGTTTGTAAGCATGAAGGGCGCAAGCCTGGCTAATTGGACTGCAGTGATTTCTGAGGTGTTTCTGCCCCCTCCCTCCTCTCTTCTACCTTGCCTTTAGTGCAGAGCCTGGAAGCTATGTGTCCTCAAGTGCAAGGCAAGGGGGTTGCTCTTAACTAGAGTTGTGGGAAACACAAAAGGAGGGTGTGAGGGGCATTTGGGCCTGTGTATGAGCTGTGGGCCGGGCTTCTGAGGGAAGGCGCCTTGGCTGGGGGGCTGGACAGGTCCCCTTGCCCATTCCTGCCCTGCAGCGCTGTCAGCTGACCTGGAGCCCAGGAACGTGGGAGTTGGAGGCCTGGAGAGCAGGCAGCAGGGAGTGGTTGGTTGGTCCCCGAGTGCAGATTCCAGTTCACTGCGGCATGGAACCCCGGGTGAGCCAGACCTCCGGTGGCTGGGCAGTCCCTCTCGCTCTAACCTGCACTCCCTACCTGCCTGCCCTCCCCGAGCCTCATCAACCCAGTCTACCAGAGGACCTTGACTGAGCACCTATGGCATGTTGAGAGTTGCAGCGGTCTCTGTGGGTGACGGGAGTACAGGGGACATGGTCTCTGCTTCAGAGATCATCCCATAGAAGACACTGCACATAGCATGCAGCAAAGAGGTCACATTGAATAAGGATGCTAACAGCTGCTACTGACTCAGCCTTTCTATGTGCCAGGCACTTTACATGGGCACTAGTTCCCCATCTGACAGATGAGGAACCCGGGGCTTAGAGAGGTTACGTGAGTTACCCAAGTCCTTCCAGCCTGAGTAATGGAGGCAGAGTCTGAACCACAGCTAGGGTCCCTCCATTGTGTTTGGAGCCCCTGCCAGGGCCTGTGGTGGGAGAGACCTCAGGGTTCCCTCTCCAGGGGAAGGCTGATGGGCATGCAGGTAACTGCAGTGCAGTGATGTGGGTGCTCCCAGAACAGGGCCCCCTGGGCATTGAAGGATGAAGAGGGGGGACGTTGCCTTCGGAGAGATGGCTGAACATCAGGAGGAGGCTCTGGAACAATGGGTTTCTGCCAGGCTGCGAGGGTGATGAGCCACTGCCTATAGCAGGATGGGGGGTGAGCAGAGCAGGTGAGTCTGGGGGGCTGTAGGTGCTTGGCTTGGCCAAGACTGAGGCATTGTGGGGAGTGAGAATGGGGAGGGGGTTGGGGTGAGCCATGGAGCACCTCCGATACCAAGTGGAGGGGTTAGGGTTTGTCCTTCACCCCGTAGGCCAGGGTCCAACTTTGGGGGCCCCTTGGCTATGGTTTACTAGGCTTCTCTTGAAAAACCACAAGAGGTGGCAGCAAGGGCTTCACATTCCCGCAATCATCATTCCCACCTGGCGTGACTTAGCAGCAGCAGCAGTTTCCTGTATGTAGGCAAGGCATGCATTCCCAGGCATCATGGTCTTGCTCAGTTAAGTCTCCAGCCTGGTCCCTGTGGGTACCTGAGTTTAAACCTTGGACTTAAGCGCTAGGGAGCCATTGAAGGTTTCAGAGCAGGGTATATCCTGGCCTGAGCCTTAGGAAGAAGAATCTGGCTGCGGTGTTGAGAAGGAACCAGTTGGGAAGAGAACGAAGACCCACCTGGTGTGGTCCTGGGGTGAGTGAACAGGGCAGGGGGAGAAGAGGAGTTGATGGAACTTAGATGTGGCTTGTGCTGTGATTCTGGCTGGCCCTGGTGGCTTGGGAAGGCTGCTGGGGAAATGGTGAGAGGCAGACACTGCAGGCCTGGTTTGGGGCTGGCTCTGCAATCCCAGTAAATCTTTTGGGGCCCAGTGTCCCAGTGGATGGCTTCTCCTGCTAAATGGTCTGAGCCCAGAGTGGCTGCCCTGCCGCTGACGGGGGTAAAAGTCCCCCTTAGTGGCACCAGGGGGACTTGGTGGGTAGAAGTGGCCCTGTTCAGCTCTGCAGCCTTCTCATAAACTCAGGGCACTTGGGGGTCTGAGGCAGGCCTCCCCTGGGACCCGGACTGCTGGAGAGCTCCCCTGCGGGGCGGTAAACCGGCCTTTTTATAGCGGGGGCCTCTGCATGGCTCTGCAGCCCGGAGACCCTGGGAGTTATGATGACTCAGGGACATGTCTCCTTGGAAACATTTTCCCAGCACCCCTCTCCTGGCTGCTGCTTGGAGGGGAGTGATTTGGATCTGATAGAAAGGCGAGGGTCTTTGGAAACCTTTCAATAGCAGGGTCTCCTTTGAAATCCCCCCTCCGCATGGAGAATGAGGCCCCTTCCCTGGGACTCCCCCAGCTTTTGAAATGGCTTTGACACTTCCTCCCCCAGAAGGCACATGAAAAACTTGGAGCAGCCCAGAGCTCTGTGCTGTGGCCTCCTGCCGGGTTGACCCAGCTCTGCCCAGTCGCCCTTTCCCCACCTCCCCTTCACCCCCTCCGAGGACTCTGGGAGGATGACTCCCACCTCTGCCGCCCCAGGAAATTGCTCTGCAGGAGGCCCCTGCCTTGGGCTCCCCGGGGGGGCTGCTGAAGGAGAGAGAGGGAGGCTTATGGGGGGCTTGGCCCAGAGGAAGCTGGTCCCCCACGGCTGGGAAGGGAGGAGCAGTGGGTCTGCCCACATGTGTTGAACATATATGTATAATGTATGTACACTGCCCTCCTGGGGCACATGGCACCTCACCCTGGGGGGCAGGGCCTGAGTCTGGAGACCCCCAGGAAGCCGATTTGCTGGAGAGGCCTTACTTTTAGTTTGTTTTGGGTGGGGATGGCTGGATAAGGGGTCTGAGAACTTGTCCTTGAGATAACAAACTTGCCATGACCCAGGTTGGCCCCAAGGGAGTGACTCAGCCTCTGGGCCCCTGGACGTCCTCACGCAGGGCCTCACGGGCCCCTTGGGGGAGCCCCGGGGAGGGTCAGGGCTGGGAAGGGATGGTCCTCAGGGAATCTTGTCAGGAACGCTTGCCCTTGCTGTCCTTGGAAAGTGGCTGTGGACTCTCTGGCGGGCAGCCAGGCCAGAGCCAGGCCTGTCCCGGTGGGGCATTAGTCATTCCGGAGGCCTGCTTTTCATGCTCACGCCGGCCCTTTCCCTGGGTGCCTTCAAGGGCTGGGCTCTGCTGTCAGGGGCAAATACATGGGGGAGGAAGTGGGTGTTTGGAAAATCAACCCCTCCTGCCTCCTGCCCAGGCTCTTAAAGTGTCCCCAGTGCCAGCTTCTGTCCTTGTGTGTCCTCTTGTCCCCAGCCCTCCCCTGTCACTGTGGCAGGACTGGCCCTGGCCAACCTGGAGGGAGGCATGTGTTTTGTGTCTGTGTGTGTATGTGTCTGTGTGTGTATGTGTATGTGTGTGTCTGTGTGTGTATGTGTATGTGTGTGTATGTGTGTGTTGTGTGTGTGTGGTGTGTGTGTGTGTGTGTGTGTGTGTGTGTAGAAGAGAGAGAGGGAAAGAGGGAGACAGACAGAGAGAGGGTTTTTCTACCTTACAAGTCTTTATGAAGCACATCCCTGGAGATACTTTCAAACCACCTTGCAGAGCCAGGGCCCACTGTTCAAGCTGCCATTTGGACCCTGGCCCCGTGCTGAAGGCCCAGCCTGCAGCATTTTGGAGGGGAAGGAGTCTCTGGTCCAAGGAGGACAGTCTGGAGTGGAAGTCAGTGTCTCGCCCCAGCTCCAGGGAGATACAAAAAACCCAAATAGAACCACAGAGGAAAATCTCATGAACATGAAAAGAAAAAGGGGTTCCTGTCTCCTTTCTGCCAGGATCACGTGTTGCTGAACCGGGCTGTGTCAGGCTCTTCAATGGTGCTTTTGATTCAGGTAACACCAGACCCAAAACATCTGTCTAACCTTAATATGTGATAAAAATGTCTCCCTCTCCCTCCAGAGATCATGTTTCAGGTTCTGGAACTGTTCTGTCAGAATAACAAGCCTGTACAGCAAGACTATAATCCAATTCTTTTTTATTCTTTTTTTTTTCGTTGCCAAACCCCCAAACTAGGGCATAGTCACTTCCCCCTCAACAGTCTTCCTGGCTGAGAGAACCAGCCCAAAGGACTTGGTTTCCCTGACTTTGAATCCCGTTGGTTCATTCGAGGAAGCTGTTTAGGTCTATGGAGAATCCATCAGTTCTGAATTTTAAAATAGTGGAAAATTTCTCATTTTCTTGAGTTCCTTTTGTATGCGTATGTGTTTGTTTGTTTGTTTTGGGGGAAGGCCTCTGTCATTGAGGTTTCTTCTAGTAGTAACCTCATACCTTCATGTTCAGTAAACACTATTAAAATCCTCGGTGGGCTCTGTGAGGGGCCGCTAACCCAGCTCAGGAGATGATAACCTGCAAGGTCAATGTAACGTCACAAGTCTAAGATAAGGGAGCTCAGAGGACAGGCATGTTGCCCAATCTGGGTATTCCAGGAAAACTTCCTGGAAGAGGTTACACCTAATCAGGGTCTCAGAGTATAAGAAGTAAGGTGGGAGGGGAATTCCAGGCAAAGAAACTAGTACAAGCCAATTATAGAGAAAAGAGGTCCATGTAGTATGTAGGGACACTGTACACAATTCAGTACTGCAACAGAACAAACTTTGAGGCAGGAGGTGGGTGGATCACAGCAAAGGGGATGAGGTAGAGTAGGTGAGAGAAGGTGAGGATGTTGGATAGGAGGATATGGGCTGGAGAAACATTTAAGAGACATAACCAGCAGGATTTGCTTATTGAGTGGACATGGGAGGGGGAGAAGTTAGGAAGACTCAAAGGTCTCAGGTGACCAGGTTTTGGGTGACAGGTGGCAGATGATACCATGCCAGAGGAAGAGCTCTTAGGGACTGGCAGAGAAGACAATGATGCTAGCAGTGGTTCATGTAGCAGTCCATTCTCACACTGTTGTAAGGATCTACCCAAGACTGGGTGATTTATAAAAGAAAAAGGTTTAATTGACTCACAGTTCTGCAGGGCTGGGGAGGCCTCAGGAAACTTACAATCATAGTGGAAGGGGAAGCAAGCACGTCTTACATGGCGGCAGGAGAGAGAGAGAAGAAAGCAAAGGGGGAAGAGCACCTTATGAAACCATCAGATCTTGTGAGAACTCATTCATGAGAACAGCATTGGGGAAACCACCTCCATGATCCAATCACCTTCCTCTCTCGACACGTGGGGATTACAGGTCTCTCCCTCCACACATGGGGATTACAATTCGAGATGAAATTTGGGTGGGGACACAGAGCTAAACCGTATCAGTCAGTACCATCTAATGAAGCTTACTCAGCACCAGGCCCTTCTTTCCATATCTGCAGGTGTTATCACACTTCACCCTCACAACACCCTGTGAGACGTGCTGTCATTACTTCCTTTTATCCATGGGGAGTTGAGGTGTCATGTCCAATGTTGCTAGTTTCAGGGTAGGGACCTGAACTCAGCCAGTGTGACTCGGGGCCTGCGCCCTTAACCCCTGCACCTGAAGGCTCATCACGTTTGGTGGGCTTGAGTGTTTGTGATAATGTGGCCTTGCACAAGATACCCATGGAGATCTGAGGGCCAGCAGGGCCCTGTCTGGGGAAGAGGATCCAGCGGCATCAGCATAGATGGTGAGAACATCTGGGAGGAGCCTGGAGAGTGAGGAGTGTAGGGTGGTTGGTGCTGAAGGAGCAGTGTTTCCAGGAATATCAATTGGGTGCAGTGTGAAAAGTGCACTGGGAGGGAGGCTGAAGAGGGTCTGTGTGGCTCAGCAACAAGTGGCCATTGTGTCCTGGGTGTGAGCAGGGTCAGTGGCATCAGATGGAAGGGGTCAGGAGGAGATGGGGGTGGGCAGCAGTGTCAGTGGACTTTCCGGGTTCCAGGCTGGGAGAGGAGGGAGAGAAGTGGGAGCTGGAAGGCTCCAAAGGTAACAGGAAGTATTTGCATTTTTAAGAGAGAGAGACCAAAGTGTGTTTCTAGGTTCGGGAGAGAGATCCAGCAGGGAGGGGAAGAGGAAGGATGGAAGTGAGGGAGATGCTGATGGAGCTGGTCCTGGAGGGGCTGGCACTGGAGCCCTGGCATCATCTTGCTTGAGCCGGCTCATAAGCATGTTCTTCTCTTCTTGCTGTCATGTCACATGGGCTTGGTGGCCTGGATTGTTGAACTGACTTTGTTGAGCATCCTTTGATGTCATTTGGCTGCTTGGCAGCAGCTGATGCATGGGCAATTTCCCTCATACCTGCTTCTGGCTGAGCCTTACTGGAATAACAGCAGACAACAAGGGTCCTGTGGCCAGTGGCCCCAGAGCTTGGTCCCCTCTGTCCTGAGCACCCAGTGGGCTTCAGAGCCTCAGACCTGGCCTTGGATCCTTGGGGCCCAGCGGGGAGAAAGTGGAAGGCCTCTTCCACTGGCCTCAGGAGCGTCCTGAAGCTGCCCATGAGCCAATCGTTATGGCCAGGGAGGTGGAGCTGGTTATCTGGTCAGGCTGGTGACCCCTGCCCTTCCTGGGTGTCTGCCCCCCAGCAGTGGAAGTAGGAAGGGTATTATTGAAAAGAAAGAGGGCTTTTATTTCCACAAGAAGGGGCAGCACAAACAGTGCAACTCACCACACCTACTGGTTGGCACTGTTTGGAGGATTAAATAAATTAAAATGTATGAAAAGGTCCCAGCACACTGCCTGGCACATGTTAAGTTCTGAATAAATTCTATCTATCAATATTGTATTAGTGTTATTAGATGATGATGATGATAGAGTCCCAGTTTAGAGAGGAAAAACCGGCCATGCTAAGCCTATATACCAGATGTCAGTGCTTATCAGCTCAGAGGATGCTCCTGAGGGCTTTCTGCAAGAAGAATGGCCCCCTCTCTCTGCCTTGTCAAGACTCCAAGGGGCTGGGCCTGGAGGACAGACCCAGAAGGAGTAGCTCCAATCAAGCCGATTTTTCATTTATTCCTTCATTCATTCAGTTTTCTTTTTTTAATTTTTAATTTTTATGGGTACATAATAGGTGTATATATTTATGGAGTACATGAGATCTTTCGATACAGGCATGCAATATATAATAATCACATCAGGGAAAATGGGGTATCTATCACCTGAAGCATTTATTCTTTCTTTGTGCTACAAACAATCCAATTATACTCTTTTAGTTATTTTAAAATGTACAATAAATGATTGTTGACTGTAGTCACCCTGTTGTGCTATCAAATACTAGATCTTACTGATTCTGTCGAACTATATTTTTGTACCCACTAACCATCCCCACTTCCCCTCCCTCCCTGCTACCCTTCCTAGCATCTGCTGACCATCACTCTGCACTCTATCTCCATGAGTTCAGTTGTTTTAAATTTTAGCTCCTACAAATGAGTGAGAACATGGGACATTTGTCTTTCTGTGCCTGACTTATTCCACTTAACATAATGTCCCCCAGTTCCAAGTTATTTTTCTTTCTTGAATACCTACTGTGTGCCAGGCAGTAAGCATGAATATTGCAGCAAGCAGAACAGTCTTTGCCATTTTGTCCCAGAGCATAGTGTCTGGTGGGAGCAGACAGGTGTTCACTAAGAGAACAAGTAAGAGCTCCTGATTGTGTCCAATAGTGATGGGTACCACACAGAAGAGAAGGGCGGGTCCTGGGTGTGTGTGGGAGCAAGGTGAAAATGAAACGTATGCAGCGGCCTCCCTGGAACTGACTTGCAGGCTGATAGCAAAGTCTCATCAAAGCATTTTTTGTTTTGGTCAAGCACGTGGCTGCCCACCGACCTGAACACTTGAACCCACTGCTCAGCACGTCCTTTCCCTGTAGGGAGGCGAGACCATTTGGGTGGAGCCAGGTCATGGCGACAGAGGCCCAGGGGTTGGCCTGGGCTTAACTGGGTGATGCTCCTGGTGCCTAGAGGAGCCCCTTGGTCAGGCTGCCAGGCCCCCTGTTACCGAGACTCCAGCATCTGCTCTTTAGACCTCTGGTTTCTGCCTGATTGCCCCACACAGGGTTGTTTCACCAGCAGCTGGGGGACTTCAGGCCTCCCAGCTTGTGACTGCCCTCTGCCCCCACCATGGGACTGCCTAGCCTGCGTGCCTTTCTGGTCCTCTGGCATCCCTTTGCTCATTCTCTTTTACTTCTCCCTGTTTCCACCCTGCCTTTTTCAGCCCACTGTCCCTGGGGGCTCCAGAACCCTCCTGTCCCATCCTTCCCCTCTAGGTGTCCAGATTTACCCACTAAAAATACAGGCTAAGTAAGTTTGAATTACAAATAAACAGCCAATACATTTTTAGTCGAAGTATGTCTCCATTCATTTGCATGGGACATACTCTACTAAAACATTATTTCTTGTCCGAAATTTGCATTTGCCTGCCGTCCTGTATTTTACCTGGCAACCCTGCACCCTCTCCACGCCTCAAGCCAGTTAGCCTGGGAAGAATGCTGGTGCTCATTACCCCCCTGCCCCGTGTGTGTGTGTGTGTGTGTGTGTGTGTGTGTGTGAGATGGAGTTTCTTTCTTGTTGCCCAGGCTGGAGTGCAATGGCACGATCTCGCCTCACTGCAACCTCTGCCTCCCAGGTTCAAGTGATTCTCCTGCCTCAGCCTCCTGAGTAACTGAGATTACAGGCAAGCGTCACCACACCTGGCCAGTTTTTGTTTTATTAGTAGAGATGGGGTTTCACCATGTTGGCCAGGCTGGCCTTGAACTCCTGACCTCAGGTGATACACCCGCCAGAGCCTCCCAAAGTGCTGGGATTACTGTTGTGAGCCACTGCTCCCTATCCATTCCCCCTTCTTTTAAAGCCCCTCCTGGGCTTTTATTTGTCCTTTAAACATTTTTAGCTTAAAGACAATAAAGTTCTTATTTTGAGATAATTGTATATTCACATGCAGATTCACATAGAGGTCCTCTGTACACTTTACCCAGTTTCTCCCAACAGTAACATCTTGCAAAACTAGAGTACAATATCACATCCAGGATATTGACATTGATACAGTCAAGCTACAAAACATTTCCATTGCCACAAGAATCCCTCCCGTTGCCCTTTTATAGCCATAGACACTTCCCTCCTACCCATAATCCTTGGAAACCACTACTCTCTTCTCTGTTTCTATAATTTTATCATTTCAAGACTGTTATATAAATGGAATTATATTTAAGTTTTCGTTATTTTGGGGGTAAATTCCCAAGAGTGCAATTGCTAGGTCTGTAGTACTTGCATGTTTGACTTTTTAAGAAATTGCCAGACTGTTTTCCACAGTGGCTGTGCCATTTTACATTCCTACCAGCAATGTAGGAAAGATCACATTTCTCTACGTTCTCACCAGCATTTGTTCTGTCACTATTTGTTTAGTTTAGCCAATCTGATAGTTGCATTGTGATATCTCATTGTGCTTTTAATTTGCATTTCCTTAATGGCTAATGATGTTGAACATCTTTTCATGGGCTTATTTGCCAGCCATTCCTCTTTGATGAAATGTTCCTTCATAAATTTTGCCCATTGTCTAATTGGATCATTTGCTTTTTTACCATTTAGTTTTGAGAGTTCTTTATGTATTCTAAGTACTAGTCCTTTGTTAGGTATGTGGTCAGCAAATATTTTTCCCAGTCTGGAGCTTGTCATTTTATCTTAAGAGGAGCTTTTGCAGAATAAAAGTTTTTAATTTTGTTTAATTAGATTTGTCAATTTTTCCTTTATGGATTATACCTTTGGTGCAAAGATTTTCTCCTATTTTTTTTTTCCTGAAAGTTTTATAGTTTTATTTTAGGCCATGGTCCATTTTGAGTTAGTTTTTATATACAATATAAGACTTAGGTTGAAGTTTTTTGTTTTTGTTTTTATTTTTGCCTATGAATGTCCAGTTGATCCTGTATCATTTGATGAAAAGGCTATCATTCTTCTATTGAATTGCTTTGTTTGTTTTTAGAGACAAGATCTAGCTCTGTCGACCAGGCTGGAGTGTTTGTAGCATGATCATAGCTCACTGAAGCCTTGAACTCTTGGGCTCAAGCAATCCTCCTGCCTCAGCACCAACTTCCCCCCTAACAAAATAGCTAGGACTACAGGCATAGGCCACCACATCTGGCTAATTTTTAAATTTTTGTGGAGAAGGATCTCACTATGTTGCCCATCTGGTGTTGAACTCCTGGCTTCAAGCAATCTTCTTGCTTCAGCTTTCCAAAGCACTGGGATTACAGGCATGAGCCACATTGTCCAGCCTCTCCATTGAATTGTTTTTGCACCTTTGTTAAATATCAGTTGAGCATATTTCTGTGGGTCTGTTTCTGGGTTCCACTGATGTATGTGCCTATCCCTCTGCCAAATACAATATAGTCTTGATTACTATAGCTATAGAATAAGTTTTGGAATTGAATAAACTGATTCCTTCTTTATTGATTGTCTTTTTCAAAATTGTTGCTATCTAGCTCTTTTTGCCTTTCCATATATATCTTAGAATAATCTTGTCTGTATCTACCAAAATTCTTGCTGTAATTTTGACTGGAATCATGTTAAATGTGTATATTGATTTGGGGAGAAATGACATCTTTACTGTCTTGAGTCTTCTAATCCATTAACATGGTATGTTTCTCCATTTATTTAGACCTGTGATTTCTTTCATCTTTTTTTTTTTTTTTAAAGTTTTCAACATCCTAATTTGGTACAGGTTTTGTTAGATGTATCTAATTATTTTAATTTTTTGAGCAATTATAAATGGTATTGCATTTTTAATTTCAGTGTTCATGTGTTTATTGCTAGTATATAGAAATACAGTTGGTTTTTGAATGTTCATTTTTGTATTGCTTGACTTTGCTCAACTTAGTTGTAGGAATTTTTCTGTAGATTCTATGGGATTTTCAGCATAGACAATCATGCCATCTGTAAATTGGGACAGTTTTATTTATTTCTTAACTATCTGTATGCCTTTTATTTCCTTTTCTTGCCTTATTGCCCTGGCTAGACCTACTGGCACTATGCTGAGTAACAGTAGTGTGAGAGTGGGTATGTTTGCCTTATTTCTGATCTTAAGGGAGACAACATTCAGTCTTCTACGATTAAGTAAAATAACAGCTATAGGTTTTCTTTGTAGATACTCCTTATCAAGTTGAGGAATTCTCCTTCTATCTAAGCATTTTTTGTTTGTTTGTTTGTTTGTTTTTTACCATGAATGGGTGTTGGATTTTGTCAAATGCCTGAAGTTTTTGTCTTTTTTTTTTTTTTTTACTGTACCTATTGTGAGACCATGCACTTTTTCTTAAGTATGTTAATATGGTGGATTATATTGACCAGTTTTCAAATATTGAGTAAGCCTTGCATCCTTGATATATATATATCTCATTTGGTCATGGTGTATACTTCTTTTTATATATTGCTAACTGCTATTTGCTAATACTTCGTCAGGGATTTTTGTATCTGTGTTTATGAGGGATATTGGTCTGAAGTTTTATTCTTGTCCTGTCTTTGACCGGGTTTTAATATAGGGCAATATTAATTTACTGAAATAAACTGGGAAGTGCCCTTTCCTCTTCTGTTTTCCAAAAGAAGTTATGTAGAATTGGTGTTGATTCTTCTTTAAACATTTGTTAGATTTATCCAGTAAAACACCTGGGTCTGGGGATTTCTTTACAGGGAGTTTTAAATTATGAATTCCATTTCCTTAATAGAATAGGACTATTCAAAATATCTATTTCTTATTATGTGTATTCTGGTAGTTTGTATTTTTTGAGAAATCAGATCATTTCATCTAATTTATCAAATTTATGTATGTAGAGTTTTTCATAGTATTATTCCCTTATTATTCTTTTGATGTCTGTAGTGTCTGTAGTGATATCCTCAGTTTCATTCTTGATATTGGTAATCTGTGTCTTCTCTCTTTTTTTGTTAGTTTTCTTAAAAGAATTGTCAATTTTATCAATCTTTTAAAACACCACCTGTTTGTTTAATTGATTTTCAATTTTGTTTTACTGTTTTCTGTTTCAGGGTTTCTGATCTTTTCCTTATTATTTTCTGCATTCTGCTTGTTCTATGTTTATCTTCATCTTTTTCTAGGTCTTTGAGGTGGAAGCTTAATTAATGATTTGAGACTTTTTCTCTTTATTAAGCATTTATTGCTATACATTTCCCTCTTAGCCTTTACTTAGCTGTGTCCCACGAATTTTGACATGTTGTAGTTTATTTTTTTGTTCAGTTCAGTGTATTAAAAAATTCCCATGAGCTTCCTCTTTGATCCATGATTATTTAGAGGTACGTCGTATAGTTTCTATTGTTTGGAGGCTTTCCTGCCTTTCTGCTATTAATTTCTAGTTTGGTTCCATTGTGATAGGAAAAAACACTATGTATGATTTCAGTTATTTTAAATATGTTGACATTTGTTTTATGACCCATGATATGGTCTGTCTTGGTATTTGTTCTCTACGCATTTGAAAAAATGTGCATTCTGTTATTGTTGGGTGGAGTGTTGTATAAATGTCTATTAGATCCTGTTGGTCAATGATTTTGAGTTCTTCTGTATCTTTTCTGATTTTCTGCGTAGTTGTCCTATCAGTCATTGAGAGAAAGGTTCTGAAGTTTCCTACTATAATTGTGGATATGTCTATTTCTTCTGTCAGCTCTATTAGCTTTTGCTTAGCATATTTTGCAGCTCTGTTGTTTGGTGCATACATATTTAAGATTTTCTTGGTAGATTGACCCCTTTATCATTGTTTAATGTTCTTTTCTTTCTTGCTAATTTTTTGTTCTGAAGCCTTCATTATATAATATTAATATAGCCTTTTTGCTTTCTTTCAATGAATGTTTGCAAGATATATCCTTTTACATTCTTTTACTTTCAACCTGCCAGTATTGTTATATTTTAAGTGAGTTTTTTGTAGACAGCACATAGGTGAGTCATTTTCCTTCCAGTCTGCCAATCTTCATCTTTTAATTAGTATAGTTAGGTTATTTATATTTAATGTTGTTAATGATATGTGAGAGCTTCAGTCTGCCATTTTATATTTTATTTTCTGTTTTTCATTTGTGGTTTACTTTTTTCCTTTCTGTGACTTACTTGAACATTTTTAAGAATTTTATTTTGGTTTATCTGTAGTGTTTTCATTTCTTGATACAGCTTTTTATCATGATTACTGTAGGTATTATATTATATACACATAACTTATCAAAGACTACTGGTGTCATAATCTTACCAGTTCAAGTGAAATGTAGAAAAGTTACCTCCCGTAGGTCCCTTTACTCTTCCCTACTTATGACTGTCTTAACTATTTCTTCTGCATATATTTAGTACTACATCAGACAGTGTTAACATTTTACATTAGACATCAAACATAATTTAGAAAACTCAAGAAGAGAAGGGGAATTAGTGGTATCTACAGTAAAATTTCCTTACCATGTTCTTTCTTACTACCTAATGTTCCAATCATTTCCTCTCTGTTTAGAAAACTTCCTTTAACCATTCTTTTTAGGGTGATTCTGCTGGTGACGCATTCTCTTAGTTTTCTTTTATCTGAGAGTATCTCAATTTTCCCTTGATTCTTGAAGGTCATTTTCACTGGATGTAGAAGAACTCTGGATTGACAGTTCTTTTTTATTCAGCAGTTGAAAAATGCTCTGCCACTTCCTTCTTGCCTCCATGGTTTCTAATGAGAAATCTGCTGTCATTTGAATTATTTTTTCACTGTGTATAAGGTGTCATTTTTTCTCCAGCTGCTTTCAAGATTTTTTCCTGTCCTGGAGTTTTCAGGAGTTGGAATATGATTTGTCTTGGTGTGGATTTCCTTGTGTTTATTCCTTTTGAGTTTCACTCAGCTTCTCGAATACATCTACATCTCTTGCCAAATTTGGGAATTTTTCAGCCATCACTCTTTTGAGTACATTTTCAATCCTGCCCTCTTTTTTTTTTATCTCCTTCTGGGACTTGAATCACAAAAATGTTATAGTCCCACTGGCCCCTGAAACTCTGGGTGATTTTTATTATTCTATCTCCTATTTCACTGATTCTTTTTTTCTCTTCTCTCTTCTGCTGTTAGGCCTATTCATTGGGTTTTAAGATTTTCTCCTTTATCCATTTCTAAAATTTCCATTTAGTGCCTCCTTGTATCTCCTATTTCTTTGTCAAAACTATCTAGGTCTTTGCTGGACTTCTTTTTTTTTCCACTTGTTTCAAGGATGATCATAATTGTTTATTGACGTAATTCTATGATGCCTCCTTTAAACTCCCCATTAGATAATTCCAACATCTCTGTCATTTTGATTTTGGCATATATTGATTGACTTTTTTGCCATTGAATTTGAGATCTTGTTTCTTGGTAGGATAGATGATTTTTGATTGAAATCTTTATGTATTACATAATGACACTGTGGATCTTATTTAAACCCTCTGTTTTAGCTGGCTTCCTTTGACCCCACTCCAGTGCAGAAGGGGTGCAGATGCCATCTTGCTACTGCCAGGTGTGGGTAGAATTCCAGGCTCGTTTCCTCCCTAGGTCTCCACTCATACCTCTCTGAGCAGTCGTGGTAGGAATGCATCATTTCTGCTCTCCACATGGTCTCCACTATACCAGGAGGATGGGTTAGGGCACTTGTTACTGTTAGGTAGGAGGGGAGTCCAGGCTCCCCATGTGGTCTCTACTGACACCATGGGGAAAGGCCTTGTTACTGCCCAGCAAGTATGACTGTCTTGGCTCCCTGCTAGGGTTTCTCTGATGCCACATTAACAGGGATGGGAAGAGCGGGCGGTGAGTGCCTCATTATATAAGCCTTGCCAGCACGGCAGTCTCAGATCTCCATTCAGCCTTTGCTGGAGTGGATGGTGGTGGGGTCATAGTTTTCTTCTGTGGGGTTTGCCTGGAGCAGAGCTGTTATTGTCTAAACGTTTTCTGTTTTGCCAGGCAAAAATCTTTCCTGGTCCTTTGGCTAGAAAGAGTGGGGTTTGGTTAAGGCTTAAAGCAAAATCCTTGTTGGTGTTTCTGGGTTGCCAGTTTTGTCAGGTCCTAGTCTGGGATATATGAAGCAAAAAGAAAACCCAGGATCCTCACCGCTTTGTCACTCCTTGGGTCCCTGGCTGGTCTGGCTTCTTCTCTCTGCCTTTCTGAATCTTCTTCTGTTTCTTTCATATATAATGTTCAGGGTTTTAGTTGTACTTCGACAGAGGAATAGGGAATAGTACATCTGTGGGAGTGATCTGGAAGCAGCACAGGCAACTGAGAACCTCCATAAACATTGTTTTATTCCACAGCAACTTCTGTGCTAGCTTGTAGGACTCAGGGTGTGGAAATTGGAGCTAAGAGTTTGAGGGCTTGAGCTCAGGCCCCTCCTCCTTCCCCCTCCCCTCCTCTTCTGACTCGCCTGTTGGTGGCAGTTGTAAATCAAGCCTAGCAGTAAACGTTGATACTAACGATCCCTTGTTCCTGTGCCAGCATTGCTTTTTATATTCTTCCCTCCGATGGTCCTTCTCACTCTGGTTTTATCCTCCTAGGAGCTGATGAGGTAGACAGGCTGGGGTGGGGTCCCACCTGACATATCAGATGGGTGCACTCATAGTGTAGACCAGGAGCTGGGCAAAGGTGGGGCATAACTGGTGCTTGGGGGTTGAGGGGAAAATCACTGATCCAGTGTTGAAGATATGGGGTGGTAGAATGATCTCCAGTCATTGATGCCTAGGGCTAAAAGTTGTCATGGGAGTTGGGAGGGGCAGACGGAAATTCCACTGGCCATATGGTGGTCTTGTCCTTCAAAGGAGGACAGCTCTCGCACTAACACCACTTCTCCTGACTGGGCATCTTGAGCCCCCTCCCCGCATTCCCACAGGTGGGGCCTTAGGAAGCTGTTGTGGAATTGTAGCATTTGGATGGATAATGGAAAGGGGTGGATGTTCCTGAGATTTCGAGGCAAATAAAAACATGCCAGATTGTTTTTGAAGCATCAAATGCAAATTGTCAACATGAACATATTTCTGGACTTAACAGTTGAATGTGTGAATTAATTATGGGCCTATTAAGATACAGAATGATCCTTACTTTCATATGACTAAAACAACCCCATTATCCAGCCCTTTCACTTTGGGAAGAGGATTCCGTGGGCTGCTCTTTTAAAGCTGCAGGGGCTGATTGAAATCAAGAAGCTCTGTGACACAAACCCAGCTTCTTCAGTTTTGGTGATCTGCCCCCAGAATCTGGCTTAGGATTAGATTCCCATCAAACATCAACATACACAGTAAAGAACCCATAGCTTTGGGAAAAAGGTAGTCATTTCTACTGATAACATGAATCCTTAAAAGATGCTGAAGTTGAGGTCCTCAGTCCATGCTGGGCTTAGTTAATCTTCTTATGTTTATGAACTCTGAATTCTGTGGCCTGTTATGCAGGGCTGCAGTGAGCCACAAAAGGCACCTTTCACTATGCAAGGACCACAAAAAATGCTATCCTGAGTGGGGTTTTCATGAAGGGTTTATCATAAGGCCTGCTTCCTTAAAGGAAAAACAAAACAACAACTCAGTAGTCACCTGTGTGAATGAAGGACTCTGACTCTCTCAACTGTCAAGATCTGTTTTACAAAAAAAAAAAAAAAAATCCAAAACATTTAACGTTTCACCATAAAACATTTTGGGGCTTCTTTCTGCAGCATCAGGATCAGAATCTGGGTTCAGACATCTGGCTCTGTCTCCTGCTCCTGGGGCAGCTCATTTCTTTCTCCTGGTGACCTCCTCTCCCTGCAGACCCCCACCCGGTGGGCTCTGCTCTGGTTCCAATGGCCTTCACACGGCTTGCATGGTCCCCACTTCTCTGCTCGGAGACTTGGGAGGCCTTGTTTCAGAGATGGCAGGAGCATTACTCAGTCAGTTAAAGGAACATATAAGTGAAAAGATAGTTAGAATGTTCCTCGCTGTGTTCTCACCCATCCCAGGGCCCCTGTGATCACTGTTCACCAAGGCACCTGTGTCAGGACACCTTAGCTGGTATGCACCAGTACCACTGTACTGTTTGATAAAACATTCATGTGCTTCCTAACCACCTAGCAAATAGTTTCTGCCCTGAGACCCCTATCCACAGGTTCTCCCTCTGGGACCTGAGCCCCCTGGGCATCCCCAGCACTTGAGGGGATAACCCCCAGTCCATCAGGGCTACCACATCACCCCCTGGGATAATTCAGGTTGGTGGGGACCCTGGTGCACCAGTTGTTGAAACATTCTGCATATCAACTTTGCTGGTTACCCTATTTTCTACTCTTTCTGTCCCTCCACTCCTCAGCAAGTGTTACTGAATTCTAACCATGGGCTTGGCATGACACCATTTCCTCGCTCTTAAGCTGGCTTCTCTAGGTCCAGCGTGTGTCTTCCCAGTCACATACCCTCATGCCAGGCCCCTTCTGCTGTCGGTGGGCATTACAGATGTTTCTTCTTACTGCACAGGAGAGCGTCTAAGAGAGGACTTTATTTTGCTCTAACTCCAAAGGATGGGACTTTCCCATAGGAAAGTGACTCCTACATGTCCTTCTGCAGCTTTCACTCTGTTTACAGTTTGATGACAGTTGCTTGCTTCTTGTTACATCCTCAGAGCTGCTATGACAATGGCGCTGGCTGCAGGTGCACGCGGCTGTGACAGCGGCCCTTCCCTCTTTCTGCTCAGCCCCTGTTGCATTCTCATTACGAAGTCTTGATGACTTTGAGCTCTGTGTTTGGCTAGTGTTTTTCTCATTCGTCCCATCACCAGGTAGAGGTTGGGGAAACACCTTTCCCGGGAATCTGCTCCTTGTGTTTTCAGTTTGGAAAGTTTTGTCATTAGCACATCTGCTCCTTGTTTCACAGTCTATTGGCCTCTGCTGCTCAGCAAGCTGCAACTGACACTTGTCAGTCAACCGCTGCCTGCCAGTGACAACGGGGGCCTTGGGAATGACTCCACTCTTCAGAGTGGCAATGTCTTAATAAGTGAGGCACATGCAGGAAGCCACCTCGCCCAGCTCACAGTCTTCCAGGGCTGGTGCAGGGCCGGGGCTTCATTTATTGAAAAATAGTATTTTAATTCTCCCGAGGGAGTGTCTGCTGTCGCTCAGAAGGGGGCCTGAGGGTCTGTTCTGGGGAATGGAAGGAGGTGGGATGGGCTTGGTTCTCTTTTAGAAGGCTGAGTTGGAGTTCTCTCTTTGTTTGGAGCAGTGTCTAGAAGGGGCTTGCTGCTCTGTTGAAGCCAAGAAAAAGCTGGAAGCTTCACGACTAAGTGGTCCATTTTACTTTTCAGGAAGCTGAGGCTTTGAGAGGGACAGACACTTTCCCGAGGTTGCACAGCTGGCCAGAGGCTGGGATGGATGCAAACCCGCCCAAGTTCCATCTCATTCAATAAGTATTTAATGAACGAGAGAAGAGATGGAACTTGGGTGTGAGGAGGCCTGGAAATCTGGGTAGCCAACAAGCATCCTCCACCCCCAGGATTTGTATCTCCAGGGAAGTCTGGGAAATTCTGGTCGATACTACATCTGCTGGTGGTGAGACCTGGAGCTCGGTGGGAACCTGGGAGCTGGGACTTTGGGACCCAGTGGCCCAGACCCAGGGCCGGGACTATTTCTAGAACCCTCAATACCCTTGGCAAGAGGAGAAGAGTGGGCTGTTATGGGCATGGAAGCCAATACATTAAGCCAGGCAGCATCCGAGGCAAAAGTTGAAAGTGGTAATACATTTCCCCCTTTCCTCTGGGGTGTGATTTATTTTTCTTTCAACTGTTCCTTTGCATTCTGATTCTGCCCTCCCAGGATCTGGTGATGTGGACAGTCTGGGTTCTGGAGGGGACAGTGTCCGGCTTTCATCACACCAGTAGGGACAGTGGTCGTGGCAGCCCAGGAATGGGGTGGATGCAGCAGGCTTCTTGGTGTTTGGTGGTCAGACACAGGGGCAGAGCAATGCAAAATTCTGAGCCTTGAGGATGGGAGAAGGATCTCAGGTTGCATGACCAGATGGCCAGACTGGAAGTTGGGACAGGGGCAGAGGGAGCAGGGATTGCACTGACCGTGATTGTGCATCCCTCAAAAAAGCTGAGCTCTTGCACAAACCCAGGATGCCCCTTTTATGGATACAGAAATAGAGTGAGGTTTAGGAACCCTGCTGAGGTGATGCAACTATTTAATATTGATGGAGACTAGAAACGAGGCCACTAGATCACTGGTTCTCAAACTGCAGTGTGGCAGCGTGTTCAAGGCAGGTGCCCGTGGGCCAACTAGATGGGGTTGGGTGACGCCTTGCTCTGTTCTGTCCTTTGAAGTTTTCACTGGAAAGCTCTGTCCTGGACCACTGTGCCACTACCAGGGCTAGGGGAGGTGTGGGTCAGGCCTGTCCTGGAGGGTGGCTGTGGCCAGTCTTCAGCCCTCTGTGACCCCAATGGTGAGGGCACTCTCTCACAGGTGGCTGGTCAGATGTGATGAAATGTCAGTGGCCGTGGGTGCTTTGAGAGGCCTGGGTTGAGAGACAGTGGTGAGGGGCCCGGGTGCCCGCCAGCGGGGTGCTGATGGTGACCCTGTTTGCCGCCTGCTTGTGCATATTATCTGGCCTGCTTTCTGTTGCTCATCCACTGCCACAACCAGGGGCTGTTCTTGCAGCTCAGACACCGGTATCGTACGAGAACACCCAAGGGCCTTTCGTCTCAAATGGGTTCCTGCTATCAAAAGCTTCTCCCTGTATCAGGGCTTGGCTTTGGAGATTTCTGGCATCCTTGTGCCCTTGCCTGTCCCCAGGGCTCTCCAAGCCCTACCCCTGCTCCTGGCAAGCCACAAGGGGACTGCTTGGAGGATGAGGAAGGAGGGAGGCTATTTTCTTACTTTTGGTATAAATTATTCAGGCATGGCTCTGGTGCTCTCAGACATGGAGGAAAGATCAGCTGAATAATTTGTGGGACCTGATGCCAAATGAAAATGTGGGCTGTATGTCAGAAAATTATTAAGAATTTCTAGGCCGGGCATGGTGGCTTACACCCATAATCCCAGGACTTTGGGAGGCCGAGGTGGGCGGATCACCTGAGATCAGGAGTTCGAGACCAGCCTGGCCAACATGGTGAAACCGCGTCTCTACTAAAAACACAAAAATTAGCTGGGCGTGGTGGCGGGCGCCTGTAATCCCAGCTACTCTGGAGGCTGAGGCAGGAGAATCACTTGAACCCGGGAGGCGGAGGTCGCAGCAAGCTGAGATCACACCACTGCACTCCAGCCGGGGGGACAAGAGTGAGACTTCGTCTGAAGAAAAAAAAAATCTAGACAGTGACAGTAGGGTATAAAACCATATGCTGGGCTTTTCTAAATTCAGGAACCTGTGTGACTGCATGTATTACACGTCCTTGAAGCCAGTGCTGTGTGGAGGCAAGATTCTTTGAGTGACAGGAACCCCACAGGACACAGGCCTGCAGGATATGGTTGTGCAGGTTGTCTACTGCACAACTCTAGGGGACACCATTTACATTGTGGTCCCTGGCGGCCCTGCCAGAGATCACTGCAGCAGGCCCCAGATAGTGACAGTGATCCAGAACTTTGGGACAGAGAGGCTGCTTGGTGATGGGCTGGTATCCTCCCATCCAGACCCTTTTCTCGCACCAGTGTTTCGGAACCTCCTCCTCCCATCCTCCCTTTCTCCTTGGCATTTCAGGGACACGTTTCTCTGCGAAACCGAGGTGCCAGGGCTCCACGCGGGCGCTGCTGGGGAAGCTTCCGCTCCTCGGTGCTGATCGCCCGCCGGCAGCTCCGCTGTTAACCTTTGGGGTTTGCTCACAAAATAGAAACTCTCTTTGTAGGTCAGTTTGTCAGTAATTTTGGCAGCCGCGGGGCCACCGAGGGAATGAGGCTTGGTTCCCACTTGTCTCTTGTGCTCGGTTTGGAGACTTTTGCGGAGCCCTTCCCTGGGAGGAACACTCACCCCTGCCGGAAACAAGAGCCGGTTTTCTCTGACCTGGTTTTGAATCGGCAGGAGCAATTCCTGCATGCTGGAAACGCATGGCTGCTGAGAAGGAATTTGGTCCACACCCAGCCTGTGCCCTGGGCCTGCGGCTGGAGCCCAGGCACTTGTTTTCCTGGGCAGAAGGCACTTGGATGGGGCTGCCGGGTTTTACACTTCTGCTCCCACATTAGGCTACCTGGAGGAATCTGCTGAAACTGCCCCCCACCCGAAACTCGCTGAGTGTGCCCTGGTCTATGGACACCTTCATGACCTGCCAGCTGACCTGGTTCTGTGCAGCCCCTCCTGACCTTCACCCCCACCCTCAGCCTGGGCTGTCAAGGCTGTGGACATCTTCTACGGTGAAACTCTTCGAGTGCAGAAAAGATGAGGAGGGCCTCCTCACACCCTGCCTTCCAGGGGCTGGCAGCAAAACTGAGGGTGTGGGCAATTAGGCCATGAGCAGCTTGGGGAGGACTGGTTGTCAGAACAGCCATCAGGGAGTGCTGAAGAAGTCAGGAGGCCTTCCTGGCGGAGGCAGTGATGAACTGGACTCTAGCCCCTCTCTGTTATTTCGGGGCTTCCAGGGAGTCAGATTCAGAACAGAGCATCTCTGGTCCAGGACAGGAAGCCGGGGAGCCTAGGCTGGCATAGCTTTATGGCTCAGAGATGTAATGACACCCAAACAATAATTGAGCACCAACTGTATGCAAGACCCAGTGCTGGGACCAGAGTTAAGTCAGAGCTGGAACAAGTCTCCACAGCCAAAGCTGAGGTTTATAGGAAAGACTCCAGATCACCTAGAGACATGAAGGTTGTGTGTCAAGGAGGGAGAAGAGGAGGACTCAGGGTCTTGAGGAACAAGCCCCTGCCTGAGGCTGCCCATCTGTTTCCTCCGCCCTGGCTCCTGCTTCCTCTAGGAAGACAGGCAGGGAGGATGCTCTCCAGCTGCGGCTGTGTTCCTGAGCACCGCCTGCAGGTCCCAAAGCCAAGGGGGGACCACAGGCTGACTGAGCCCAGAGAGAAGCTTGCAGCTCTCCCTGGCTCACTTGCTGTGCAGCGCAGACCCCTGTGTCATTGACGTTGCATGTTTACAGAGAGGGCTGCCTTTTATGTGAACGAGCCACAGCCTGGACTCCAGCCTGTCCCCACCATGTGCCTTGTGACCTTGAACAAGTCACTCCCCTTCTGGGATCCACACTTCAACAATACCAGGGCTGAATTGGAGTAAGGAGCATTTCACAATGTTAACCAGGTTCCGTTCCTGTGGGAAGTTTCAGAGTTTTAACACGATAATAACAACAGTAATATTGATCCCAAATGAGTGTATAGCACTTATATGCCAGGCCCTGTTCTAAACACTTAATTCTCCCATCAGCCCCAAAGGGATACCCCTATTCTCTCCATTTGTAGATGGGGAAATTGAGGAATACAGAGGTGAAGTGACCTGCCCAAGGTGACACAGCCAGCGGATGTCAGAGCCAGGATGGGAACCCGCGTGGTATGGCTGTGGAACCCGTGTGCCTCACCACCATGCCACATTGTCCCCAATTTGGAGCATCTACCTAGAGGGAGCCGGGTTCTCTAGGAGACCCTTTTAGTCCGTCGTCAGCACATGGGCCCTTCCGAATCCTTGAATGCCTTGTCCAGTCTCAGACAAGGATTTTGTTCCAACCTCCAAATTCCCACCAATGTGGACTCCTGTGGAGTTGCAGAGATTAATAGTCCCCATTTTTTCTTTTTTCTCCTTCTTTATAAACATCATATCAGAGAAATTCTCCGATGATGCATCCACCCGAGAACCCCCTCAGTAAGGCAGCTGAGTGTTAAGGGGAAATTCGTGAAATGAAGTTTGGAGGCCGCCGGCCGGGCCGGAGCCCCTCCTGAGCGACGGTGATTTATTTCGGCAATGTGGTAGTCATTAGTATCTTTGGTGTCGGAGCCGGAGCACTCACTCCGGCCTGGGTCTGTGGCCGAGGGAGCCTTCGGGGCCATTACGAGCTAATGGCGCAGTGTGGGCAGAGGAGGGCTGCAGTCAATCTTGCCGCTGGCGGGTAATAAACGTCGGCCGGCTCCTTCCTGCTCCCCACGAGAGAGGGGAGGCCATGGCGCATGGTTCCCTGCTGGGCCTCATCTCCCCTGCTGTGGGGGCCCTTCCTGTCACTTTTTGCCATGGAAGACTGAGACCGAGAAGTTGCCCAGAATTGTGTCTATCTGACCCTGAGTTTAGAATTGTGAGGCTGGTTAGGGGACTCTTGTTTCTGCTGGCTTGGCTTTGGGGTGTCTTCCTGCAGGGCTGCACGAATTCATCGCATCCTGTGGGGAGAGCTGCCCGAGTGAGGGTCCTTGCTGCCTCCATAACTTGGGAGGATCTGCCCCCTTTTATTTTATTTTTTTAATTTTTATTTATTATTTTTTAGGGACAGAGTCTTGCTCTGTCGCCCAGGCTGGAGTGCTGTGGCGCGATCTCAGCTCACTGCACTGAGCTGAGATCCACCTCCTGGGTTCAAGCCGCTCTTCTGCCTCAGCCTCCTGAGTAGCTGGGATTACAGGCATGCACCACCATGTCTGGCTGATTTTTGTATTTTTGGTAGAGACAGGGTTTCACCATGTTGGCCAGGCTGGTCTCAAACTCCTGACCTCAAGTGCCTCAGCCTCCCAAAGTGCTGGGATTACAGGAGTGAGCCACCACGCCCGGCCTCTTGCCCCTTTTAATTGAGGCTTAACTTACATACAGTGAAGGGCTCAGATCTTATGGTATTGCGTGATACAGTTTTACAAGTGTGTACACCTGTGTAACCAGCACCCACATCAACAAATTGAGCACTTCCTCCTCACCGGTAATTTTCTTCAGGCTTCCTTCTAGCTGATACCCCTGTACCCCTACCAAAGGCAATCACTGTTCTGACGTCTTCCACGGTGGATGAGTTTTGCCTGTTTCTGAGTGTCATTTCTGTTGAATCGCCCCATGCATCCTGTGGTCCTTGTGTCTGGCTTCTTTGGCTCTACATTTAGTTGGTGAGATCCATCCGTGTTGTGTGTGTATCAGCAGTGTGTTCCTTTGTATTGCTGTGTGTTTGTTGCACTGTGTGAATATGGGAAAATGTGCATTTTACTGTTGCTGGGTGCTTGGGTTGTACCTGGATTTGGGCTGTTATTCACAGTGCTGCTAAGCCCATCTGTGTTCCATGTTGTCTATGAATCCTGGCTCTGGGGTCTTGGGATCCGGCTCTGCCACTCACTTGCTGTGTGACCTTCTGCAGGTTCCTTAACCTCTCTGAGTCTTGGTTTATACATTTGTGAAATGAGGGGATTAAGGAATCTATGGTCAAGTGCTCAGCACAGTCCCAGGGAACACTGAGGGACTGGAGCCTTTTACATCAATGAGCTTCACTTGGGCGCAGATTGTTGTATACTGATTGCAGTGGGGTGAGTGTGCAGGGTAGGTTTCCCTTGAGTTTTAAGGGCTGCCAAGTAACCTAGCCTTTTTCTTTGGAACATGGAAATTTGCCATTGCACAAGCCTAGATGGGTCTGTGTCTTTTCCCTCCCTTCTTTCTTGGTTTTTAATTTACTTCCAACCTGTAAGCGATTTCAAAGGCAGACAAGCATGTTGTGTGCATGTCTGTGTGTGTCTATGTGTGTGCACACACATGTGTACAGTTAGGGAGGGATTTCTGCTGAGCCCGGGGTGCCTGGTGTGAAGTGTGGCCTCCAACTCACAGTTCAGAAACTGGGGCTTTCTTCGAAACCATGTAGCCTTTCATTCCAGCCAATAGTCACCCCACTTTCAGGTGTTAAAGATAGTAAGTTGAGCATCCAGTTTTGAACCTACCAAAATGACATTTTCATGTGGTTCAGCCTAATACTTTCAGACCCTTTAGAAGCAACCATTTACAGTGCTGCAGTAGTTATAAACCATCTGCATCCAGTCCTAACATCACCCCCGACCACTTCAGTTTTTCCCTGGATATTTCCAAAAGCATGTGGAAGTGAAGCAGTGAGTTTCTTCAGCAGACAGCTCTTACCTTGGACTTTCAGGTGTCTCTGCACAGCCAGGATTGCAGGGCCAGGCCTGGGCCTTTTGGCGTGATGGCCTCCCTTGCTCAGTTTCCTGTACAGTGGAATGCCCTACCCAGTTTTGTCCCCAGTGCGCGTGCTCACCAGCCAGCTGGGGTCTGTCAGCAGCGAGGGCCCACAAATCTCCAGGCAGCCCCCTTTCTCCTCTACACAGGTTTTCACTCTGGCCTGACACCTGTTTCCCTTCACTGCTTCTGCCCCCAGGAATGATGCTCCAAGTGCCAGCTCTGGAATGACAAAAATGATAATGATGGTAAAAGGAATAAGAGCCACTGTTTATGCAGTGTGTGCTGTGGCCAGGCACCTTACGTGCATTATTGCAGTTTTCCCTCAAAGTTTTATAAAGTAGGAGTTATTGTTCCCATGTGACAGATGAGGAAATGGAGGCAAGGAGAGGTTCAGTAACACACCTAAGCTCTCACAGCTAGAAAGTTGCACAGCCTGGAGGTATAGTCAGGCTACCTAACTCTAAATGTGTCCTTCTCACCACTCCTGTCTTCTTTCTGGCTGTTTTCTTCAAATACACACATGTGAGGAGAAGTTGAGGAACAGTTTCCAGGAAGCAGATACTACCCAGGGAAGGAGGTTGTGTGTGATTGACAAGCTCTCCCCATGAGGACCTGTTCTGCATTGTGGGCAGGGGAGAGTAAGGGAGGGTGGGAGTCACCCAGGAGGCTGCCGTAGGGAGGGTTGAGCTATGTTTGGGTTTAGGAGAGGATGCGGGGAAGGTAGCTGTGATTACCAAATATTCCAGCCCTTTTTGACTGAGGAATGAACAAGGCCAGGGCTGTGGTCCTGCCCTCTTCATAATGGTATTTGTAAAGTCTGTGTTAAATGCAGAGAACCAATAGTAATATAATCTCTGAGTATTGTGCCCTCTTAGAGCTGTAGACTTGCAGATTGTTGGAATCACAGAATCCCAAACTCTGAGAACTGCAGAGCTCTAGAATCATAATGTTGGGGGCCTCCCATTTACACGGTACCTAAGAGAACGGCACCGACATGCATGGACACCAGGCAGGCTTGCACACGGCAGACTGGAGCATCCTCTACAGCAGGCTGTCCAAAGGAAATAGGATTCGAGCCACAAGTGCAATTTCAAATTTTCTACTAGCCACATTTAAAAAAAAATTAAAAGGAAACCGGTGAAATTAAAGAGTATACTTTTTGTTTAACCCAATATATCCAAAATATTATGATGGTACCATATAATCAACTTAAAAATTATGAATGAGACTTTTTTAACATTCTTTTATCGTACTAAACCTTAACAATATGGTGTGTATTTTGGACTGACAGCACGTCTCAGGGTAGACCCACCCCATTTCAGTTGCTCAGTAGTCACATGTGGCTAGTGGCAACTGGAGTAGATAGGATAGCTCTAGGTAGGAGACCCTCCTCCCCCAGGTTCCCACTGGGAGGTGCATTGTGAGGCCTGGGCTGTGGGCTGATCTTCCCCTGGCCAGAGGAGCAGGCTCTTGGGGAACATTGGCAGTGGCGTTACTCTTTTTGTGGTTTGGAAACAGACACTCCCAACTTGGAGTGCTCCAGCCATCTTGCCAGCTGCTCCTGTTCATCACAGCTGCTCCAGGGCTGACCTTCAGAGAGATCTCTCGATGCCCAGAGAGAGCTCTTAGGTGGTTGGATGGAGCCCGAAGCCCAAGCCGACCCAACAGGGCAGAGAGGAGCCACGTGGCCGAAACCCCAGGCATCCTTCTTGCTTCTGCCCCTTGCTGGAACAGAATGGCTGGGCTGTGCTTCCTGGCGTGTGGCCCTGCCATATTCCATCCCTGCCTGCCAATCCCTAGGGGGTGAAGAGGTGGGAGTGGGGAAGCACACAGCCCTGTGCCTGACATCCCCCTCCTCTGCACAGCATGCAAGGCCACCTTCCCGGGCTGATGCTGTGAAAGCGATTCTCTGTCTCTCTCCTGCAGCCACGGGGAGATAAAAGCCAGGGCTGTGGGGATGGTAGAGAGGGAGCCAAATTATATTTATAATATTAAAGTGAGTGCATTTGTGGCTTGCTGTTCTCCAGGGTTTTTCATAAGTAGAAAAACACAAATTAGCATTTTCCATTTCCATATATTGACTAGAAAAATCGCCTGCTCTCAATTAAGACCTATAGCTTTTGGGATGTATGCAACAATTTTATAAAATATTTACAGCAAGATTTGCATTTTACATGGTGTTACAGTTTTTCTTGTGTTTAGGAGTAAGGGCTGAGGCCTTCGAGAGGAAATACATTCTCTGGAATCGAGGGGGAAGGAAGCTGCGGGCTGTTGTTTTTCTTGCCTTCTCTATCTACTCCGGCTGTCCAGGGCTGACGTTGTCTCTGGTAATTACCTAAGGCTGATCCACCCCTGAGCTATTTGTTAGTCTGTTTTCAAAGCCCGTGCTCCTTTGACAAATCTATTACTTTCCCTTTAAAACTTGCCGGAATGGAGCTGTTTGCGGCTTTGTGCGAGATGAAGAAGAACATTTTTTTTTCCCAATGTAAAAGCATGCCGTAAAGAACATAGCTATTTCCTGGATAATTTGCAGTTGTATATTTTATGTTAATTTCACCGAAAATACTGCACCCCTGCCAGGTTTAGTAGTGGCTCACTGTGATATGAATAATTTCTAGTGAATCATTTTTTTTTCTTCATTTAAGATTTGGCACCTTTTTAAGATTTTAATAATAGCAACAAGGAGGAAGATTTAGAACAAGTGAAACATTAGTGCCAAAGAAATTCACGTTGAGCGCTAATGTAAAATAGCAAGAATAATTACATGGAAAGCAGTTTCCACAGATGTTTTTCCTTGTAATGTAATAACTATTTACTAAACTGTTTATTTTAGGCCTTTGGTTTATAATAAAATATTTATACATTCTCTGCTGTAATAAAAAAATATTGACAAAATACTATAGAGGTTTAAAAAGACAATTGATATTTTTATTTTCCAGGAAGCGAGCATGGTTTAAAAGTTTGGTGCTATTTTGGTGGATGTTTCAAGATTAGTGAATCTGGGTTTGGTTTTTGAGTTCATTTCTTAGTTTACTGTTTCAGAACTAACTGCACAGAAAAATTTTGTTAGCCTATCATTGGATGCAGGTACTGGTGGGCACTTTATTTTTTAAAATAGAATTCTTACCTGTGAATCCCTCCAGTTGAGTGCTAAATATGAGTTGCAGATCTCTCCCTATTAATCAGTCAGGCTAAGCTGGTCTGTGGCTGGGAAGGCAGGAAGATGCTAGTGAGTGCGCCTGGGAATTTAAGTTCAGGCAGGATCAGGGGCTGTTTGGAGGGCAGTTTAGCCCTGGGGTTTCTGGAAAGATTTGACCTTGATTTTCAGCCTCTGTCTGTAGCCACTGAAGTATGTCCAGGGACAATGTCCCAGTGTGGGTTTACCACATGTGAGCTCCATCTGGAGCTGGGAGTGGCAGGGAAACCCTAACTTCTTGAGCCCCTCTTTTGTACTGTCCTCATTGGGGAGGAAAACCAACAGGAGGGGACACAAGAGAGACCCCCCCACCCCCACCTCAGCAGCACTCCCTGCCCTCCCGCCTTTAGCTGTGACGCAGATCGTGCTGTTGGGGTCACCCGGGTGTTCAGGGTGAAAATGGCCAAGGTGGTGGGGTGGAGAGGAATTTAAGGACCAAAACAAGAAAGAGGATGCCAAGGAGTTCTGAAAGAGCCTGGCTGGGCCTTGTCTGTGTTTTGGGAGCAACTGACCAAGGTCCAGTTTTGTAAGAACCAGCCTCCTTCCGCCCTCTTGCTCTCCCAAGACATCTGCGTTGACAGCCCTGTGTGTGCCTGTCGTAGCTCCTGAGGGTATGTCTGTGAGCCTGAGTGGTGGCCTCTGTGTATCATGTTGTTCTTGCTGCTGTTGGCCGTGTGTGCTCTAATTTGTGTTATATTTGCGCCTGTCCATCTGCATCCCCGTGAGTTTGTTTCGAGTCTTCTGTTTATGGGTTTAGATGTCTTTGTGCCTGTGGGTGTTTTTTTGGGCTAACACATTGGATGCTTCTTTCTGTGCTTTGTGTTTGTCTTTGAGTGTGTTTGTGGTCTTATGTGTTTAATGCTTTGTATTTGGATCTGTGGGTTTATCTGTGTTTTTGTGTCTATCTTGGAGTGTATGTCTCTATATTCCTGTCTGTGTGTTGTGTGTATGTTGGGTGTGACAGTGAACCCCTCTTCTGTATGCCTGTGTTTTTCTGTTTGTGTCAGTATGCACTTGTGTGTGTGTGTCTGTGTGAGAGAGGTAAGCATTCCCTCTGTTGAGAGAGGCCTGGGGGCTTCCCAGCTTGGAGGCAGCTGGCTGTGTTACCGCAAGGGTGTGGCCATCTCTTTCCACCAAACTTTCTGATGGAAGGAGAGGAGAGAGGAGGCAGGGAAGAGATTCCAGAGGGGCCAGAGGGGATGGCGCATGGGAGGGAAGTGTGGAATTTTTAATAAAGAGAGAGACAACTGAACCAGGGTCTAACACCCTGCACAATCTGGAAGGGAACATTTACTGCTCTGGGTTCTTAATCCAGATATGTCCCCACTTCTGTTTACCCCCCAGCTGAAAGGCAGGCAGCTGGGGGGCTGAGGGGAGGGGATGGTTCTCAAGGACTCGCTTTGCACTGCTAGTTTTTGAGTTCTATCCTGACTTGGTCCATCCCCAGTAATCTAGGACAACATTTCCTCCTGTTCTCCTGCAGGGGACAGGAAGCTGCCTCTGGGGAACCTGCGGGTTCCATGGGGGGCCAGGAGGAGCCTCTTACAGATAGAGATTTCTGCTGCCTTCTGAGCCCCTGGCAGAGTTCTTGGTCTTCTCTTCAGTAGTGTGTTGCCTCCGCGGCCCCCTCTCCCCAACCTTGTGCTTTCCTAAATAAGCTTTACTCACTTTGCAAAGGAAGTGGATTTCTTCCAGGTCCCACACCAGCGGTGCTGGTCTTGGGGGCTTCTCGGAGATCTAAGGCCATTCTCCCTTCTCTGTGAGCAGGCTTGGGGCTTGGGTGTTTCATGTATACAGATGGAGAAACAAAGGCACGGAGGGCATATGGCTTGGTTGCAGGCAGAGAGTCAGGGTAGAGTTTGGAAGTTGACCTGTGGGAGGTGCTACAATCCCACCAGAAAGAGATCTCTGCAAACCCTGTCCGCCAGACTTCAGAGAGGGTTCTGGCGGGAGAGGCAGGGGTGAGACCTCTAAGGGACAAGAGTGAGGTCTGTGAATGGCAGAGAAATTTTTTTTTTTTTGAGACAAGGTCTTACTCTGTCACCCAGACTGGAGTGCAGTGGCATGATCATAGCTCACTGCAGCCTTGACCTCCCAGGCTCCAGCAATCCTTCCACCTCAGCCTCCTGAGTAGCTGGGACCACAGGCACGTGCCACCACCCCTGGCTAATTTTTAAATTTTTTTTGTAGAGACAGGATCTTGCTATGTTGCCCAGGCTGGTCTTGAACTCTTGGCTTCTTGTGATCCTCCCAAAGCACTGAGATTACAGGCATGAGCCACCACGCAGAGCCCAGAGGTTTGGCTCTTTGGGGTGGGGATGAGTTTGGGGTCAGAGCTGGATTGCTGTGGATAGCAGTCACCACCAGGGGTCCCCCTTCTCTTCACTCCCCCATACAACCTTTCCTCCAAATCCATCTTGATCAGGTATTTGAAGGATTTTGGTTTGGGGAGGGTGAGCTGATGACTGCACCTGGATGACTGACCCTTCTCCAGACCCACAACCGCACGAAAGCTGTCTCTCCACACCTTGCTAACATATCTTCTTCCCTGTTTATGGATGGCAGTGAGAAGTTGAGCCTGTGAATCTGGGCATCGCAGAGTGAAGACTGATCTGTTAGAAATGGATCTAAAATGAGCAAGGAGCATGTGGGGAGGGGAGGCGAGGGGATAGCCCTCAGGTCCGCCGGTTCTGGCAGAGGTGGGGGCATCACACACCTTTGCTGAGTGGGTTTGAGTTTCCTGCCTGCTTTGTCTTTTGTGTAACTATTCTCTGGTTGCACGTGGCTGACTCCCGGCTGGTGTGGGTGACGAGGATAGGCTTTACAGCGATGCCCTGGCACACAGAGCTGTCTTATTCACGTTTTGGTTCATGGCTTATGGCCCAGGCCAGGGAAAAAGAATTCACTCCTGCAAGTGACTTCTGCAAAAGAATTCTGTCACTGTGTTTTAGGGGAGCCTGCATTAAGAAGACTCTGGGGTCGAATAGGTCCCAAACTGCATTTTATGCTTTATTTGTTGAGTAGATGATGATGTGGTGGTTGTTATCAATTTTCCTAATTGGCTGTGTTCCTTATAATTTCAGCTGAACTGCCCCTCCTGTTTTTAAAAAAGCTGTGTTTTAAAAAACTCAAATAATACACTTTCCTTACAAGAAAAAAAATGCTGATAAACAGAAGAAAGAGATAGAAATCACCCTTAATCTCACCTCCCAGGGAAAACTGCTGTTAACAATTTGATGTTTACCTTTCCCAATTCTGTGTGTTCACACATGCATAGATACAGTTTTAAAAAGCATTTTGTTGTAGTTTGATATTTATACAGAAAAGTAGACATATCAATAAATAGAAATTAAAAGCAACTGCAAAAACCTCAATTACTTTTACACCAACCTAATGTAATAACCCTTTATTGATGCATTACATACAGAAAAGCTTACTTGTCATAAGCAGCAGATAGCTTGCTGAATTTTCCCAGACCAAACCCAGGTAAGCACTACATCATGACACAGTGTGACCCACACCCCAGAAGTTCACCTCCTGCACCTTCCTGTCCCAGCCCCCAGAGGACCACAACCCTGACTTCTAACAGCAAAGACAGTGGTGCCTGTTTTTTTTTCCTGTGTAGAAATGGAATCACTGCCTACTCTTTTGCATACTCATGTTTGGTTTCCAGCAGAGTTTTAATGTCTGTACTGTTTTTGCACACTTGTGTTTGGTTTCCAATGCAGTTTTAATGCCCATACTGTTTAGTTTCCAGTGGAGTTATAATGCACAGACTTTTGCACACTTGTGTTTGGTTTCCAGTGCAGTTATAATGCCCATACTATTTTTACACATTTGTGTTTAGTTTGCAGTGGACTTACAATGTCCATACTATTTTTGCACACTTGGCTTGGCTTCCAGTGGAGTTATAATGCCCTATTTTTGCACACTTGTGTTTAGTTGCAGTGGACTTATAATGCCCATACTATTTTAGCATACTTGGTTTGGTTTCCAGTGGAGTTATAAATGGCCATACTGTTTTTGCATATTTATGTTTAGTTTTCAGTAGACTTACAATGCCCATACTATTTTTGCACACTTGGCTTGGTTTCCAGTGGGGTTATAATGCCTATACTATTTTGCACACTTATGTTTAGTTTGTGGTGGACTTATAATACCCATACTGTTTTTGCACACTTGTTTGCTTCCCAGTGGAGTCATAATGCCCATACTATTTTTGTACACTTGGCTTGGTTTCCAGTGGAGTTACAATGCTCATCCTATTTTTGCACACTTGTGTTTAGTTTGCAGTGGACTTATACTGTCCGTACTATTTTAGCACACTTGGTTTGGTTTCCAGTGGAGTTACAATGCCCATATTATTTTGTAATCATTTCCCCCCAACAGTAGGCAGTGACAGTTTTCTGTGTCAGCACACATGTCTCTACATCATCATTTTTAGTGGCTGCTTGGTGTTCCATTATAAGAAGTGCCACAGTTTAAATTTCCCGTTGGAGCTTTTAGTAGTGTCACTATTAGAAACAACTCTCTATTGAACATCATCCTAACCAAATGGGTGACTTTCCCCTCCTTCTCTGGAGACAGAGTGGCCAGAGTGGTGGTGGGGGAAAGGCCCTCACCGGGCCGGCTGGAGCCCAGGTTGTGGTGTGAGGATGCTGGCATCGCTTCAGTTTGCCAGCTGGACCTCATCAAGTGCGGGTGTTAATTACTGGGAGGCCCCTGGTTCTGTGAGCAGGCGGGGGACGCTGGGGCTAACTCATGAAACAGGGTCACCTTGAAACAGACGCTTCCAGGGGAAGAGAAATCGAGGAGAAGACCAAGGGGAAGCACAGGGCTGGGGGAACGGCTTCCCACCAGCCTTGGCTAAGTCACCCTGGTGCCCTGGAGCTCCTGTATGGGATGTGCAGAGGCTCTCCCTGGCCCTGGGTGATAATGAGTGTGTGTCTTTATCCCTGCTTTTAATTGGGGTGAGCTGGGAGCAAGAATGCCCGTATCTGTGGCTTTCTCTTTTCCAGAAGACCCTTGCCCCCCGAAGCAGCCGTGATGCCTGCATGTCTTGAAAACGTGGCCGGTGTGAGTGCTGTGGCTTGGGTGTGAGCCGGGGCTGGGAATGGGGGACTGCCCGGCAGTGCCAAACGGGAGTCCAGCTGTGCAGCATGCCCGGGTCAGGAGGTGCTGCCCGCAGCCCCAGCCAGGTACGCTTAGGGCTGCAGGCGCAGCAGGGCCAGGTTGGAGGAGAATTAGGTTATTGCATTTCTTCTGTAATTCTTCATCAGGGCTGCTGCCTGGATCTGCTGCGGGAAAATCAATGTGTTCTGACTCCATAATTTCCCAGGTTGCCTTACTCCAAGTACCTTGCGCAGGGAAAGGTGACATCTCTGGTCACGTCTGTATGGACCAAATATATATATATATATATATATTCGCCACTTCCCCTTTACCCCATCCCATCTCCACCTCCCAGCACAAGACTCAAGACTCGTTGGAATTTCACAACCTTTGCATGCTTTTGTGAAAACACTCATTTGTGTTTGCGCCAGGCCGCTAATGGCGGACGCCAAGGTCTGCGGAGCCTACCTCTGTTCAGCTCTCGTTATGGCGAGGAATGTGCCGTTAATAATGCATCTATGGAACTCAGCTGTGTGGGAGCCAAGTAATTATCCCACTGTAGCGTTCCCGGCTTCAGTGTCATCACAACTGGGGCTTCATTAAAAGTCCTAACAGAGACGATGTTGTGTGCTGCAGCCTGTATATATATTTTTTCATTTAAATTATCAGCCTTGCTATGGCTCAGAGGTAATTTGACTTTTTGAAACCGCTGAGCCCCTGTGAATTCCCCTCCCCTTCTCCCTCTCGCTGCTCCACCAGCTGATCAGCCCCAGAAGAACAAAAGGTTTATCTGAAGCTATGAAGCATATATTCACCAGCTTCTGGCGTCTAGATAAAAAAAAAAATCAAAGTACTCCATTGAACATGTTAATACTGAGCAAAATGCACACAGCTAGACACTAAACCTTTACAGGGATTTGGGCATTTGAAAAGTGATACCCAGATCAGGTCTTGAGCTACGTTTCTTCGCCCAGAGTAGAGCGAGTAGCAGAGGAGGAAGAAATCATGTTTATAAACTAATATTAAAGACAGCAGATGGATGGCTCAAGAGTTCCTACCTTTTGTCTTATCTCTTTGTCTGATTTTGGTTGGGTAGGCAGTGGGAAAGCTTGGACAAGGGCACATCCTAGAGAGCTGGGTTTTCCCCTTTGTGATGGACTTTGACCTACTGAGACTGGAATGTGGAGTGGGAAGAGGGGTTTCAGTGACTCTTGGGGGAAATGCCAAGAATGGGGATGGTGGCTGTTGTCTTTGTTTCTCCTGATTTTCTGTGGCCCCTTCAGTTGTTGACAGAGGAGGGCTGCTGGGGAGGACCTCAGAGAGGGGCTGCATCCAAGCACATTGCTGCTGTGAGCAGTAGCTTCTTGGGGCCTCCTTGAAGTCATGCACTTCACAGCTCCTTCCAGTTCTGTTGGAGAGCAGCTGTCCGATAAAACTGGCAGAAGTGATCAAGTTGCATGCATGAATCATTCATCATGAGATAGCAGATAGGTGCTTGTTTGGCCATGTCTGCCACTGGTGGCGTAGTGGTAGCAGGCAGCACTTTCCCACTATTTTCCTATCAAATATTCTTGCTTGGCTTTGGATTGAGGTAGATATTTTAAAAGATATAGGATTTGTTGCTGCCCTCTAGAAGCTTTCAACATATTTGGGAGGCAGACATAGCTACCGTAAAACATCTCATGTTATAAACAGTTTAGGATTAAATGCTAGAGTCTGAGTTTTTGATGGGAAAGAGAATGTAGAGGATGGAATAGTCAGAAAAGGTTTAGAAGGATGTAGCCTGTTTGGGTACTGATGAGACCAGCTTGGGTGGAATTTAACCTGCTCATGAAGCCAAGAAAGTGCAGCATAATTTGCAACAGCTCATACCCAGATGGAGTGAAAGGGAGAAGAATCCAGTTTTCACTTGTGGGCCTCATGGGACCTGGTGAGAGCTCTGTCCTTTGGGGATGGGGCTTAGCCTCAGCGTATGTAAGGTCGGGAGCCAGCTGCCACCCCTCTGGACAGACGCCCCCAGTGTGCCCTGGGAGGAAGATGTTCATCTCATGCACTGAGTACAAACACATGGATGCCCATGGTCTTCTGGTTTCTGGCCCTGTTGGTTCAGGAGTTGACCCCCAGTACAACTTACTGAGGCAGCCTACTGCAGCAGGGAAGATTCACAGGGTCTCAGACTCTCCACCCTAGGCTTGGAATAGTTTTCCTCTCATGCCATCTGGTCTGTTTCTGCCAGCTCCATGCCAGGCTTTTTGCTGTTTGCTGGGGACCCTGAGCTAAGGCAAACACAGCTCCTATCCTAGAGGAATATCCAATCTGATGGGAGAGGTAGACACATAGATGTGCAAATTCCTAAGTAGTATGAATGGGTTAGGAAGTGATTGCCTGTCCTGGTTATGTGTGCGTGGGAATAGATATGTGAAGATAGGGGGTGGTCAGTGGAAGTTTGAAAGAGGAGAGGCATTTGAGTTGGGTCTCTAAAGTGATGAATAAGAGTTCACCAGAAGAAACAGTGAAAGATAATTCTTAGGTGATAAGTACAGCAAAAGTTAGAGGCATTGCAAAGAGCATGATGCTCTTTGAAATTCTTTTTGCTAGAGTCACCGGTGACTCCTGATTGTAGAAGTTGATGACTTTTATAGTCTTTCCAGGCCATTAGACCCTGTTGACTACTCCTTAGACACTCTTGTCCTCAGGCATGTCTGAAAACCCTCATCAATGGTGTCCAGCCCTAACTTCCTTCTCTCTCCTGTTCCACCCCAACAGCCAGCTGCCTGAAACTGTCTTCACCCTCTCCCACACCAGTGTCAAAGCCCCTTGTCTCAGTGCTTCTGACTCAGCAGCAGCTCCTAGATCAGCTCCTTCCACCTGTCCCCACAACCCCTACCCACATGTTTGTTGGACCCCCGATGTTCATAGCCTCACTCTTCCCACCTGCCAAGCCCCAGCTCTGATCCAGGTCTGTGGCACCTCAGGTTATTTTGCCAAAGAGGCTTCATCTGGATGCCTCGAACATTCGCCAAATGCAGGGTCAGTGGCACTTCATTCTTTTTGCTTTTGTTTGTCTAAAGCACAGGGACCGTTTCCAAGGCCTGTCTGTCATTGTCAGGGGCTCAGGAGCTCTGCAGAGGGAGAGAGATTCAGACCTAAAGGAACGCATGGGAAACTGGATATTGACCCTCAAGACGTTACACACCCTGGGACTTGGCCTCCCAAACTGAAAGCCTCCACCCATTTCTGGGAAAATCGGTCTTTCCCTCTCTTTGTGACAGCGAGTTTGTGCTTGTGTAAACCGTTGTGGAATCATTTTGGCTGTTAAGTCTTCACAGGGGCTACTTGTCCCTCATCAAAACCAACGAGACATTGTGCCTGGTGAAGTTACACCCACCAGGAATGAGGTTGCCCCTCCTCCAAGGCAGCTGGGGCTGGGGTTTCAGAAAACAAAGTGCCTTGGTGCTGTCCTCACCATTAAGGATTCCGAGGTGAACAAGAAAAATCAGCCAGGCTCATGTTGGCATCCGGGGACTGGCTCGGAGGTCCCAGCTCCCGGTTCTCCCTGGTTCGGAGTTGGAAAGAAAGAGGCGGAAGAAGTGTTTGAATACTGTGCTGTGAAGGGAACAGTCCTGCAGCGAGGCAGTTGTGATATTAGAGCAGACCTCCTAAGAGATCCCCTGGCTCTGAGCTGTGATCCACACGCCACATTCGCAGACAGCTGGTCGCCCAGCGTGGGCTGCGCCTGCCGCTCGGAGCTGGCACACTGGCGGGGACCAGGTAATGCTCTAATTTCCCTCGTGCAGATGCGGCCAGGAATATCTTAATTTATTGGTGTGCTGGCATGCAAGAGGGAATGCTGCCGGTGCAGCCTTGCATAACTATTAGCAAAAAATGGAGCTGATAGGGGCTTGACTCTTCCTAAAGTGGCTTTGAAATAATCATCGCCTTTTGTTGTGTTTGGAAGGGCTTGAACAATTCTTAATTATTTAATTATAGATATGCAAGTAATACACTGGGAATGGCCCAGTCATTCCAGGGATACTGAGCAGAGGAAAATGTTTAGTTACAGGAGGAAAAAAAAAAAGGTGGTAATTAAATCGAAGTGTCGTTTGTATCACGCCACGCTACTCTGTCAGCGACGCAGGCGGGAAGAGGTCTGCTGGGCCTCACCTCGGAAATTCTTATGTAATAATAAGAACATCAACAGCATCACCACCTTCTTCCAGGTGAGGCCAGGAGAGTTAGCAGTGCTCTTTCGTTGCTGTTTGGTTGTGTTGTGCCAGGTTAGCGTTCTGGGAGGCAGATGCTATTGTTCCCATTTTACAGATGAGGAAATGGAGCCCACTGTCTCATTTTACTCAGGGCTTGAAATCACAGTTGTATATTTCAGACGTCACGGTGGCCTGCTTTCCCACCCTGTCCAGTGACAGGGCTGAGCCTCCTCTGGATCACAATTCCTTTTCCGTCTCCTAACAGCCTAGGCCAGCCTTGAGAACTTTGGTGACTGTTTGCCTGAATTGTGCGTCTGACTCCATGGCTTGCCTCTCATGACGGACACCTTGTAATTATCCCTTATAAGCACTCATTGTATTCATATCATTAATTTTGTTTGGGCTGTTACATTTGATAGATACATTAAGCATTATATAGTTCTCTTTATACATGAAATTGAACTGCCTTTGAACAGTCAGCCGGCTAATTGCCGGTAATTTGTGTTGCTAACGAGAGGCAGAATAGTGGTATAACATTAGACTCAACAGTCAGTTAACAAATTTGCCGATTCAGATTGCAAAGCCTGCTCTCTGTAGCACAGGCAGTATGCATCTCACACATGAACAAATTTTTCAAAATGCATGCAACTAAAAAATACCTCCCAAACTCTCATCCCCCCATCGAGGCCTGTGTAACAATGGCTGGCTGTACAGCGGCTATGGGTGTGGGGGTGGGGGGTCTGACCCTCCATTGGTAGCTGTGGGACTTGAGGGGACCTTGGGAGTGGGAGGGAAGGTGTGGGCTGCTCCTCAGGGGGCTGAGAGGCCGAGTCAGTGCCTGCCTCCTGAGCGCTTTCTCACCCACACCTGATCTGTGTTCTGGGGGCAGCCACGGCTCTTTATTATCATAATTTTCCTTCTGCAAGGTCTTCCAATCCATCAGGTCTTGCTACCCTGAGGGGGTCTTGGGGGAAGAGATTGGATGAAGTTACCTTCAAGTCCCTGTTGCCACAGCCTAAAGGTAATTTAGAAAGAGGGTGGCTGGGGAGAAACAGTCAGGGTCATTGCCCCTGAAAGTTCATGAGCACTTCTGACCCTTCTGCCTTGAGAAAGCCATGGCAGTGCTTAGAGGAGCCTGGTGCACTTAGCTAATGAAGTGAGTGCCGGGGAGGAGGCTCTGGATCTGACACAGACAAGACAGCTGAGGCTCCTTCCTTCCGGAATAACAGAGACCCAAGAAGACACTGTTCTGGGCTGAATTATGTTCCCGGTGCATTCTACATATTGAAGCAATATGTAGCAATATTGAACAATAAATTACATATTGTTACATAGGTAATTTAATCAAAATGAGGCCCTCAGTTGGGCCCTAATACAATCTCACTGGTGTCCTCATAAGAAGAGGAAAATTGGACAGAGAGACATCAGGGATGCATGTGCTCAGAGGACAGATCATGGGAGGACACAGCGAGGGGGTGGCCACCTACAAGCCAAGCAGGGAGGCCCCAGAGGAAGCTAGCTCTGTTGACACTGCCACCTTGATCTTGGACTTCCAGCCTCCAGAACTGTGAGAAGATAAATTTCTGTTGCTTAGGTCACCTAGTCTTCATGTGGTTCTTCATTATGGCAGCCCCAGCGTATGAGTACAGACAATTCCTATAGCTCTAGGAGGCTCGGGGAGGCTGTGGTATGGGCTGTTGGAAAAGTCCCAGAAAACCAAAGTTCAGCAGCCCCCTTAAAGCTTGAAAAACACAGTTTTTGGACAAAGTACAGGATGCCCTAAGCGTAGGCAGTAGATAGCAGCCACTCCAATTCATTCCACAATAGAGGCCCAGCTCCTAAAAGGGATTAGATAGACGTTCTTTCGTATATCCAGTTAGCTACTAAGGGACACGATGGGGGCTGTGGGAGGGATCTTCTTTGTCATTTGAAATGGGCTCCACAGAGGCCTCTTACACCCTTGCACCAACCAGCTATAACTCTCATTTTCATGGGAAGTGTGGGAGAGGTTTGCATTCCTGCATCTTCCTTCTCTAAGCACATGGGTGTTGGTGCCTACAAACCAATATTTACAAAAGGGACTTTTTAAGCTTGGAAGACAATGCTTTGTGGTTATCAGAGCTTATTCTAGCATCTTCTAGGCCTGGCTGGTATCTGCTCAGTGAACAAGCTGGGTCTGTGACTGACACATTCCTGAGCACCCCAGGCTCCAACTTCCTCCTGCCCCTAGCTCCAGTCCATAATTTAAAAGAATTTAGCTTTCTTATAACTTAGCAAAGTAGCAGAAAACATTTGGATTCCCAACTTTGGACAGATAGTTGATATTTGCAAGGTTGTGGTACTTGGTTATAGGACCACTAGCCTAAACCTGATCAATATATTTTATTGATTGTTCATTAGCACTATGTCACACTTGCTAGGCACTTGCCATTATTGGATATAGATTTGGTACAGTATCCACCCTTTCTCCCTGGGTAATGGTCATTGAGCTTGACGACATATAAGTGTGTGTATATATGTATTTATGTATGTGTATATATATATGTGTGTGTGAATATATATGAAATATGCATAGTCATTAGTACTTCTGTAGATGGTTAATGCATCTGTAAAGAAAATTATGTCATTAGAATAAAATTGATAGGCTTAATATTTTTGCGCACATGTATTTGTTCTCAAATCATTTAGAATCCATAGACATTTCTTATAGAATGGGAATGATGCTGCCATCATGACTTTTTTTCCCCACTTATGGTGTGATTAGCATCATCACAAGATGCTTTTCTAATGTCAAATGGCAGCTTTATCTGGAAAACCCAAATGTCAGTGTCCTGCCAGCATCCCTGGTCATACTGTTCTTGCTATTCTTTCATCCAAGGATAGGAACATACAGGAAATGAAAAAACCCACCATTGCAAGTTGGCCAAAATGCCTCAAACACATGACCATTTGTTCCCATCAGTCCAGGAAGGTTCCTAGGTCCTAACCCTTTGCTAGTGTCCAAAATTGCGGTCCATAGGTGGCCTCTGAGGTCTCATCGTGGTTCTTCTTGGCTGGCCTTTCCTTCTGTTTACCAGCCAGGCAGGAACAGAAAGGGGAAGGCAGAGCCCAATTTTGAGTAGGTCGCTAAGAGAATTTCATCTTCAGAGGGGTTCCATACATACAATAAATTAACAGTTGTGATGTCAGCAAGATATTCACATATGGATAGGGAGTATGGGTCATTTAGAAAGTTGTGTGATAAAACTGATCTTTGGTGATAGTGGTTTATCCTGTGATAGCATTCATTCCAGTGAGTTAAATGTAGAAATTCAAAATGGTGCTAATAAGTGTTTTTTTCATCAACATAGGTTGATTTTATTGTTTTTTCATCCAAAAGTAATGCATATTTGTGGAAAAACATTTTAATACATAGAAGAATATAAATTCTTCCTTCTCTAACCCCTCTTGACTCCTCCCTCAGTTTCCACTGCCTGGAAGCCACCTACCACTCTTATTGATGTTTATGTGCCTCCAAGAATTTCCTATGCCCATTTCCATGTATTATTCAGATGGGATCAATTACATTGGTTATTCTGCACCTTGCTTCCTTCGCTTTTAGGTTTGCACTGTGGACTTCTTTCTATTTCAACCCATTTGGTTCTGCTTCATTAAAAAATAGAGTATGCATAGTGTTTTATTTTATGGCTGCACCGTAACTTATTTAATCACACCTTTCTGGATGAAGTAAAAGCATTTGCAGAATGCAATGGGAGCACAGATACAACTCGGATGCTGGGGAGGGCTTCAGAGAAGAGGTGACATTTTATAACAGGTTTTGAAGAGTGGCTTGGAGTTTGTAAGTTTGATCAATGTCTGCAATATGGAAGGAAGCCATGGGGGATGAGAAGAGGAATAGGAGACTCAATGGATTCAGGAAGGGAACAGAGTAGGATCTCATGCACCTTCCTGCCTGGAAGGGGCTTCCCCTGGGAGGAAGTTCTGCAGTTGGAGAATGGGACAGTTTCTTGCATCCCCAGCTTGCGTGTAGGCGTCAGGTGGGCTCAGGAGACTATGTGAGCGTGGTGAGTTGCATGGGTGTGCAGACAGAGTAGGTGCAACTAACCAGATATTTGAGCCAAGTTTCCCAGCGTGGCAACCAAAATAAAGAGAGCGAGAGAGAAGGAAAAAACTCACTCAGCTTGCTGATAACCCTGGTTATTGCTTGGGAAATGTTGCACAGAACTGACGCCTGGTGACATGTCAGCTCCTGACAGAAACCCGGGTTGGCAGGTCCCGTTTTTTAAGCTGAGTGCCTGTCTGCCAGATCGCATTTGGATTGAGTGGCTGGCATTCCTCGAGCCTTGCTTAATAGGATTGAAAGAAAAGAAATGTTACTTTTCATCACCCAAGACAACAAAGAGAAACGGGGAAACGAAAATATTATTTCGTTTGAACAAATTACAGGGAGACTCTCTGGGGCACTTTCAGGGAGTTAGATGAGGAAAAGCACTTAAATATCATTCCATCAAGCTAAATTTTTAACTACAATTTTTTACAGATAAAATGTGTTGGGAGGATTCAAAGAAGATTAGAGCTCACCTAAGAAACAGTATTCAAATTTTACCAGCTAATGGAGGCCTAGCAAAAACTGTTAATGCCTATAACTTTCCTCCAAGGGACAGAGATTTCAGTATTCTTATAAAAACACATTGAGCTGATTTCATTTCGGTGTCTCTGCAGACTTCATTCGTGTAATTTCAGTAAGTGTTATAAATGTTATTTTAAGTATTATAATGATAATCCCTACTGACGATGGGGCTGCGCATCTCAGCTTCCATTACTAAGGTAATGTTTACCTCGGATAGCACATAATTGTTTGCTTTTTTTCACAGTAAACTCTCCGCTCCCAATTGCTTAATCAGCCATGGAAAAGAGAGGAGACTTTAGAAATGTTTAATGTTCTTCTGATTACATTAGAGTAATGAGTAAGCCCACATCAGTGGGGCTGGAGGAACATACCGCCTCTCTTCCCCCCTTGTTTATTTTTTGGGGAGCGGGTGGTGAGTATGTGTTTGTTTTTGTCCACGGTTCTTAAGGAGGACTGAGGTGGGCTGTGGCAATCTCGTGAATCATTTATTGTTATAAATATCACGGCTGGAGCGTACATCTACTCAGCCCGTGAACTCTCAGGGCCCTTTTTCTGTGCATGTGGTGGGCCTGGCTGGGCCTCGGGCTGTCCTCCTGGTGGGTCCTGTGAACTCTGGTATTCTGGTCACAGTCCACGTTTCTATGCTCTCACGATCCACAGAGCACCCTGTAGGCTCTCTGAATGCGTTCTCCGCTGCCTGCTCGTTGGAAGCAAGATTTTATTAGGCTTTATGAAAGTGAAACTTTTCTACCCTCGAATGTGGAATCTCTGGGGCCTTCTCGGGGCATTGTATAACATTTGCTTCTCTGGCTTCTTAAATATCTGAATCCAAATGTGATCAGGAATTAAGAAGGAACAAGGAAGATTGATATGCATCACAGGTTGGAAGAATATTTGTTTCTACGGGTCTTGAGTGTTCAAAGCTCTCCTTTCTTCATCCCTTGGCAATGGGGAAGTTCTGCTTTGAGCTAACTGGAAGGCCTGTGTTCTTTAATTCATTCAACAAACATTTGAGAGACTGCTCTGCTTCAGGCGCTTTGCTGGGCTCTGGGGAATGAATACATGTATTTTCCACACCTCTGTGTAGTTTACTGTGTTGATGGGAAAGCCAGGAATAAACAGGCAAACAAGTAAATACATAATTACAAACTAAGAGACGTGTTATTGGTGCAGGGATAGGGAAAATTGGGAGGATGTTGGTCAAGCTGAGGTTTAAAGGATGAGAGGGAGCCAGCTGGGTGTGGGGCTAGAGTGTGGGGAGTGACCGGGACAGTGGCTCCCATGACGTGAGAGAGGCCAGCAGAGCCCAGGAGATATTGGGCCTTCCAGGATGTGGCCAAGAACTGGGATTTTATTCTCTGCAATAGGAAATTATTGCAGGACTATAAGCTGTGAGTGACATTTTCCTATTTTAAGTTTGTATAAAGATTGCTATGGCCTCTGGGTGGAGATGGGAACATCCAAGAGCAAGGGTGGAAGCTCAGGGTCCCGTGGGTGGCCACTGCTGCTGCTGTACTGGCTGGAGATGACAGTCCATGGTGGTGGCAGTGGCTGGGGAGGCTGCGTCAAGGTATAATTTGAAAGGTAGGTGGACAAACTCACTGGTAAACTGCATGTGAGGCAGGAAGGTGTGTTGGTCTGGATGACTCTGGGCCACTGAATTTCTTCAGCTGACCCTCTGCCAGCCCTCCCTGTGCCCTCCCATGGGAGAGGTCATCTCGCAGGACTGACTACCTGGGGTGTCTTCTTCTTTCCCCAAAGACTGTTTGGAACCCTTTATGGTGGTCCTTGAGAAAGGATGGAGCAGGGGCTGGCTGGATTCCCTGCCTCCCCAGCCCCTCATGAATTATGTTACTCCTACGCAAGCCTCAGTTTCCCCAGCTTTTCCTGAGAAGTGGATGCCAGCACGCTCAGCTTGCCTGGACCCTCCCTTCTGTCTCCCCACAAGCCCAACAACAGCCCTTCCTCCAGCCACCACTCCCAAGCTCCCCACGGTCTGTAATATAATTTAGCTTAAGCCTTTAGTTAAAGACCAGGGCCAGTAGGTAGCTGATTTTCCCAGTCCTCAGGGTGGACGCTTGACAGGTTTCTGTGCTGGGACTAAGGAGCGGAGGGAAGGGAAGTGGAGTGACTGATAATTAAAGGATCCTGAGGGCCCTAGTGTGGTCCAGTTGGCCCAAGAGGGGTCCTGCCCCATGGAGATCTGGTCAGTGGGCATGTGTGCACCTGACCTTCTGGAGGGTAGGCAGCTACCACCAGGGGCTGGGGTGGGGCAGCAGTGGGTGGGGGTGGGGGGGCAGGGAGTAATTGCTTGGACAGAATATTCCCAGTGCCCAGCTTCGAGTTGAATTAACTTCCAAGAAAATATCTAATATCCCTCCCCTTTCCCTTGGAGAAGCAACAACTAGTTGAATCCATCCATCTGTGTCTCTCCCACCCTCTGCATCCTGGGGAACATGGAGGAATCTAAAAAAGAATTTGCCAAAATCAAGGTGGAGCATGAACCTCCCAGGTATGCTTGGGAGCAGAGGAAGCGGGGAAAATAATGTTTTTGTTTCCCTGAAACACACACACCCTCTCAGTCCCAACCAAAACCAGATGAATATTTTAACACTAGCGCATTTTGTTCAAGCCAGGAGTACACTGCATTCCTGGCAAGGCCAGAGAATGACCTGAAAACCTGAATATTTCAGGGAACAAAAGGTCCTTGGGTCTACCTCCGTCCAGGGTTATTTGATGACTGGTTTGGAGGGGTTTCGGGAGTGTGGGAGGAAGTGGGCAGGGTTTCTGCTGGTCCCCCTCCCTTCCAGGCTGCCTACTGTGGGAGCCCATGCCCTGCTCCGTGGCACCAGGCAGCCGTGTGGAGCCACAAGGTCCCAGCTCCCAGCCATGCACCAGGCAGAAAGGAAGAGGTGGGAGAGAGAAGGAGAGGGCGAGAGGCGAGGGGGCTGGGAAATAGAGAAACAAACTCTGTTTTCTGCTCATCTGTGGCGGGAGGCTCCCGCGGCCCACAAGCTCTCGGAGTGAAGCAATTTCAGACAGGGATGAGTGTCTGTTTTTCCCTGGAGCAGAGGCTAAAAAACCCCAAAGCCCTCGGTTTCTCTTCCCTTAATATCCTGTTTTAGAAAGTGCAGTTGTGAGAAGGTGAAGGAAATGAAGAAGACCCTTAGCAAATGGAAGCAGTCCTTCCCCCGCTGGAGCCAGGGGGCTGGGATGCCTTGTTCCAGCTGCTATGGATAGGCTGGACAGAGGCCACCTCTGGGATTGGGAGAGGGAGCTTGTTGCTGAAGGGGGTCCCTGGCAGGTGGCCATTTGCAGACAAGGATTCAGATTCCCGTCCTGTCTTGGGGGATGTTTACTGGGACTGGTGCCATTTGTGTGGCTTCAAAAGCCTTGGACAATGGCATGCCCAGCTCCCTGCCCAGAGAAATGAGGATCTTGGAATACTGTGGCTCTAGGCTCTGTTGATCCTGCCTTTCTTCCAAATGCAGGTGCTGGACATTCACCCCCTGCCGCCTTCTTCCACCTGCCCACAGTGTGTGCCTGCCATGTGTCTAGGTCAAGCAGGCACTGGCCTTTACTGCAATGTGAGTGCAGAGTTTCAGAGGCAGCCTGGTCCAGGGTGGCTGGGAGCCGGGTCTCTATCGCTGGCAAATAGGAACTACAGAGGCTGTTATGTCCTGGAGAGGCCTCTTGCACCTGCATGGTGGAAGGAGGACAGAAGCTGCTTCTACAGTGGAGGTCTCCCTCTTGTGCCATCAGTGGGGCGTGGGGAAATCCTTCTCTCCATGAGTGAGGAGGGTCGGCACTGCCTGTGGCTGCCAACAAGGTTTCCTGCAGGCCTTAAGTCACCTCCTGGCCTTGCTCTCCTCCTGCACTTACCTGCTGCAAGTTGAGCGGCTGCTGGACTGCCTGCCTTACCTTCCAAGTCTTGCACCACATTTCCCTTCTCTTTTGACCCTGCTTGGAGGGATGTCCCAGCCCTCCTTTTCTCTGTTTGTGGAGATGCTGGCTCCTGGCTGGTCGCTGGGCCTTGCTGGACATGGGGCCCTGGCGTCTGTCTGGGTGTGAGCCTCAGTTCTGCACTCTGCTCTCTGGGCAACTAGGCAAGTCATGTAACCTCACTGTGCCTGCTTTCTCCTCAGTAAAACGGTGATGATAACGGTACCCTCTCCTTATGTGCTAGTGAGAATTACATAAGCTAAGTATGTAGAGTGCATAGATCAGTGTTGACATGGAGTAGCAATGAGTACATAAATGTTTGACATTATTATGGCTGTGGTGGTTGATTTCTTTTCCTACAACTCTTTCCCATTCTTGGAGACTTGGCTCACAGCACCGCTCCTGCAGGGACCCCACCCCCCCACGCCAGCTGGCCTGACCCCAGGTCTTCCATTGTCTGCCCTGGGTGGTTGGACACCCAACCTTACTGCCTCATTGTCTGCCCGGGTTGTCTTTAATGTTGTCACATCCATTTGGCACATCTCAGTTATTTCCAGATTCTTTTGAGAACAGGGACTTGCCTGTCTTCTCATCTGTGCCCTCTGTTTCTGGCCCCCAAATTCTGGATTTGGTAAATGTTTAGTAATCACTTGCTTCATTGAATAGTATTAAACTACATTTTTAAAAAGGTAAAGGCCTTTCACTTCAAAGACTACATATAATAAAGAATATATGCGCATCTATTCCTTATCATACAGTATCTGCTCTGGGCTAGACCCTGGGAATCACACCCAGTGCCAATGGAAAAAATTCAGCTCAGAGAAGAAAACTAATTTGCCCAAGGTCACAGCAACTGGAAAGTCAAAGGTAGGACTTGAATTCAGGGCTCTGAACTCTACTGGGGCAGACTGTGTGGGCAGCAGAGAGTTGGGCTCTGGGGGTTTTCCAACAGGACCAGTTTTCTGATGGGTAGGGGCCAATTTGCTAAGGGTTGGCCTTGAGCTACGGACTGCAGTGGCCTGAGTCTACAAGTCTGTGAAAGAGTGCCTGCCTCCAGGTAGTGTCCACGAGTGGCATGGTGGCCTCCGTTTTTATTGGTAGTGAATGTAGTTGCATTGGGGCTAACACTCAATAGACTTGACTCTGTCAAGGTTCAGGGCACCTGGCAGTGCCCAGCCCAGCTACTGCTCTTGCCTGCACCCCTGCCTCTGCCCCTGCCCCCACCACGAGTTCACCTGGCACCATGAGCTCCCTTGGACAGCAGCTGGCCAGGCACCCCAGTCAGCTGCCTGAGCACAGGGACCACAGCCACGGTTGCTGTTCCCAGTGTTCCCAGTGTCTATCTTGGTATACAGTAAGTGGTCAATGCGGGCAGCAGGAAATATGATGAGGGCCAAAGGGATTTGTCTGGTTCTGGCAATTTCCTCCAGAGAGCAAAGGAAACTTCTGGTTCCATGTCTGGGTATGGAGTTTGAGAAACGGGATGAACAGGGTAAGATGAGAACACTGACCTTTGAAATAGCCCTGCCCCTCTGTCTCTCCCAGGAGTCAGGAGCACTATCTGGGGTGATCAGGAGAGAGCCAGGGGAGAAAAAGGACCCCACCCTAAGACAGAGTTTGGCCTTTGCTTCTCCCAGCCTGCACTCAGTCTCTGATCTAACCACCCTGGAGGGCAGCCCGTGCCTCCTTCAGGCTCCTCCAAGTGTGGGCCAGTGACCTACACCATCTGCAGTGTCTCAGAGTGTGCGAGAAGTACCAAAGGCCAGGCCTCACCTGGTCCTGCCAAACAAGAATCCGTGTTTTTAAAAGAGCTCCAGGTGATTTGCATGCTCAGTCAAGTTTGAGAAGGGCTGGCTTGGAAGTCGGGACACCCAGGGCAAATGCTGCCGGAGGTAGCACGGTGCCCTCCAGCCTGGCCTCTGTCGAAGCCCCACCCACTGCTAGCCATACAGCTTGGGGATGTGGCCTGTCCTGGTTTCATTTCCTCCTAGGCACAGTCGGGCCTATCTCCCTGTGCTGCTGAACGAGGACTGGGGCAGCCACTCCTAACACATGCTCTGCACTTAGCTCACAGCCCGGGTGTTGTGAATGCTGGCCGGATGTGATGTTAGAGGCCTGAAGAACCTAGAGAGTGAAGGGGCTGCGGCAAGTAGGAGGGGAAACTGCTGATCTGAGAAGCTAGTTTTGCGTTGGGCTTGTTTAGTGGAGCTTAAATTAGGAGCTAAATACCCGCCAGGACTCCCCGTGGAATTATTACATGAAATGGCAGGGAGACGGGGAGCCAGAGTTAATGCTGGTGATAGCAGTTTTTTTTAAATCTAAAAAAAATGTGTTGAAAGCAAGTGAAACCCCTGGTGATCGCAAATGAATTGCCTAAGTTCTCTTAGCATATCCACTTTCCTGAGTGATGCCTGGGTTCGCGTGAATGAGCCACTTTCTTCTCATTACGAAGGTGCAGTGTGGCTCCTGCAATGACTCCTGGTTCCGGCTGGCAGTCTGGTATGGGCCCGACCCCTCGATCCGCCTGTGGAAGCTGCATCCTTGGTGGTGGCAGGAGGGGCTCCATGGGCAGGGCCGGGCATCTGGGCCTTCTAGCAGTTTAAATGCCTCCGATTAGCAAGTCGGGTGGGAAGAGGTGCTAAAAAGAATCCTTCCCACCTCCTCCGCTGGCATGTTTTGAAGGGAGTTCAGTTATGAGACTATTAAAATGTTATTTTGATAATTAAGCCCACAGCTGTTCTGAGGGCAGCAGGGGCAGGCAGCACACAGGCAGCAGAAGGCCTGGTGCTCTCCCAGGCTCCAGGAGAGAGGGAAAGCAGGAGGGAGCAGGGCAGGGCGAGGTGGGATGCACGACCTGGAGTGCAGCTGGCTGTAGGCGGAGAGTGCCCCTGTCATTGGGTTCAAGGATGCCTTTGAATGACAGGAGGCAACAGTGGCTCCAGCAGGCTTCCAGTCTTAGGTATGGCAAGCTGTCCCCCACATGGGGATACCTACTAGGTTTCACCAAGACTCTCAGAGCAGGGGTCACTAGATCAGTGGTTCTCCAAGTAGAGTCCAAGGACCAGCAGCATCAGCATCAGCAGCAGCATCACCTGAGAGCTTGCTAGAAATGCAAATTCCCAGCCCCACATACAACTGCTGAATCAGAAACTCTGGGTGAGGACTGGCAATCAGTGTTTTGTCTTTTTAGAGACAGGATCTTGCTCTGTCACTGGAGTGCTGTGGTGCTATCATAGCTCACTGCAGCCTCAAACTCCTGGCTCAAGTGATCCTCGTGCCTCAGCTTCCTGATTAGCTGGGACCACAGGCATGTACCACCATGCATGGCTAATTTTTAAAATTTTGTGTAGACAGCGGGTCCCACTATGTGGCCCAGGCTGGTCTTGAACTCCTGACCTCAAGCAGTCCTCCCGCCTCAGCCTCCCAAAGAGCTGGGATTACAGGTGTGAACCATTGCACCCAGCCTGTAATCTTTGTTTTAAAAGACTCTCCAGCTGATTCTGATTCACTAAAGTTTGAGAACCACTTTCCTTAAAGATCACCTGGCAAATGGGGCTCAGCCGTGCAGTGATTCCTTAGAGATTGGTACGGCTTGCTGTGAGGTATGGATGAAGGCGTGGGGATGATCAGCAGGCTCACCACATGTACGCATCCCTGATCTAGTCCTATTCCTTCATTGAACTGGATAGCAAAGAGAAGCCCAGAGAGGGGAAGGGGCTTGTCTAAGGTCATTCAGCACATCAGAGCAAAACTGGAATTGGTAATCAGCTGGGTCTCTTGATTCCAGATCTTTCTGTTGGACTATCTTTCTGAATGCAGAGGATGGATGCAATGGTTTGAATGTGTCCCCCAAATTTCATGTGTTGGAGATTTAATCCCAAAATCCGTATGTTGAGTCATTTGGAGGTGGGGCCTTTGGGAGGTAATTAGGATTAGATAATGTCATCAGGGTAGGCCCAGATGATGGAACTGGTGGCTTTACCAGAAGAGGAGAGACCTGAGTAGACAGGCACACACTTGTCCTCTTGCCATGTGATGCCCTGTGCCACATTACAACATAGCAAGGAGGCTCTCTCCAGATGTCGTCTCTGTGCTCTTGGACTTTGCAGCCTCCAGAATCATGAGCTAAATAAACTTATTTTCTTGATAAATTACTTGTCTGTGGCATTCTGTTATAGCAACAGAAAATGGAGTAAGACAATGGAGCTGGGAGAGAAGAGGTTTCAATTGGAAGTGATTAGGTAAGCCAAGGAGATACCCCATGGTTTATAAACCCAGAATATATTCACTGGCCTGGAGTCTCCCAGCATCCTCTAGACATGTTCTGCTGGGAGTTACTGCAGGACATACATCAGTCCATCCACACATCCATGCATCCACTGGTCCATCCATGTATCCATTTACTCCTCTACCCACTTCTACCTTCCATCAGTCCATTCATCCACCCATCATCCATCGTCCACATGTTCATATATCCATCCAAATATTTAAGTCACCATTCACTCGCCCATTTGCTTATTCACTCCGCACCCATTCATCCATCTACCTGTCCACTAGTTAGCCAAACCTTCCCGCTCTCCCTTATGGAGAGCCTACATGTACTATGCACTCCATATCATTCTCAACCAGTAGAAACCTAAGTTAACCCAGGTCACATGAGTTGGTCACATGAGTTCTGTAAGAGACTATTGAGCCAGGATTATGACAACAGTTGAGTCTCTCCACAGCTCTGCCTAGGACCTGCTCTTCCATTCCTCCCATTGCCAGCATCCCTCTCCAGTGTGCACTGTGGGAGGCCTCATGTTCTCGTCCTTTGTAGCACCACCACCTGCTCCATCCACACCTTCCTCACAGTTCCTTGAGCTATGGTAGTGGCGTGTCAGCTGGTCTCCCCACAAGCAGCCTTTCCCAACTCGTGCCGTTACTCACAATCTGGAAGTACCACACTTGATCATGCCACTTCTCAAAGACTCCAGTGGGCTCCTCAGTGCCTGTAGAAAGAAGCCCACTGTTTTGCTCAGCTATCTTATGCTCTCTGTGCTTGGCCCAGTCTAGGTATCAATGTTACGGCCCTTTGGTTTCCAATTTGTGCTGCAGCCAGAGTGGGTGATTTGGTTTCCAGACTGTTTTTGGCATGTGCTTTGGCTTCATGCTTTTGTGCATGCCATCTCCTGCGGAAAACACCTTCACCTCATGTGCCTCACTCCCCCCAGTTAAAATCCTTCCCACTCTCTGTGGTCCTGCTCCAATGCCTCTCCCTCCTTTTACTCATGGGGTCTGTCCTTGTGTCCCACTGGGATGGGACGTTCCCTCTGCCGAGGGAATTGTCATGTTTCTGGCTCCTGTTTGCAAGTCTCCTGCTCATAGCAGATTTCAGGCAGCTGCAGGTCTGTGTTGTCTCCACTCCAGGTCACTGTCCAGTGCCTGACACATAGTAGGTGCTGTTTCTGAACCCGGCAGTTCAGGACTTAGTTACATGTGTCTAAGATGGTGTAGAAAGGGCTACTGGGGTCTGACTGTTGGGTTAAAAGGCCTTGAATGTTGTTTGCCCCTTAGTACACACGGTGCTTGGCACATAGTAGGTGCTCAATCAGTATTTTTTGGATGGAAGAATGAATGAAAATATTTACCTTCTCCTTTAATGTTTGTAATTTCAAAATAAATATGGAGCAAAGAAAGCAAGAATAATAGTAAAAATTCAAAACCCAACTTGCCCTCTGCAGTGTTGGTCATCTAGGAGGGCAGCTGCCTGTTCCCTTGTCCCTGTTTTGGAGTGACCTATGGGTTCGAGTGGGGAGGGGCTGTGCATTTCACTTCTGAACTTGCAGTCAGAACCTGCATCCTCTCTGCTCTTCTGGTCTATTCTACGCTCCCAACCACTCATCTGTTCTCTATGGTGAACTGGAAGTGGCCTTCTGAATGTGTCTCCCTGTCTGGAGCCTTCAGTCGCTCCCATTGTCCTTAGGTAGAGACCCTCAGTGTAGGCCACAAGTCTCTGTAGAGTGGTCAGACACCCCCATCCTCCCCTCCCCTCCATCTGACACTTGCCCCTCACTCTGCATTCCAGCCACAGGCCTTTGTGCATGCTGTTCCTCTTCTGGGACTTGCGCTCCACGTGTCAGACCTGCCAAGACACAGGCCTGATGCCCTCGGAGCAGCTGCCCCTTTGTCTACCCTCCTGGGCATCCATCTCTCAGGCTGCAGTTAGGTGGTGACTCGTGTGTACAGTTGGTGAATATCTTCCTCCCTGGCTGGACTGGGAGCTCCTGGTGGGCAGGCACCACCCAGACCTGAGGCTTTATGCACAGTAAACATTTGATGCTTGTTTTTTGAATGAATGAATAAATGGATTAAAAAAAAAGATACAAGGTAGGTGCTTAGTAGATATTTATTGAATGAATAAATGGACGGCACACTATAGATGCCTAGCAAATTCTTGTTGGATAAACCAAAAAACCCAAGCAAATCAAGAAGGCTCAGCACCTTGTTGGAAAAGCCTGGCCAATGACTCTTCCAGTTAGGCCTTCTCCAGACCAGGGATACTATCTGTCTGTCCATCCAGCCCTCCTGCTCTTTTCCTGTTAGCTCAGGAGGCCATGCATGGCCATGCCTTTGACCCTCCTGCCTGCTCTACCCCAGCACACGGGCAGGACCTGGAGGAGGGTGGCAATGGGGCCCTAGAGACCTCTGCTGACACACTTGTGCTGGGGGTGGCCTTCTGGTGAGTGATGGGATGGAGGCTGCCCTGGCCTCTGGCCCCTGGTATCACGACTCTCTTTGCACTTCTGTAATCTTTTAAACTCCAGAGCCGTCTGGTCCAGCTATGATCTGGAAACATCTTCCAGAACATCTGTTTTCCTCCTCAATCAATACACTCCCCAAAGAGGGCCAAGTTGCCAAATATTATATATAACATCAAACATGCTATCTGAATTCAATTAAGTGGTTTGGTTGGGGAAGAGGTTGTGGTAATTAAGCATACTGTTTTGGAGCAAATTATAGCAAACTGTTTCATTCTTCATTAGGAGGCACCTCTCTTGACTCCCTACGAGCTAAAAATGAGGGAGAGGAAGAAAAAGAATTAAATAAATACCCCCCAACTCACCATATAAATGAAGATAGCTTGATTTATTGGAACCATTATGGGCTTTAATTTTTAGCTCTGTGGTGCTCTGTGGCCATGGTGCAATTAACCTCTCTGAGCCTCAGCCTTCTTATCTGTAAAATGGGGATGGTAACACCCATCTCACATGGTTGCCATGAGAGTTCAATGAGATAATGAAAGAAAGAGCCTGCCTGTTACAGTTCCATGCACAAAGCAGGCCTTCACTAAAGGGTCACGATGGCATGGGGGTGCATTGAGGCTGGATGATTTATGCTCCGTCAGTCAGAGCCAGATTAGAAGTCCTTTTTCTACCAAATGCATCTCACGAGTGTGCCAGTGTCATTTGTGAGTTTCTGGGAGCAGGGATAAGGACTCTCCTATTTCATTTTGTTTAACAGCCATAGTCCATAGCTCAGAGCAGGCAGGCTCCATAGGTGAGGAGGGTCAGAATGCAGACCTCAGATGGCTTCAAGTGCTAGTTCAGCACCTCCTTTAGCAGCTCTGAATTCCCTGGGCAAGTTGCTTACGCCCCTGCCACATCAATTTCCTCCTCTGTAAAATGGGATATCACTAATTATTACTGACCTCCTAGGCTGCTGTGAGGATTAAATGAATTTAACAAATGGAAAGCACTTACAGTGCCTGACACATAGTAAAACTCCCAATACATGTCAATTTTGTTATTCATTTATTTAAAGAATGGCCCGTTTAAGCTGCCAGTCTTTTTTTCCACGGGCACTCCACTACTTAGGCTAGGGATACACCACACAACCAGCCCCAGACTAATAGCAGTGCCCATTTATCAAGTGCCTACCATGTGACAGTGGAAGGCCCAGAGGAGGTGCTTAACATCCATTCTCCATGGCTGTTGCAACAAGCCTGCTGTTACTTTCATCATCCAGAGGAGGAAACTGAGGCTCTTAAAGTAATCTAGCTGAGGCCATATAGGCAGCCAGGACGTTACAGGGCTAGGATTTGTACCCAAGCCTATGGGACCCCAAAACGGCTCTCTTTTCACTCTGCCATGCTGCCACTCAGGAAAACACACCTCCCAACCCTGACCCTAACTGGGCATCTGCTCTGTGCAGACTTTCATATCTGCAGTCTCAGTGGATTATCCAGAAGTCTTGGAGGATTCGTATGTTGACCCCCATGGGGCATTCTGACCCTTAGGAATTGCCTTCTCCAGGAGTCCATGAAAAGCTCATTCTGGGTTGAGTGAGGTGATAGGACAGGCTCATCCTCCCTGGAAGGGGGGAAACTGGTTAGAAGGATTTTGTCATCCAGGAGGGAAAAGATAGCGGCCTGAAGAAGGATGCTGGTAGCAGAGGTGGAAAGGAGAGGGTAGATTGTGGAGAAAACAGGATTGGTCACCAGTGGCATGCGCAGTAGGTGCTAGAGTTCTTTAGAGGCGGGGGTTTTCCTCGGAGGGATGTTGTTCTGGGAAACCTTACTAGAAGGGGCTGGTGGGGTCTAATCTGACTCCTGAAGGAGGGATGGAGTCATTTCACACAGTAGAGACATGAAGAGTTAAAGGTCTGGCGGTGGGAAGGCCCTGGGACCAGCTTTGGGGAGCAGACGAGGAGGATGTGAGAAGGTTCCTGCATTCAAGGAGCTCCCCGTGTGTGCTGGGACAAGAGGCCTGCAGCCAACAGTGGCTCAAGCAGAGTGACATCCAACACCAGCTATTCCACAGATTTGGGTGGGCTGTGAATTTTAGTGAATAGGAATGGGTGTGGGAGAGATTGGGGAGCCCTCACTGGACCCAAAGGCTTGCGCAGACAGCATTTGTCATTCATTCATTCATTTGTTCAGACCATCGATGTACTAATACTGTGGGGCAGGAGAGCAGGCGGAGGCAGGAAGGGAGACAGACAGAGGGACAAAAAGGGACAAAAGCCCTCCATGGGAGGCACTGAAGATTTAGGAGGCATACATACCTTGTATGCCTTGTCAGAGGTTTTTTGAGTTGCAAGAGCTGGAACCCTGCCTCCAGCTGGTCTAGGGAACAAGGGGAAGGGCTCACTGCTGCTGAAACTAGGGCTTCTTAAGGTGCAACAGGCCCAGCCCTGCCCTCTGTGTCTCCAGCTGTTGGTCCTCCTTTTCTCTATTAGCCTCCCTCTCTGCCAAAACCCTTGCAGTATGGTACGGAAAATGGCCACCAGCCCCTCCAGGCCCACATCCTACCCCCTTAGCTGGCAGTTCCATGGTGTTCCATGACAGGAGAGTCCTTTAACCTCCATAATACCAGAAAATTCTTACAATTGGCTCTGATTGGCCAGGCCTGGTCACATGTTCATCTTTTAACCAATCACTTTATCCAGAGGCATGGCATACACTCATTGGCCAGGCCTTAGTCACATGCTCATCCCTGACCCAGTCTCTTTATCCAGAGACATGGAATACACTAATTGGCCAGGCCTGAATCACATGCTCACCTATGATTCAGGAGTGCCATTATTCTCTGATGGTGGTTCCCCAAAAGACTCTTGGGTCATTGTTCCCAAAAGGAGGGAGAATGGATGCTGGCGGGAATAAAAACAAGGTCCACTTCCGGAGGAGTATAGGCCGGCTCTCCCCTCCAGGAATGAGTGGAATGAGTACTTAGAGCTGGGTCCACCCTGTCAAGTGGAATGTCAGGAGCTGGCCATCAGAGAGGGCTGGGTCCATGGGAAGGGAGGGTCTTCTGGGCCAAGGAATGGCCACACCTGGTGGAGGCCACATGGGCAGAGGAGGCCCTAGCCTCTCTTGACATCTCATGCACCTAATTTCCTTGCACCTGCACTGGACGGCTATTTGCATCCTCCCTACTGGGGCTGGGCTCTTTTCAATGCCTTCCCTTTTCCCTGGTGAGTGCATTTCAGGGTGGGAATGGGAGCTTTTGTTAAGGCCGCTTGTTGTCCGATTCCTGGTTGGCCAGCATGAACGGCGACCGAGATGGCAGGGCTGGGTCTGACTGGGAGACCTTTTTCTTTTGAACCCTTCTGGGGTCTGTCTAGCCTGATTCTATCTGGGCAGCGCATAGTGTTTTCTGGACAGAAACCCAAAGCTCACCCCTGTTTCCACATTGTGGAGCTGTGCGTCAGCATCATGGGAGCATCGCAGTGGCAGCTTTGTATCTCCCTTTTGTCCTGAGAGGGAGAGAGGTTGGCTTGGGAAATGAAAGGATCAGCTAATGCCATCCTGGGTCACATCAAAGCCAGCTAAAGCTGGGTGAGCTAGCTCATCACAGCTTCACAGGTGGGGAGGTTCAGTTTGTCAGAGTCCCTAGTCCTAGCCTCAGCCCTGCTTGCAACTTGCCTTGTGATCTTTGGCAAGTCTCTGTTCCTTTCTGTGCCTTGAATTCCTTATTTGTCCACACAGGAACATGAACACTTTGTGAGGGGTAAAACTTAATTCGCGAGTGATGTCATCAATTTGGGCCCATTCCTTTCTGTCCCAATGAGAGTCCCAGTGAGAGGACCCCGTCTTACCCCTCTTCTGTGCTATTGTTGCTGGCAGCTTAGGAACACATGGCTCTCATTTTAGGACAAATGGCTCTCCCTACTCAGAGAATCAGCTGTGAGTTTTCTGCTCAGGCTACCCTGTCTCAAGGTTGCTGCTGACCCCCTCCCCAAAATTCCCTGACACCCTCTTCCCCTCCCCTTCTCTAACTTCTGGGGTGAAGCTCGAGGCTGCCACCACCTCCCCGCGCTGCCCGCCAAGCCATTAGTCTCCCTTCTCACTGGCTGCGCATCAGCACAGTAATCATTTTCAGATTTACAAGCATTAAATATTTTAATTTAATGCCTTGGCTCTCTTGTAATTCATGCACTTAATTATATGATAATTACTCAAATGAAAGAGATACAGCTGCTGCCGTATCAATTCTGAGGGAAGACTGGATTTTTTAGTTGGACTCATTTTGGGAGGTGGCCTCCCCCACCACACAGCTCCACATCCCTCCCCAGAGGCCTCCTGCAGCCCTTCTTTTCTTTGGGCCATGGAGTCTTTCATAGCCCCTCCTCTCCCAGCCAGTGCTGGGGCTGGGCTGCAGGTGGGGTGAGAGTCTAGGCAGGCTGCACCCATCTGCTCCAGGAGCAGGGTGTGAGTCCTGCCCCAGTTGGGTGACCCAGACTTTTATGGGTGCTGCTCTGTAAGCAGAGAAATCTAATGACCAGTGAGCCAGGTTGGGAGGAGCCATGGGCCTTCTTTGAGTGGTAGAAGAGGAAGGACCCTCTCCAGGCCTCTCTCCCCACTGGGCAGCAGAGGTGGCTATGAGTGCTGTTTGGGGGCCTCTGTAGCAGGTGGAGAAGCCAGGAAGCCTGTCTCCTCCGCTGGTGATGGAAGTCTGGGGGTAAGGAGTCAACTTCTCCTCTGAATGTCTCCACTGGAAGTGGGGTTAGACCAGGCCTCCTACCACTGACCACCAGGGGGTTTGCAAAGACAGGTTAAGGATGGATGGAAGGAAGGAAGGAAGGATAGATTGATGGATGGATAGATGGTGCTTTCTGATGGGAGCACCCACCTTGTTCCTATCACCCCTCCCCTCCCTTTCTCTCCCCTCCCTTCCTCTCCCTTTCTTAACCCTCCCCCTCTCCTCTCCATTCTCTCCTTCCATCCTTATCTTTTCCATTTTATTTTCCTACTTTTCTTCCTTTCTCTCTTTCCCTATTGACATCTAAAATTGTGTTGGATGCCTGAAGGGTACTGGCTGTTGTGTAAGAACTGTAACTATTAATATTTGGCAAGCATTTCAACTCCTGCCCTCCCCTGTTCACGGAGCCCCGATGGGTCTGATGTTGCTGAGTAGATCGACTAGAGACCCTTTGAGTTGATGGCACCAGCAGATTTGAGAATCAGGTGGTGTTGCCTTGAGCCAGGTCCTCGTTGGTTCTGAGGGTGGGCAGCACGTGGGAGGGCTTCCACAAAGCTGAGCCTGCTTCCTTAGGGGAGAAAAGCCCCTTTCTCTTACTGAGAATCAAAGGGAAGTGGCAGAGGAGTCCTGGGCAGAGCCCTAGTGAGAGGGGCCGATGGTGCTCTGGCGCTCAGGCTTGAGCTTTTGAAGAAGCCTTTTGGCTTTCCTTGGGATGAGAAGTTGGGTCAGGAGAGTGAAATTTCCAAGCCAATAATGTATTCAGGCTTTTTGAAAGTTTCCTGGTTGTTCGGGTGGGGAACCTCTTGGTTTAAGGGAAGATCTTGGCCACTCTGGGCCCACGTGTTTCGTAGGTGTGGGAGAGCTGGACAGTGCATTTCTGCCGAAGTGTGGGTTTGCACTGAAAAGGGTTACAAATGGTTCGCCCGTATGCAGACAATTTTCAGCTAGCTTACAGCAGCTGCGGCGCCGTGCTGATAGATTAAAAGCAGCAACCAGCCCCAGAATGAAGTGTATTAGAACTCCTGCTGGGTCGAGCTGGGGAGAGGCCCACACAGCTGTCATCTAGGCCAAGTTTCCAACCGAAACCTCAAGAACAGGATGGAACTCTGAGAAAAGTTAGCTTTCTAAATGAGGTGGCCGGCTGTTAATCAGGAGAGTGGGGAGAGGGACCCGTGGAATGCCGGGAATTTAGAAGATGAGGACGAGGAGGAGATTGGTGGAGGTGTCCTGCCCAGACCAGGAACTTTGTACAGAGCTGTGATTTCTGGGGCCAGGGAACAAACAGGCTGTTGCTGGCGGGGGACCAAGGGCTGGGCACAGCACCCCCTCCTTGTGCCTTGCTCCAGGCATCTGTCTTGGGAGTTGGGTGAATAAGGACATCTGGGTGTTTCCACACTACTTCCAAAGGCTCCAGGAGCTCAGTGCCACCACACCATGCTCAGGCCCCCCTGGCTGAAATGGTAGGGTGATTCTTGGATCTGGGGAGCTGCACAGATCTACTTTTGTCCTGGGAAATTTCTCTGTAGAGCCACCTGCTGCCAGCTGTCCTTCGCTTTCCCCTGGCTACAACATGGGGGCTGTTTTGATTTCATATGTTTAAGGGATGTCTTCTCTTGTGTTGAGAAAGGCTCTTGGCAGGGATTGGGTCCTGGCCCCTGAGTCTGACTCAAGGCCACAGAAGGGGTTCCTTCCCATTGTCACAGATGCTACTTGAGAGCATATCTAGCACACCCCCATCCTTAGCCAGCATGCCAAAAGAGAGATCTGGAAATATTCTTTTTTTTTTGATATGTACTTATTTTTGCAATAAGCAAAATACTTCCTGTTTTAAGGGTCAGGTGAGTCTTTGCTGAAAAAAGGAATAAATCCAACTTAACTACATTGCGATTATAAATAGTACAATATATGGCCATAATTCAGTGGCAGTGGCGTTTGTGGTACATCTATAGCAAATCTATCCATTTAACAATTTGCTGTGTCCTCACTCGGGCAGGCCATTGGGCAGGCTACTGTGCAGTCCATCAGCTGCAGATGTGGCTCTAAGCATCAGGTGCAGTTGGTCATCAAGGAAACACAAACCTAGGCAAAGAGCCTGCTGGTATCACACATCAACTGTGGCAGTCTTATGTTGGGAAGAGGCCTGGCTTCCAAAGCTGCTGTGCATGACCTTGGCCCATCAGATGGTGGGAAATAAGCTCTGCCCATTGGTGGCATGATTGGAGGCTCTTGAGCAGACATGGAATTCTCGTGGTTTCTTGCCTGATGAGCAATCAGGTCACAGATGTTTTCTTGGATTCCTGAGCTGGCCATACCAGTGGGATGTGTATGTTTCAGTAGCAGGCCATGGGGAGGGGTCTCAGGGGGTGAGGGAGAGGTGCAGGTGGATGCCATTGGCCTGGTCCAAGGGTGTGGTTGGGATGGTGCCGACAGGCCTAGAGGCCAAAGACGTGGCTCTGGGAGGCAGACCACCTTGGTTTGAGTCTGGGCTCTGCCCCTTCCTGGCTCTATGACTTTGGACAGGCTGCCCCACTTTCCTTGACTATAAAATCAAGATAATGACAGCATCTCTCTCAGAGAGTTGTTGTGAAGATTAAGTGAGATATCGTTTGTCTTAGACCTTGTGTGTTGCTGTGAAGGAATACCCGAGGCTGGGTGATTTATAAAGAGGTTTATTTGGCTCCCAGTTCTACAGGCTGTAGAAGAAGCATGGCACCAGCATCTGGGGAGGGCCTCAGGCTGCTTCCACTCATAGGATAAGAGGGAAGAGAGCTAGCATGTGCAGAGGTCATGTGACAAGAGAGGGAGCAAGAGGGAGGGGGGAGGTGCCAGGCTGTTTTTAACAATCAGCTCTATGGGAACTAACAGAACAAGAACTCACTCACGCTCCTTCCCCTGTGATCCAAACACCTCCCACTGGATCCCAGCTCCCAACACGACCACACTGGGGATTAGATTTGAACATGAGATTTAGAGAGGTCAAACATCCAAACTATAGTGACATGTAAAATGCGTACAGCTGGCTGTGTGGGCGCGGTGGCTCATGCCTGTAATTCCAGCACTTTGGGAGGCCAAGGTGGGTGGATCATGAGGTCAGGAGATCAAGACCATCCTGGCCACATGGTGAAACCCCATCTCTACTAAAAATGCAAAAAAATTAGCTGGGCTTGGTGGCTCGTTTCGTGCCTGTAGTCCCAACTACTCGGGAGGCTGAGGCAGGAGAATCGCTTGAACCCAGGAGGTGGAGGTTGCAGTGAGCCGAGGTTGTGCCACTGCACTCCAGCCTGACGACAGAGCAAGACTCCATCTCAAAAAAAAAAATGCTTACAGCTATGCTGGGCATTTAAGTACCCAATGAACGTTGGCTATTTGGACAAATTCTTCCATAATCTTGAATAGTTTGACAAGAATCCTAGAACCTCAAATCATCTGGTCTGATTCTAGAATCCGTTCATGAATCTCTTCCACAAATGCCCAGCTTTCCTTGAATGCCTCCCATGATGGGGAACTCACCCATTACAATCAATCATAGACAACTTTTTGTGGATCTAGTTTCCAGACTGTACTTTTTTGTTGGTTCTCACCTGATACAAATACTTTCCTGGCTTCTTCAGTATAGACTCCCAAGAACAGTTAACAGCTGCCACCCATCGGGTGTGTATCAGGCCAGGCACTGCGCCAAGCACTTTACCTACATGATCTCATCCATCCTCCTGTGTCCTAAGAGACAGATGTTATTTTGCCTCCATTTTACAGATGATGATAAAGGGTCAGAGAGTTAATTTGTTTAAGACTCACACGGATCCAGTTCAGCTGGCTGGGACTGAGACCTGTCTGATGTCCTAACCATTATCCTTTCCAAGCAAGCTCAGAACCAGCTAATTCTTTGGTGTTTTTCTCTGCTTCTCCCTTCTCAACTGCAGTCAGACCACTCTCCCATAATGGTTTCTTCCTATTGATGTTTTATTTGCGTGATTTGGGGAGACTATATAGGGATGTTACCTTTTGTGAGATATTATGTCTACAGCTTCTCACAGCACCATTAAACTAGTAGGATAAATTCTGTCTGCAGGAGACAGAAGCCACTCACTACTGTTGTCTAGTCTCTTAAATTAATAAAAATAATAATCTGATAAACTGGTTATTGTAATTTATCCCCGTAAAGCAGAGCACGTGCCTGAATTGTCAATCAGCCCTCAAAGCAGTAGAAAATAGCCAGCAATTACCAAAGGCTCAGTGAGCAGGGCGACCGCAATCCTGGCGTCTTCAAATTAGGAGAAATAAAGAATGCATCCAGAACACATCCATTTTTCAGCAAGTGCTGCATGGATTATAAAATTTATTATCAATAAAATTATTCATTTGTGCCCTATACCGCACTTAATGCACCTGAAGTGAGAAATTAGAAGTGTGTTTAATTCTGGGGCTGGAAGAAAATACAAGTGCAGCAAATTTGCAGTAATAGGAGAAAGTTAATGCCTGGCAAAAAAAGGAATCAATTTAGTGATTGCTTTTATATTTTGGAAGAGCAGATTGGTTTTTCATGCTTTTTTATGATAAAAGCATACAGATTCACTTAGATCCATGGTTTTCATATTGCTTTCGAAGAATAAAGAGAGGTTATGGATTAAGGGGAGTATACAAAGGTTAAAAGTACGTGCATGTCATCTGTATTCTGTGTATCTGGTGCATATATGTAATATATATGTGTATATATCTATATATGCCTCTATACATCTATATACACACATACCCCCAGTAAAGTAGATGTAGTTACAATATAGTTGGTAAATATTTAATAACTCACTGTCCGATAAAAAACAGAATTTTGATTTTGTAGCCTTTGCCGATTTCTGTGGTGTAAATACTCCCACTGTGGGCCAATTTCAGTCTACCAATATCATTTCGCTGAATCTGGAGTTGGGAAGAGAAACGCACAGTTGGCTCTCAGGAGTCAGTATGAACTGGCTCTAGCACAGCCCTGTTTTATATGTGCACATGTACGTGCATATAGACAGACACATATTATCTCTATGGTTTAAGAAAAAAAGAAAGGAGACATAAATGCTATCCATCAGTTTGAGCCCTGAGTATCATCTCTGTGTTTTCCCAAGTGCCAGCCTCCTTTAGTGAATTTGCATGTACATTTTATTCAAGTAAAGAGCAGCCTCCTGCCCTGGAAACACGGTGACTTTATTTTCATTAAGTTCCACGTGCTAAAGGAAAAAAGAAAAGAAGAAAAGAAGAGGTGAAGAAGGAGGGGGAGAATCCAGGCTTGGCTTCCCTTGCATTAGCAACACTGGCTTGTCTTCAGCGTACTCGGCCGACTCGCCTCGGTTTTTATCCAGCCATTGTTCTTTTTACACCGAGTTTGCACACTGTGGCGTGTCTGGGGAATTTCAGCAGTTGGAATATACATGAAAAGAGTTCCGTTCCACTTTCATAAGGTCCCTGGATGGCTTGGACGAGGCCTCAAGGCCCCATGGTAGAGCCGGCACCACATTCATATTCCTTCCCACACCACACACGATAGCACGAAGCCCAGACCAATCGAAAACTTGACAGTAAGCCTTTTGATTTTGCGGGGAAACCTTCATCATGCTGCGAGAGGGAAGGGAATATAGCCCAAACTGGACTTCATACTGTGGCAAGCTTGAAATCCCAGCCCAACCGCAGAGCTGGCTGATTGGAATTGTTGGAAACTGTGTCCAGGAATTCGGCTGCAAGAACTTGGCTCACAGCAACTTCGGCCTTTTTGAAAGAAAAATTGTCAACTGGGAGAGCCACTTGGGGCCTGGGTTTAATCTGTCCAGGCAGTAAAGATTCACGGAAATGATTGGCCAAGTTTCCCTAAAATGCTCAGAGCTCCTGCCTATTTGGGGACTCTGGGGGTGGGAAGGAGCAGGCTCACTGGCTCCTGGTGACAGCTGTCGTCACTGCCGTGATGATGGCAGTTGTCACCGGCTTCGATGCTATTGCTATTTTGTTAATCGCCAACCTGCTGCTTGTGAGATAGCAGAATCAGAGGTGCAAACAAAGCCATACAGAGCATATGTTCTACTCGGTACCCTGCTCTCAGGCTACTGTGACAGGGTGGCAATTTTCTGGGCACACCTTTTGCCCTGGCAAAGTCACCATGACATTTAGACAGCCAAAGACCAAAGAGAGACTAACATTGAAATCATAGATGTGTGCTGGGTAAATCTACAAGCAGTGGTACCGTTTGCACCTCTCTTGGGAGGACATCTGTGGGCTTTCTTGACTGGGATCGTGCCTTCAGTTTACTCATCTTTGTTTGAAAATGTTAGTGAATATGGGACCCTGCTATGAAATACCCATGAAATTCTAGCATCTGGGTACATTGGCCAGCAATGTCCTGATGATACTGATGTAGACAGTAGACCTTGGTTCAAATGCACAAAAGATGGAGCTTGGCGAAGGTCCAAAGAGCCAGGAATCAGGAGCAGACCGCCCACAGGAAAACATGTTGTCATCAACTCTTCTTCCTTGACAAGGATATTAAGTCCTGGTCTTTTCAGTGGGGGAAGATTCATCCTCTTGGGGCAGAGATAAGTCAGTGATGTTGAGATAGGTTTGGGTCCAACCACTCATTCTGCAGCAGGAGAGAGTTGGAGGAATTTCATCAGGGATGGATGGAGACTGGTGAGGATGTTCCCTGGGGCCTCCTAGAAAGATTAGGGGAAATCTCTCGCCATCTGGCCCCATGCTGATGCTCCAGCCCACCATACCTCATTAGCAGAGAAGGCTTTGCTTTTCTGTTTTTCTTTTTATTTCCCGTACTGTACCCTGTTCCCTGACCCCCTTTGGTACTGAGTAGGAAAGTACAAAGCGGGAAGTGGCAATATCCCAGGGCTTTGCCCCTTTTGTGTGGCCAAGCCACAGATAAGTCAGTAGACCTCTCTGGGACTCGCTTTCTCTGTCCATGAGATGGAGAGTACTCCCCACCCCAGACATACAACTGCCTTTCAGAGTGGTGTTTAGGAGTCCAGGGGATGGTGAGAAGGTGGAAGGGGCAGCTGACTCAGGCCATGCCTGGGGCAAGCCTGGGCCAGGGATGTCCAAGGTTGAGGGAAGCCCCTGTGGCCCCTAAGGAGCTCAGGACTTGCCCCCACCTCGGACATCCCTGCCTCTGAGACCCCCTTACTGAGTGGTTCTGATGTCATTGCTGGGCCCCTCCAGGTGGGACCCCCCCAAAACCCCGCTCGCTTCCAGGTACACCTTGGTGCTTCCCAATGCCAAGACTATTCAGGAAAGGGCAGAAACCTAGTAATTTCTCAGCTGGAGAGTGTTGTAAAAATAAATGTCTTCTGGAGGTTGAAAGGTTGTCAAATACACACTGAGCTTAATTGGGTCCTCAAAATGTGCAATTCCTGCTGATTTCATGGAAGATGTGGACGTGGGATGTGTGTGCATGTACAAGTGTGTGCGTGTGTGTGGGTGTGTGTGGATCCCTTAGCAGAATTGGGCTGATGCTAGCTTTTGAGCTGTGTGGATTTGCATATCTGTGCAGGTACCTGGGCCTCTTGATGGGTCCATTACTTAGCAAAGGACATGATTTCTCCTGCACACTGGGGAGGGCCCCTACAGCCACTTCTGGGCCTACTCCTCTTATCCTGCATCACTTTCAAGTTGGGAAGTGACCCAGGGCTGGGGCCAGGATCTTTGCCAGGGCAACTCACCTTTTTCATGCCATGGAACTTTCTCTCCTTGCCCCCAACAAGTAAACATCTTAATACTAGCTAATGCTCCTGGGGTGCTTGTGTGCCAAGCAGAGTTTAAGTGCTGTGCATCCTTTATTTAACTCATTTAAGTCACTCCTTAGCCCTGTGCAGAGATTGTGACAATCAAATGCAGTGCACCTGTGAAATCTGCCCACCATTGCTGGGGTCTGGGGCCCCACAAGCTCCATCCACAGGTCCAAGTTATGAACGCCTGCCCTGGAGAGTTAACCACCAGGTTCAGAATTGATCTCAAAAACAGTCCTTGCCTCTGTTTTTCTGCAAGCAAAACTGGCTTCAGAAACCTCCAGCACTGCAGGATGACACTGTGTAGCTCCAGTCCGGCTGTCTGTTGGCTCTCTCTGTGGTGGGACCCTCGTCTTTTCCCCTCTGTGGGCTGTTTCCCTGTTTGAGGCTCAGCCCCTCTGGAGCCAGCCCTCTCTGGCTTTGGGGGCCCCAGGTGCCCAGGCCCAGACTCCTTCTCTAGATCTGGCTGCCAGAATTGAATTGATCACTTCCTTGCAGGGCTGGAACCAAGGGGGCTCAGGATGGAGGCTCTTCCTCCTGGCCTTTCCTGGGCCTCCTGCGTGCTCATCCTGTGGGTGGGAGGAGGCCTTCTACCATCCTTGAGGCCTTCATGGGAGATGAGTTTCTGCATCTTTGTGAACTCAGTGCTGTGCCTTCAGAAGGACAGATTCCCACCCAAACCGCCCCATCACCTGGCAGCTCCTCCAGCCCCAGCCCAGAGGCTGCTTCTGCTGCCATTTCATTCTCTCACCTGGGCCAATATCAGGGGCCTGCAGCCATGCCATCGTTTTCCACCCAAGCACCCGTGTCCCCACCACCACCCCCTGGGGTCAGAGGGTCAGAACACTGCCCCAGGGCCACCTGCTCCTAGGATCCCCTCATGTAATTCCCCTAGCCCTGGTGGCCCCGGGAGTTCCTCCTTCTCATTCCACCCAGGCTGCAGCCCTCTCCACTGTCGCTGGCTTGTTTGTTCAGCCAAGACAGCCAACCCGGGGAGGAGGAGCGGGCAGGGGCTGCGGCGTCTGCCCCCCTCCCTCCTCCTGCCAGGCGCTCATTTGTATGCAGAAGGGATTAGGCAGAATTTACCGTGGCCTCACCCTGGGGAGCTGCTCGCGCCCTAGGAATACTCTCCGATGGCGGCGTGCAGTTGGTAAGATTAGAACAGCCCCTCTGCCGCCCTGCACGCCCTGGTCACTCTCTAGGCCGCCAACATCGAAATCATTTTCATTTATAACCTTTTTGATCATCCAGCCTCAAAGAGGGCCCGCCTTGTGTGACAGCGGGCACCAAAATGGCCCAATTATTTGGAAGAGGAGGGAGCAGCTGAAAACAGTCAGATATGAGAGACAGGGCACTTGATCTGGGCTCATAGTTTTTTTCCTGCCTTCTCCCACCAATATTTTTACAGCTGTTGACATATATTGAGTTACATGTGCCTGGGCTAGATCCCCGTGGTACTGTTTCAAAGATCTGTTCACCGTAAAGTGTGCTGTTCTCAAGTAAATGACTGACTTCAAGAAAGCACAGTAGTTTAAATGTTACTATAAATACAGGAGCTAAGACATTTTAATTATAATTTTTGAGTTATACAGTGTTCTATAAGTACACGAGGCATTTACAAAAGAATTTGTGCTGAGCTTCAAGACACTGTGCTCTCTTGTGGATAAAGAAGTAACTGCAGGTGGCTAAATTCCGCAGCCCAGTGGCTGAACTCTTGTTTACTTGTGGCCAAGAGGGGTAGGGGGAGGCTGCAGAGTCTGTGGAGGTCTCAGTTTGGGATGTTGGAATCAATTCCACACATATTTATTGAGTTCCTCTCTGTGCAAAGTACTGAACTGGGGGCTGTGGGGGCCTCCGAGTTGATAGGGCAGAAATCTCCGCTCTCACGTGAATAGTCCCATGGGAGAGGACAGCTAGCAAATCAATGTGAGAGACGCTGGGATAGAAAAATCTGTATGGGAGCTCTGAGAAGGGGCATCTGATTCTGCCTAGGGTGAGAGGGAGGGCTTTGGAGAAGAGGGGGCACTTCTGCTCTGACTTGAAGAGTGATGAGAGCCACAGGGAATGTTTGGAAGTGAACAAAACCAAAGTCAGTCTTCAGCATGAGAGCAGGTATTTTGGGCAAGCTGCATGGACTGCCTCTTTCTGTATGTGGCTTGCCTTTACCTGATGCCCTTTAAATTCTCTACTGTCCACAGTTGGAAAGCTCCGAAGGTCGGAAGAGACCAGTGATCTTGTGGGCTTGAAAACTCAGCCCTTTGATGGGTTGAGTGGAAATAATTCCTAGGTACAATGGGAGGGAAGCAGGTCTGTGGTTCTCATGTTATTGTAGTTTTGATGGGAGCAGCCTTGTGGATCATCTTCTTGTGTGTGCTCCAGTGCTGAGGCATTGGGTTAAGGAAAGGAGGCAGATCTGGACTGACACATGACTATTATCCACCTGACATCCACCCATCCATCTATCCATCCTTTCAACCTCCTCATCCCATCAATCCATCCATCCACACATCCATCTCTCCATCTCACCAACCTCTTCATTTCATCTGTCCATCCATCCATGCACCATCCCTCCATCCATTTATTTATTCACCCATACACTTATCCTTCCATCCGCCCACTCATTCATTCTTCCATCTACCATCTACCATCCACCTGTCCATGGTTACATTCACCTGCCAGATGTCCATCTACCCATCCACCATCTATCCATCTATCTGTTCATAATCCATGAGACATTATAGTGTATGGATCAAAAGCAAGGATTCTGCAGTCAGATTTCTTGAATTAATGTCCTACCTTCAACACTTACTAGCATTATGTCCTAGGAAAGCTACTTAACCCGTGTGTTAACCCTTTCGTCTACAAAATGGGAAAAAATAGCAGAGGACAACAGAAGCTCATTGTCAAAATTAAATAAGATACTACACACAAAGTGCTTAGCACAGTGCCTGGCATGGTAAGGGCTCAGTAAATGTTGCCTCTGTTTATTGAGTGATGCCTGTAGGCTGGATGCCACCCTGCACAGCCTGAACTGAATTACTGGTGCTCCAGGTATAGACTGGAGAGGTTCCTTCCCAGCTTCTTCCTTGTGGCAAGGGCTAGGATTTTGGAGTGGGAGGGACCTACTGACATAGGCATTAAGGATCATTAAGGAATGACCAGTGTATTTTGTTTTTATTTTTGTTTTAGGGGGAAAAATCCTAGTTTTTGATGTAGGTGTGTTTAATATGTGTCCATGAGGTCTCTTAATTTTTTTTTAACATTTAATTATGAAATGAACCCATGAAATACAGAAGAAAATGATACTCCTTGGTGAGTTGTCTACATCCCAGTTTCCATCTTGACCAAGCTCTTAATTTTAAAGTGCTGTTTTAAAGCACTTTACATCCAAATTCACTCATTCTTTGATTGTTCTTACAGATTTCTTCAAGCTACATGTGTCGAGCACCAGCTGTGTACCAGGCACTGTGCCAGGTGCTTTTGTCCTGAAGGTCTCGTGTAAGATTTATATCTTCAGAGGGAAACAGACCAAAATCTTGACAGTGGGTTTCTAACAGGGGTAGAATTAAGGGCGATCTTTATCTGTTTTTGTATTTTGCAAATTTCCTACAATAATCATATAATGATTCCATATCAGAAAAGCCAACTGAAAATAATTCAGGGAGATCAGAGAGCTCACAGTCAAGCAGAAGAACCACCATTTATAATAGCCAAAGTGATACCATAGGGGCCTATTAATGTAATGAGTCCCTGAAAACAAATGGAGAACATTGAGTTGGCATTTTCAGAACAACTGGTCCTGGAGACACCCTGGGTGCTCACCACCCACTGCCCAGTCGATTCTTGGCATTTAGAGCACCCTGTTGAAATGGTTTAGACTGGACAAAGTAGGGAGAGGATGTTCGGCCAGATTGTTTAGGAGGTAGTTGGGATTTGGGGGCCTGGGTCAAGGTGTGGTCACCAAGGTGGGCTGTGAAGGTGGTGTGGGTCTTGCCTCCGAGCTATGGCAAATGGGTAGAGGTAGAATGCTCATTCTTAGTGCACTTGCTCCCTGGGCTGCTATGCCCGGCGTTACTACCTGAGGATCTAGGATTGGGGAAGGGAGGAAGTCCTTAGGCATGCTTCAAACTCCTGGTTTGAATGTGGAGTTGGAGCTGTGGCCTCAGGTGTGGGGTCTGTAAAGTTGGGAGCTGGATAAGCTTGACTCTGGGGCTCTCCAGCATGGATGCATCCTGTTCTAAGTCTGCCCAGTGCCAGTGTCAGGAGAGAAAAGATATCATTGTTGTGGGGGGACCATGAAGCCCAGCAAAGGAATGGGCACTGGAGGGGCAGTTGGGAGTCCCCTCTGCCTCCAAGGCGGGACTGTGTTGGGCTGGAGGCATTGCTCTTCCTGTTGCTAACTTGGCAAATTTGTTTGGTTCAGTCATATCACTTTTGGGGGGCTTCAGTTCCCCATCTAATGGAGAATCTTTCACTTCATCTTCTGAGCAACCCTAATGAAAATGTTATGAGAGAATCTTATAAACAGGGGAGCCCTATGCCAGGGAAAGACGTTATTTCATAAAAAGACTTAAAATTATCATCTAATCTACTAAGAGTGGTTGTTATTAAGAAATACATATAAAATTGATCATGCCACTGCACTCCAGCCTGGGCAACAGAGTGAGACCCCATATCTAAAAAAAAATAAAAATAGGCCAGGCTCGGCGACACATGCCTGTAATCCCAGCACTTAGAGAGGCTAAGGTAAGAGGATTGCTTGAGCCTAGGCATTTGAGACCAGCCTGGGCAACCTAGCAAGACCTCACCTTTACAAAAAAGTAAAAAAATAGCCCGTGGGGGTGGTGCATGCCTGTAGTCCCAGTTACTTGGGAGGCTGAGGCAGGAAGAGCTCTTGAACCCAGGATTTCAAAGCTTCGGTGAGCTATGATTGCATTATTGCACTCCAGCCTATGTGGCAGAGCAAGACCAAGAGCCTGTCTCAAAAAAATAAAATATAAGAAAAGAAATATATATATATAAATTATAATGTTTACATTTTTAATCATGACCATAATATTGAAACTGTCGTAATTATTAGAACTCAGTATTCTGCCAGATACTGCACAGGTAGTACCTCTAACCCTTCTAACATCCCTGTGTAGGGTAAGACTTATTATTATCATTTTTCCAGTGACTTCATGCAGATTTGAGCCCAGCTCCTTCTGCCTTCAGAGTCTGTGCTCTGTTGAATCTTAACACCCCAGAAAGCTTGTTTGATATTTTTTTTAAATTAATATTTGATCTTTACAGCATCCCAGGAGAAAGCTGGGGCCATTTTTCTGTACCCATTTTACAGCCCAGAATAGCCCTGCTGGTGACTCTGCCCTGGGCCTCCTGTTTGTTCTTGCTTGCACCATAAATGCTGGTTTCCAGGGTAGAGCGGGTCCAGGTGGGGTCGGGTCTCTTCTGCATCCCCATCCCCTCCTGGAGGGGTGGGGGCCCTTGGGGAGCACCGCTGGTTCCTCTGCTTGCCTTTTGGGATCATGGCCCGGCCTCTGAGCAAGAGCCTACAAGCTGCCTTCCATCACCCAGGCAGGACCCTGTGTGAGGTTTTTGCCTTTTGCTTCTTGCCCTTCCTGAATGACACGCTTGCACTTGTCCCTTTGGTTTAGCTGGAAACCGAAAGTGTGTCATCTCAAATGCAGACTGACGTGCTTCTTTTATAAATTCTTGGGCATTACTATTGATTTTTGGCTGAGGATTTAGAAATCCTATCTCTAGGACTCCCGAGATTTCCCTCTGCAGTAATAATGCATTGTCATTCTTAATATCTCCAATCTCTGACACAATATTCATATCAAGCTGGAGTAGTGGCGTCAGCACATCCTTGGGGACAGCTGCAGGGGCTGCGCTGGCCCCTTGCCCCCCTCCACCCTGTCTTCTCACCAGGAAAATTGCTCCTGGCCCACCCCCTATTTGTAGGGGCCTAAAATTGCATCAGGGAGGCATCAAGTATAAGAGAGTTGATTTCTACCCTCCTCATTGCACAGTTTTTACTGAGGCTCAGAAAGGGGCAGGAGCTTGCCCAAGGTCACACAGTGAGTCAGTGGCAGAGGGAGCTGGTACCCTGGTCTCCTAGTTCAAGGGTCATCAACTCTGTGTCTATGGGGGCCAAGCATTAACATAAGTTGGTGCAACAGCTGCACGTGGGACAGTGAGGGTTATGCAGACCCTGCAGAGAGCCCACACCCCTTCCATGGCTGCCCAGGCAATTGCATCTGGGAGAGTCCAGATGTTCTGAGTTTTCAAGAGAAGCCAAAAGCCCATATTTTAATACAAATTTCTTGTATTTTAAATGTTGGCAACTAATGACAAAGCGCATGAGTGCATGCACACACACCCATGTGGCCCTAAAACAGAACCACAGATTTGAGTTGGAAGATGGTACAGGACTTGCACAGTGTACAAGTGGGAGGCCACTCTCTTGGTCCAGGTGTCCAAACACCTTGACTTCCATCCATGTCAGATGCCTTCCTGGCTGTTCCACTTGTCCCAGCCACAGACTTGAGGGGCCCGTTTTCGGTGTCCCTTCCAGCTCCTTGTCTTCCAGCCCCCACCCACTCTGGCTCAGCTGTGCCCCCGAGGGTCTCCTCACCCTTCCTGGGAGGAAAGGAGGCCTTTTCTAAGCAATCCTCCTCTCTGGATCCCAGCTTCCATGCACCCTGCGTGTTTTGCAGCAGGTGCAGGTCTGACCCACCTCCCGCCTGGTTTGTCCTTTGCCCCCATGCTGCCAAGGAGACAGAGCTACTAGTTTGGCCTCGGGACCTCCTGGGAGTGTCACTGAATAGGTTCTCACTGAGGGATTGTTTTTCTAGTCCTTGGAATTGATTCTGCTTAGACCATAAAAATAAAAAGACCGTATCCTGGGTACTTAGAATGTGTCTCTTGAAGAAGCTGATGTGTGTGTATTTTGGGAGGGGGGATGGAATTGTGTTTTGAGATGCTGATAGGAACCAATTCCTTGCACCTTGCAAAAATCTCCAATGGAGGCTTTTGAAACTTTTTGGCAGAAAAGCGGAGCGTTGGATGTTGGAACTGAGGTTGAATCTGTGAAAATTAAAATAGCCAAGAAATGCTGTTTTCTTAGTTGCAAAAACATTTTGTCAACACGATAGGAAGTTTGAGTGGGAAGGAGGGTGGTGGGAACACACATCCCTCCCAGTGTCCCAGCTTGAGGGCCTTCCGTGGGGGGCCCACCTGGAAGGGGCATAGAGATAGCTCTTCTGTTTGGGACCTGATGATAAGGGAGAGTGGGGAGAGATGGTGCTGATTCTGCCTGTGGCCCTGTGAGAATCACCTGTTTCCTCCTCTGTCTCTTCATCGGTCCAGCAGCTTCCTGCAAACCCAGCCACAAAGGGGCCCTCTAGGTACCTGCGAAGGGAGGCCCACCCTGATGGAGGTCACTCCCAGGCAGGCAGTGCCTCGCCTTCTCTGTGTGTGACCACATGGGCTCTGCCCAGCAGGCTGGGGGCAGTTGGCAAGCAGCCCTCAGAGCTAGACTTGTTGGGCCGGCCACATCCCCAAAATCATTACTGGCATGAGTTGAGAGCCCCTTTGGGGAGACCTACATTCCCTTGTCTGTCCCTTGCTCCCACGGCTGTCCCTTATCCACAAATGATGTCCCCACGCTATGGCCAAGGACCCAGTTATCCCCAGTGTGGTTAGAAAGGGGCACTGAGTAGGCCCAGGAAAGGCTTAGGGTTGGCGTTGACTGCAGGTTTTGTAGAAAGAGAGCTGGAGGCCTGGGCTTTGGTTCTGGCTGGGCCACAGACTTGTGTGGCCTTGGCCAAGCAGTCTTCTCTTTCCGAGCCTCAGTTTTCCTTCTGTAAAATGAGGGAATTGAAATAGGCAGTGTTTTCCACATTGCAGGCTGCAACCCATTAGCAAATCATGAAATCAACTTAGGCAGCCACAGCCAACGAAATGAAAGAGGAAACAGTAGGGCGGAGCAGAACACAGAATGGAAGAGAATGGACGAAAAGGGAAAAGGGAAGGGTAATGTCAGAATCCATCCTCCTGAGTAAGCTCTCACGTGGTTCCATGAAACTTGCTTTGGTTTCCATGTGTATTAATGTGCAGCTAGGTCATCATGTATATGCTTCTTTCTGTGGGTTGCAGTTTAAACAATTTGAGGCTGGGCTCAGTGGCTCATCCCTATAATCCCAGCACTTTGGAAGGCCACGGTAGGAGGATTGCTTAAGGCCAGGAGTTCGAGACCAGCTTGGACAACATAGCAAGACTCTGTCCATATTGAAAAAGATTGTCTGTGCATGGTGGCGTGTGCCTGTGGTCCCAGCTACTTGGGAGGCTGAGGTGGGAGGATCGCTTGAGTCTGTGAGGTCGAGGCTGCAGCGAGCGGTGATTGCACCACTGCACTCCTGCCTGGGAAGCAGAATGAGACCTGTGTCTAAAAAAAAAAAGAAGGAAAAAACAAAACATATTTGAAAAGTACAGAGTAGCTTATATAAACATTCTTCTAAGCCTTACGGTTCAGAAATGTAGTTAGTTCACTGGCTGGGTTGATCTTGAGCAAGTTACATAATCTCTCTGTGACTCAGTTTCCTTATCTGTAAGATGGGAATAACAGTAGTTCCCAGCACAAAAGGACGTTACAAGGACCGGATGTGTGAATTTATGTAAAGTATTCAGCACATTAGCACACAATCCATGCTCCATGTTAGCTGCTGTTGCTGAAGCTGTAGATGCACCCTTCTACCTAGGGAAGGAGGTGTGGTCCCAGACCTGTCACCTTCTCGGTCAGCCAACCTCTGGAGGAGAGGAGAGGAAATGGGTCTGCTGTGCCTCCGTTCTTTGGGCCCAGGGACAGTCCCAGGGAGCTGCAGCTGATGTGGGGAGGTTCACAGGGGAGCCCATGCCCCTAAGCAGAATCATGCACTTGCCTGGTGAGAGCTCTTCCCTGCCATCTGGCTGGAGGCCGGATGGGACCTTTGTCTGCTCTGGGGGGTGCAGGCAGGGTGGGGCATGGCCTGAGTTGCAGCCCAGACCCCCAGCCTGCAGCTCCTGCCTGTTCCCACCCTCAGTCTTTGGTGGCCCCGAGACCATCTCTCCTGCCCCCCATTCACCAGGCAAAGCCAAGAGCCCCACGGCCCCAGGAATCCAAAGCCCAGTGGAAGTCCTCACATGCAGATCTGTGATCTGCCACCATCTGAGCATTTCCATTTCATTCAATAGTTCGAGTCTTTGAACCCTGTAGCTCCATTTTGAACCATCTGAAGTGGGCACACATCTGACAATAACTACTTTTTTTCACCACTCATCCCACTTAAGAAAAAAAATGCAAGATAGGCCTGTGTTAAAATGAAAAGGAGAAAGAAAGAAATGAAGTTGTAGAGGAAGCTGCCTGGTCAGACCAGTGTTGCAGTAACTAGGAACTGGAAGGTTCAAGATGAGTCTCTAGAGAGGCAGGGAAAGGAGGGATGACACTGGGGCCACCTTTCTGGCCAGGGGCAGGAGTGTGGGTCCGGGTGTGGATGCCAGAGGAGTGGAGAATGGACCCAGCGCTCTTGGGAAACTTTTCCTGGTTCAGGCACGGCTTGCCTGGCAGCGAGGAGCAAGGTCATTGGTTCGATGTCAGGGGAAGGCTTTGTGCTTCCCCGAAGGCGGCTGTCTCCTTCTCTCCCTTCTCTCTGCTCCGCCTTCCCCGTCTCTCTCCCCTTCTCTTTCTCCCGAGGTGCAGATGGCCACATTTGCAGGTTAACTGGAACAGCTGGAGATGCATTATTAGTTTCCTGCTGCTCCTTCATATTTGCTTGGATTTTTTTTTTTAACGGCAACATAATTTACAACTAGTACACTGGTGTCAGAGCTGGCATGTTCTAAATCCGCATCAGATTTATGTAATGCCGTTGCTTATCAGTGAATGAAGTCATAATTATTGCTTTGTACCATTAAATAGCATAAATATATAAACTGTTATACAAATTGCAGCAAACGTTTCCTCTGGGGAGCTCTAGACCAAATTTTAATGTCGTGCATTTGTCTGGGATGGCAGTTTCTATGGTATATAATAATGTTGATAAATTTTACTGTAGCAAGTGACATTTTAAAGCATTAATTTTGGTGCTAAAAAAAATTCTGAAGAATGCTCAGACCAAACTGGGAGGTGCTTGGAGGACCCACTGGGTGAGGTCGGGTGAGGTGGAGGTTTTTCCTTAAGAGGACAGTGGGTGATGTGTGGCACTCCCAGCACTCCTCCACATGAGATCACCCCTCCTCTCTCAACTCCCCAGGGAAAGTGGCAGATACATTTTCCATGGCAATGATGATAATTAATTTCAAAAAATTCAAATCGATTCATTTCTGCCTTAAATTTGAGGTGTGCAAGGGAAAGTGGAAGGAGGCCGTGGAAAACGCACAATTGGTGGGGATGGTCCTCGTTGTAACCTCCTTCCCAATTATGTAAATTCTGTGTGGGGTGAAAAAAATCCCCATCCTAATTAGAGATGCAACACCTGGCCTCAGATGATGTTTCAGATGCCAGGCGTGTGGTTGCATAGCCTCCTAAAGCCATTATCGTCAAGAGCGACTTTTGCGAGAAGCCCCAGGACAACGCCCAGCATTTACCTGCTGTGCTCTTTGGAGAGCTGGGTGGCTGTGGTGGAGTGCTGGAAGGAGCGTGCCACCCTCCGCCTTCAGAAGAGGGCGTGGGGGTTGGAGGTTCCCCGCCAGGGCCCACTCACCACTGTGGAGCTGACCCAGGGAGTTGGAGAGCATGCTGCCAGCTGCTCACCCCCACCATTCCTGGGCCTTGATGAATGCAAACATCCTCTGAGAACCTTTGTTACCATCCTGAGTTTTCAGGTTTCATCTTTTTTCTTATGTCCCTGACTCCTCCCTTGAGATTCTTAGAGTGCTCTGCTGAGCCTTATGGCTCTTCTTGTTAACGTGGTATCCTTAGTGTCGTCTTTTGGTATGTGGGAGGATCACGCATCGTGGCCCCTTTGTGTTGGGTGAAGCCTTGTGGCTAATTCTGGCCAGAGAGCCGTGAGTGGAGCCTTTAACCAACAGAGTGGGACCTTTCAGCATTCTCTCTTTCCCTGGGGCACTCTCAGCATCTGAGTGTTTTTCACAAGCAGAAACCCCTGCAATGGATGTGAAGGGCAAATGAGAAATAAACCATTGCACCCCTTGAGATTTTGGGAGTTGTTACTACAACATAGCTTTCCCTATCTTAATACACAGGTCTTTGTTGATTTCTCTAAAGTTTACAACTTTCTGCAGGGTATTGGAAGTGTGGGAAAGCTGGCTGATTGTTTTTTTTTTTTTTTCTGGAAAGAGTATCAAGTAGATAAAACTTTTGTCCATTCTGGACAGTGAGAAAACTGAGGCTCAGAGGAGTTAGGTGACTATCCTAAGATCACACAGCTTCCAGGCACCAGGCATTGACGTCCCCCAGTTAACAAATGTTATGCTCTTTCTTCTCTCTTGCTTTGCCTTTGAAGAATGAATTCTCTTTCACAGGGGTCACAAACTCAATGACCTTTGAGGTCAAGCAGATCAGGGTGGGGCTGAGGAGCACAGGACAATAGGGACTGATAAGAAGTGCAGGGAATATTCGAAAAGCATTAAGGTTCAGCCTTGGCGTTTAATTCTGTGCCCCCTGATGACATCTCGAGCTTCCACGGATAGCTTCAGCTGCTGTGCGCGCTCACTATGAGTGCCTCCTTCTGATGTCTTGCCCTCGAGTTTAAATCTTGAACTTTGTAATGGAAGTCTCACATGCTCATCCCTTTATAGCCGCCAACTATCTGATAAAGTCCTCTACAGTTAGGATGGGGACTGGCCATTAACATCCTAGTACTCTATCCCCGAGTGACCTTGTGAGTTATCAAATCCTACCTCCTCCTTTCACAAATGAGGTCTCTGAGCTCAGAAAAGGCACCAACTTACCCAAGGACACCCCACCGAGTAGTTTCTTAATGAAAGCGTTTGTACTGTTTGGAAGTGAAGAAAGTCACAGTTTAAGTGGATGGAGGGGTGTTGAAATGGAATTGAGAACAGCCAGTAGGGAAGGAAAATGTGTTCTCCTTAAAAAATGTTAACTTTTGTTTGTTTGTGTAGTCAGAAGACATTTATTGTGCAAGATGCTGGGCAATGTGCTTGATCATTAAAAAAAACCTTAGTGAAAAGATGTCTTGCATTTGTGGGTATAAAAATCTGAAACTTCTTGCAGACAGAGGTCAGTTCTCATTCTGCTTATGTTCCCAACACCTGGCTCTATGCTTTGCACATAACAGAAATTAAGTGTTGAATTTAATTGCCTCTATCCTTATGCTACCAATGGCGATTATGAATAATGGTAAGGAAGTTAGCACAGCCCTGGGGTTAAGAGCACAGCTCTGTGGTTGAAAGGCCTGGGCGCTGTCACTTACTGTAAAGTGAGGACAAGATCATGACCTCCTCGTAGAGATTTTATGAGCCCATCCCAGATGTAAAGTGTTTAGCTGAATGCCTGGCAGGTAGTTAGCACTTGAATGCCTCCAAGATAGTCCAGGAGAGCTAATCTTTATTAACTCAGCGAGCCCAGTCTTGGCTAGTGTCTGTTCAGCTTTGCTTGGGAGACAGAACTGTGGCTCAGCACAGGCAAATACATTCTGCCCACTCCCCATGTGACGTGGACAATAATTTTGTACCCCAAACTGCAAAATCTCCATTTAAAGCAGCTTGGGAGAATTGTTTCAGCATGAGCTACCACTGCAGTCTGGGGTTGCTTTTCTGTCGGAGGCTCGGTGCTGAACAGTTAGAGTGGGGGGTCACCCTGGCTGGCAGGGCTGGGCATGACACCTGTGTAGCTCACAGGCTCTGAGCAGGGTTGATGGGGTGGCATGGTCATGTGGCAGCCAAGGCCCAGTCTTGCACATGTTGAGATGTGATGGGGCTGCCCTTGTCAAGCCTGCCCGGCGCCTCCTCTTCATGACAGTCCCCATTATCCTGTCCAACAGCAATGGGCAGGGGAAGGAGCACTGGACAAGGAGTCAGGGCCCTGAGATTCACTTCCTCTGTCACTTACTATCTTTTCAACTTGATACTTAGAAGCTTAGTGTTCCAACTTGCAGAATGGGACGAAAAATGCCACCTCCATCCAGCTTACTCACATGGCTGAGAAACAGACCTGGGGATAAAGTGTTCCGTAGAGGCCAAGGGGAAGGGCCATTGTTGGCAGAGGTTAAGAGTTGCATTTCGGTCCTGGATCAGCCACGTGGGACAATCACTTTACCTCACCCAGTGTCACTTTCTCCATGTGTGGAGTGGGAATAATAACGGCACCGGCCCCATAGTGCCACTGTGATGAGCAAGTGACTGTGTAAAGCTGGCTTCGCTTCAGCTCTGATCCTCTGGTCACACTGTGAGGTCAGAGGTCCTGTTGTCCTGTTCTGCTGCACATCACCAGCACCCAATGCTGCACCCTGCGCTTGGGCGCTCAGTTTCTGCAGAATAGAAGAAGGATGCGATCCCCTGGAGTTACGTCTTGATGTCTGATGCCTGTAGACTGTGAGCCCAGCAAGGGCAAAAGCCCTGGCTCCCAGGTCACTGCTGCATGCCAGCACCTGGCTCAGTGAGGAAAACCCTCCCAAGCCTTCAGCCCCTGCAAGCACCCTCCCCTGGAACGCCCTCTCTGCCTCCACATCTCAGCCTGTTCATCCAAGGCCACCTCATTCAGGAAGTTATTCATTCACTCATCCATTCAGTAGGTACCTATGCACCAGACATGTGCTAAGGTGATCCTCACCTGTCACGGAGGAAGTTTCTTCCCCCTTGGTGTTACCTCGACCCCCATCCCAAATATTTTATTCACCCTTCTTAAGGAGCTGACCCCTTCCTGCCTGGTGTAATGCTTATGTGCATACCCAGCTGATCTCCCTCCCTAATTAGACGTGAGGGTTTTTTAAAACTTTGTTGAAGTATAGCGTACGTTCAGAGAGATGCACACCTCTTAAGTGCACAGCTTGATGAGTTTGCAGAAATAGAACACATCCAGATCGAGAAGTCGAACCCAGTGGCCTCTGGTAGCTCCCTGCACTCCTTCCTGCTATTGCCTCCCTCAAAGGCAAGCACTGGCCTCACCTCTGGACCATACTGTCGTTTTGTTGCTAGAGGTGATTTAAAGGCAGGTGTGTCTAATTCATTCTCTCTTCTCCAGACTGCTTAGCACAATACCTGGCATTTGTTGAATAAACAGATAGGTGGATGGATGGATGGGTAGATGGACAGGTGGATGTGTGCATGGATGGACCCAGTACCACAGGGATTAGACTAATGACGGTGTTAATTTAACAGCTGACAGTTGTTGCATTCTATCAGCCCACTCTACTCAGTGCTTTATAGGCACCTCTGCTGGTCCTCACAGAGCCCTGTAGGGTAGATCTCCCTCTGTTTTTACAGATCAGCAGACTGAGATTCAGAGAGGTCAGCGACTTGCCCAAGGTCAGCCAGCCCGTGAGTGGCGGTCGCTGTGACCGGGGTCATATGACTCCGGCTTGCGTCTGGAGCTGGCGCTCTGTGCCTGAGTTCCCACTGGTTTACAGCCCTGGGCAGTCCTTCCTCAGTTGGGCCAGCTGGACATAGGCTCAGCGGGCGACAGGGCTGAGCTGTCCTTGGCGGGGAAGCTGATGGGTTCCACGCTGCCCCCGCCCACCCGCCAGGCGCCCCATTCCTCCCGGGCTGCACTGAGCCTTCTGTGTGCCTCTCCAAAGGACAGGGCATATTTCTTCCCAACCCTCTTAAGACCCAGCCCGCACTGGAGGGCTTCATCATTATGCAAATTAGCTGGATTGGATCCGCTCCCGCAGAGGACTCCGGGGGCAGCAGAAGGACGGAGCTGCCTCTGGAGCGCTGAATTGAGCCTCAGATTAGGCCAGTCGATGGGTGGGGGCTGTGGTGGGGAGTGGGCACGGAGATGGGGCTGGCACCGATGATTTGCCACCCCTGGGGAGGCTGTGGGGATTGGGGGGCTGAGGACTGGTGCTGGAGAAGGCCCGCTGCTTGGGCTTACCCAGGCCAGGCTCCCAGCATTGTTGCCGAACATGGGATGAAGAAAGACATTCTTTTTGGATTTTCTTTGTGTGTTGAGCCCTTTTATGATTCATCAGTAAGTAAATATCAGCTGAGGGGGTGATTTGTTTCTAACAAGCTTATAAAATACTGGCGTCATTTGTGGGCTTATTGGAGTGCTGATTATAAACACTCCCCATGCCCACTCCTCTATGTCAAATTAGCATTCAAAATACAAATATTGGATCTTTGGATCACTTTCTGCTGTCTCTTTGGAAGCTGGTAGGCTGGGAAGGGGTAACAGACCCCAGCCTCAGATGAAGAACATTTCCACTCCACTAGGGGACTTGAGGGGTTGCAGACAGAACCTCTCGCTGCACCCTTGGAAGGGTGGGGGCCACGGGGTGCTCTGAGCTCAGCTGCTCCTCTTGCCTTTCTCGTTGCCAAGTTTCCGCTGACCTGGCTCCTCCCCACCCCCAGAGCCTGTCATCTTCAATCTCATGGAGGACGCAGATCTGGGCAGGCGGCATCTGGCCGGGTGAGCCTGTGGAGCTGCCTCCTCCCCAGGGTGGGCTGGGGCCCAGCCTGCACCCAGCCAGACAAAGTGGTTGTTGAGAGTGTCTGAACTGGCTATGGGAGCCATCACGTGGCAGCCTCCTCATGGGGGGTCCCAGGCCTCCCTGGCATCTGTCCCTGACTCGCCTCCCAGCTCCTCACACCTCCTGGCCTCTGGCCTTCTGGCCATGTGTCACAGCAGGCACATTCCAGCTCACATGGGACAGAACACTGTGTGAGGTACGAGAGTGGATGATGACTCACATCTTTTCAGGGCCATCCATAGGGACCAGCCCAGCAGGTGCATTCACTCCAAGCTCTACAAATGCATAGGATCACTCAATCCTATGCATCAAGCACAATTATATCCCCATTTTACTGATGAGGCCACCGGGACACTCAGTGGCAGAGCCCGGGCTTGAAAATTGGCCTGTCCATTCCACTTGACAGGTGATGGAATAGAGTCAAGGCCAGAGGGAGCAATTTGCCCCCATGAAGGCAGAGACCCAGCAGGGACCAGAAAGCAGATCTGCTGAGGCCTCAGCCCAGCAAGAGCTGTTGAGTGAAGAGTCACTGCCACTGGGAATCTCTGGTCTGAAGATCTGCAAGGCAGGGGCTGAGAGGGGCTGTGGAGCTCTCTGGTCCAACCATTTCCAGTTATAGATAGAGAGACCTAGGCCTAGTCATTACCAACATTGTCTCCATCACTAGTCAGTGGATTAAAATTTTTAAAAAGCTTTTATTGTAGTGTATTACTTCGCTCTCATGCTGCTGTAGAGAACTGCCTGACACTGGATACTTTATAAGGAAAGAGGTTTAATTGACTTGCAGTTCCGCAGGGCTGGGGAGGCCTCAGGAAACTTACAGTCATGATAGAAGGGGAAGCAAACATGTCCTTCTTCACATGGCAGCAGGAAAGAGAAGAATGAGAGCCAAGCATAGGGGGAAGCCCCTTATAAAACCATCAGATCTCGTGAGAAATCACTGTCATGAGAACAGCATGGGGGGAACTGCCCCCATGATTCAATTATCTCCACCTGGTCCCGCCCTTGACAGGTGGGTGTTATTAAAATTCAAGGTGAGATTTAGGTGGGGACACAGAGCCAAACCATATAAATTACAAAGGCTATACATGTTCATTGCAGGAAAACCAGAAAATCCAGCCAAGCAAAAATAAGAAAAACATATCCTGCCTTCCAGAGATGACCCTCTAACACCTTAATGTGTGTCCTTCCAGCAAGTTTCTCAGCGCACACAAGCACACACAAATATAGTCATTCCCTTCTTTCCCTCACTTTTCTTTCTTAACCAAAATAGCATTGTGTTTACTACCTGGTTTTGTGTATTTCCACTTAATTGTGGGTGAAGTGGGAGATTGTTAGTCTGAGTGATTGTTAGTCTGCCTTTTTAGAGAAGACGTTTGTCTCTGGTCCACAGGGCTGTGGACAGAGACTAAATGTTGTTTGTCTCTAGAAAGCCCCCTGCCATTGAGCAATCATTGGCTGAGTGCCACTGTGTGCCAGGTTGTTAGGTGCTGGGAAATGCCTAAGCAGTGTGAGAGAGATGGTGGTCCATCCTTCCTCCCTACCTGTTCTAGGGGAGGGAAGCATAGGTTCTGGGTGCAGAGAGCGGGAGTCCCTGATGGGGCAGACATGAGGGGCAGGTGAGCAGGGAGTGTGCCTGTGGAGCTGAGTTCTTCAGCCGGGTTCTGAGGACATCCTGCTCTTGGCAGGAGGGGCTCAGCCATGGGAAGTTGGGGAGGTGTTTTCTGTTGTCAACTAGACAGAGGGCCACTGGGACCCCCATTTTCATGCTGGAGCTTGTTTCCACCAGCACATGCACAGCCCTCTCCATGGTGTCTTGGATTCCTACTTTTCTCAGCTCTGGATGAGGAGAAGGGAGCCATCCACATGGAGGCCAGGATAGGGCTGGGTGCAGGTCCCCACCTGAGGGTGTGGAGGCATGGATTGGAGACACAGTCTGTTTTGGAAGTGGGATTCAACAGGCTTCACTAAACCCTGGCTTTTGGAATTCTAAATTGTCACTAAGGTCCTGCCCTTGTGCATTCAGGGTGTGATTAAAGCATGAGGTGAAAGCAGAGTAATCGGCTTTGGATTTGCTTTTTCCCCCAAAATCTGAGTTTAACATTGTGGGCCAGGCGCATTGGCTCATGCCTGGAATCCAAGCACATGGGGAGGCCGAGGTGAAAGGATTGCTTGAGGCCAGAAGTTTGAGGCCAGCCTGGGTAACATAGTGAGGCCCCATCTCTACCAAAAAAAGAAAAAAAAAAATGAGTGGGGCATGGTGGCCTGTGCCTGTGGTCCCAGCTGCTCAGGGCTCTGAGGTGTGAGGATCGCCTGAGCCTGAGAGATGGAGACTGCAGTGATCTGTGATTGCTCCACTGCACTCTAGCCTGTCTTAAAAACAGAACGAAACAAAACAAAACAAAACAAAAACATTGTGGATGGGATTCAGGGCCACAGTCTTTGCTGTGACTGGAGGTACTTACTGGAAATTCCTTAGTATGCAGGACCTTGAAATGGGTTCTGGAGCAGTGAACTATGAGCTAGATTCCCCAGCTGAGGCCAGCATTCTAGAGGCTGTGCATGTGTGTGTCTGCCTCTTGGTCATGTCCAGTAGGAAGGGAGGTATCACCCCTCTAGACCAAGCCCTTCAGTGGCACCAGAACATTGGCCCCTCTCACTGGTCCTCTCTGCCCTTCTGCCTGCCCTCTTAGAGCGGCTCCTGCATCCTGGGCCCTGGGTCACTGAGGCTGTTCTGTGGCATGACAGAGGCAGGACAGACAGCTCTGGCACAGGCGGGGCTGAGCTGCTGGGCCTCCAACTCCTGCCAGCCCAGACGTCCATGGCATTTCCCCTGGAGCTCTGCTTCCCCACTCTGGGGTCCCAAAGGACTTGGTTTTGTTTTTTTTTTAGGATTTCTGGGCGACTGTGTTTTCACACAAAGTATGTCCCTTGGCCAGGCCTCCCAGACTCCTCCTAAGCAAGCTGGGTGTGACAGTGTCTCACTGGTCTCTGTTACACTCACACCCCCCACACCCACCACCTTGCACAGTGCCTGCCTCAGGGTCAATAATAACCATGACAGTGATATTAATAACTCAAGCTATTAAGCCTGTTCATCTCCCAACAGTTATGATGTAGGCACTACAATCATTCTCATTTTACATGGTGGGGAACATTGGCCCGGGGAGGTGGGGTTCCAGGATCCCACTGCTAGTGGATGGTGGTGGGAGATTTGAACCTGTGCAATCTGACTCCGAGGCTGCACTTCTGTTCATGTGCTGTGCCACCAGAAAGCTATAGCTGAATGCAGCCGATGAGCAAATGAGGGGGTATGTCCAGCCCTGAGAATGGCATGGTGGCTGAGGTGGTATGGGGTTCCCGGGAAGATGCAGCCCCACCGCGTCACCCCCACAGAGCAAGCCTTGCTCCCGGACATGAAGAGTGGCATCTGTGGACCCAGAGCCACATGTCTGGGTTCCTGCATTTGGGATGGTGTTGAGACCTGGACCTGAATGCTCCAGGGCTGGTGTCCAGAGCCGTGGGGGGTGTAGTTGAGGCAGGACTCTATCCATCAGGGGACAGTGTGAGGGACCTGTGCCTGCTGCCACTGAAGGGCATGGTCTATAGGGATGACACCTCTCTTCCCACGGGACATGATCAAGAGATGGACACACATGTGCACAGCAAACTATTAGCATTTATTGAGCACCTCGTGTTTGTCTGGCTCTGTAAGAAATACCAGAAAAGTGAAAGAATTGCTTTTTCATCCTCAGATAATGTATTAGCCAGGATTGTTTTGGTTGGAAGTTGACAGAAAATCAAGTTAGCTTAAGCAAAGAGAAGGAATGTTTTGAAAGCTACCTTTTTATTTCACATAGCTATGAATAACTTGGGTGCAACGAAAACTCCTTTTTGGAAAATTGTGGCCTGGAGGACAGAGGCAAGGCATCGAGAGCTACTTGAATAAGGGTACAGAATCCGTAACCTAACCCTAGCCCTAACCCTCAGGAATGAGTGAGGCCCTGTGAGTGCAGCCCTTGGGCCAGGAGGAAGCTGGGTGCGGCCAAAAGTAGGGGTGTTAGGTAGGCAGGGCCAGGGCCACCTGGCAGAAGAGTGCAGCTTTGCACTGGGAAAAAGGGAGCCACTGCAGGTTCTTGAGCAGGAGAGGGAAATGATGGCTGTGGAGCCTGGGGAGGATTATCCAGGCAGTGTGTCTGAATGTGGCAGGGGGTGAGGCTGGAGCAGTCATGATGAGGTGGGGCCAGGAGCGGAGAGCAAAGGGTGAATTGCCAGGTGTCTGTCGCATGTGCTTTTTGATGAAGGTGTCTATGAAGATGTCTTTTCCAAGTAGGAAAAAGGCAAGATGCCAGCCAGAGCTGTACGGTGGGGCGTTTTCCTGCTATGGTGTGTGGGCCTGGCACTGCTCACATCTCATCACAGCTAATGGCAGCTGTTCTGCTCGCTGCACCTCGCTGGAGAGTTGGAGGCTGTGTGGAGGTGGCCTCCACCCCCACTCCCCTGCTGCTCAGCAATGAGCCCATTCTTTACCTGCCCAGTCCCCCTCTGCCTGTCCCTGCCTCTCCTGGTGGGGGCTGTCAGGAGCTGTCAGTAAGCTCTGCCTCTGTGGGTCAGGAGTGGCTGCTGGATGGGATCAGCCCAGACCTTAGGCTGCAGGCACCTGCTTGGCAGGTGGGAGGCACAGCCAAGGGCAGACAGGAGGGCTGGCTGGGCTCTGGGAGCTGGCAATGGGGTCTAAGCCGCCCAGAGGTGGCAGACCCCCCATCTGGTCCCTGTGTGCTGGGCCCACACCATCTGAGAAAATGGTATGGGAGGGCTCAGCTCTGGGAGCTGAACACATCAACAAGCTAATGTGAGCTTGGGGCATCCCATCGGCCTCATTTGATCTCAGTCCTGGGTCTGTTGAAGAGAGAAAGGCCGAGCACTGGGCTTGGCCTCAAGAAGGTGGTATTTTGTTAGGGGAGCGAGTGAAGGAAGGGGAGAGGTGAGTAGACTTGAGAGGAAGACGTGACCTCAGAAAAGACCTTTTGAGGGCCCTGTGCACTGTGACCATAAGCCTCGCTATCTTGGGTGACTTTTCAGCCGAACTGAAGAAAGACCCGCTTCCCCAGAGTAGACCCAATACTGGTATTAGCGTCGCAATCATGTGACTACTTGGAAGGAGTATCATTGATTTGAATGTATTCATTTATTCCATGTTGCGTTTGAATTTCCAATTTAGCTTCAATTTTCATTTTACTTGGGTCACAGCAAAAACCCGGCTCTCTGAGACATAGCCTGCAGAAGCAGAGCTGAGAAATCACACAGACCACTTAGCTCAGCATCAGAAATCCAAGCATTTATTTCCTCGATGAGCCACAGGGCTCAGCCGGCTTAAAAGGCAACTCAGTAGTGCTGTGGCCGGTGGGCTTCTTGACTGGTTAGGAGCCCAGGTGCTATTGATCCACCATATGACTTGTTGGTTCAAAGTTATGGTATTTGGGTTACATCCTTCAGAGAAACTTCATGGCTCTGCAGTGTTCCTGTGTTCGTCATATTCTTACCCACTTTGGGCAAAGTGCCCACATAATTATCAGGGTGTAGGTTTATGTTGAACGTTGGAGAAGTTCACATCTAAGTGGTTTCTCAGGCAGGGCAATTGCAATTGCAAGCAAGTGCTAACAGCAAAAGGGCTGAGGTGTTCTTCATAATATTTGACACTCACATTCCACAGTTCAATAAATATTTGTTAATCACTTGTTATGTGCCCAACGCTGTTGTAGGTTCTGGGATTACAGTGTTGAATAAGACAGGGAGAGCCCCTGCCCTCACCTTGCCTGTATTCTAACACAATGCTTTCCAAATGAAGTTTCTAAAATGATGGAAATATTCTGTACTACCCAGAGTGGTAGTCACTGGCCACATTAGCTATTGCAACTGAGGAACTGAATGTTTAAATATATTCAACTTTAATTTAAATTTAAATAGCCACAGGCTGGGCACAGTGGCTCATACCTGTAATCCCAGCACTTTGGGATTTGAGGCCAGGAGTGTGAGACCAGCCTGGGAAAGATAGCAAGATCCCATCTCTACTAAAAATCTAGCCAGGTCTGGTGGTGCACTCTGGCAGTCCCAGCTGCTCAGGAGTCTGAGGCAGCAAGATCTCTTGAGCCCAGAAGTTTGAAGCTGCACTAAGCTGTGATCATACTATGGCACTCCAGGCTGGGCAAACAGTGAGACCCTGTCCCAGAAAAAAAACCAAAAAAAAAAAAAAAAACCACCCAGAAACTAAAGAGCCACAGGTGGCCAGTAACTACTAGATTGACAGTGTGGATCTACTTTTTAAAGCTTTTCAATAGAAGTCAGTCATTATTTTCTAGTCTCATTGTTTATTTTTTTCAGCTGGAGGGTGGTGTCCAGTGACCCAGGTCAAGGTGGACTTTGAGAAAGTGGTGAATTCCAGTTTCCAAGCTGAACTCTGGGGGTTTTTTGCTTTGAGTACTAGTAACTGCAGGAAAAGTTCTGTCTGTATTTACCTGGATGGGGAACTTTTGAAAAATGTTGCTTTCTTGCATTCTGCAGGTGTGTGTTGTGTTTGTGTGTGCCCGTTGGTAACTGTCAGGCTTTTTGACACATTGCTGTTGCTCATTTTAAAAAATGATCTTGGTGGGGACAAAAAATGATGTCGGCAGTAGAGAAAACCCTTGTAGTAGAAGCAGGGGTAATTCATGTGTCCCTGGCAGGGTCGGTGACAATAAGGGTTTTGCAACCTGCCTGTCATGTTAATTGTGTATTATTAGAGGCCATTAATCTGAGGATTATTAACATGATGGATGTTTAGGCAATCGTCTTGTTGAAAACTTTAATCTGAAGATCAGTGATATACATCAGTAGGTGTTTGATGAGTTAAGAAAGAATAAGCTACTTGCTTTTACCTAGTGGATCCCCAGGATGTAGTGGAATCTTCATTTTCTGAGGTGATCAGCCTTCAGTTCTTTACAGGTAAAAGGGGATGTGTGTGAGGAGGGCTGTGGAATGCCTTCTGAAAATGTGCAGGCAGAGAAGTTCTGAGTTGTATAGAACTCCAAGAGTTCTCTTTCCTCGGTTCTCAGTGAAGTCCCGCTTGTTCTCTTGTGTGTGGTTTATTTCATCACTCAGACATCCATTCTCTTTCTATTAAGAAGCTGAGATAGTTACCTCCTGTCTCTTGGTGTTATGTCCGGGACCTGATCTTTGTCTTTTCTTTTGCCAAAGACCACCCGTCATGATTGCTGATCGCTCAAAGAGCCGGGATTTGGATGTGTCTGCTAATGATGTGTCTCTGAGCAATTGCTGATCACTCAGAGAGGCGGGAGGTGGATGTGTCCGCCAGCGTCATAGGAAGTTAGCAAGCAGGACCCTCTGTGATGGTGATGTTCTCCTTAACCACCCAGGGCTGCTTGCACCTCAGTGCTAGCTCCCTGGCAGTGTGGAATCAGCTCTCAGAGCTGGAAGGAGCCTCCACTGGTAATCCCATCCAGGCTGGGCCCCGATCTCTGCGGTTTTTGGGCTCTGAGGCCTTTCAGGTTAGGGAGATTTCTGCATGGGCCCAGCTATGGGGAAGGGCTGGCCAAGGGCCAAGGGGTTGGGGGGTGCATGCAGCTGATCACGCCCCTGACTCAGTCAGGCCCTGCTCTGACCTTCATGAAAATCTCAGGGAATTTCAAGAGAGAGAAGCAAGAAGAACCATAAAGAAATGGGAAACTTGGGTCCAAGAGCATCAGAGGGGAGGCAAAGTCAACTCATATGGCCCGAAGTAGGAAGCTGCAGCGAGCCACAAGGGAACAAAAGGGCTTAAAATCTGGACACGAGTTTCGCCATCGCAAATATGGGAGTGGTGTGGAGGTAGAGGAGGAGGGAGATGAAGAAAGCTGACACAGAAGCATTTTGAAGGTGGAAGTAGCATAGGACGTGCCATGAGAGAACACACAATGTCCCAGGTGCTAAGGGTCTTTAAACATTTACTGGGGTAGGGGCATGGACATGGCTGGCCATATGCCCTGAAAGAGGAGCAGGGTTCTATTGCCTTGATGGCCCCCACAGCGGGTTTGTATGTGCCATGTCACCAGGCCTGAGCATGGAGTTTCAGGTAGAGTCATGTCAGAAGTGACAATGGCAGGCTGGGCGTGGTAGCTCACTCCTGTAATCCCAGCACTTTGGGAGGCCAAGGCAGGCAGATCACCTGAGGTCAGGAGTTCGAGACCAGCCTGACCAACATGGTGAAACCCCATCTCTACTAAAAATACAAAATTAGCTGTGTGTGGTGGTGTGCGCCTGTAGTCCCACCTACTTGGGCGGCTAAGGCAGGGGAATCGCTTGAGCCCAGGAGATGGAGGTTGCAGTGAGCTGAGAACGTGCCATGGCACTCCAGCTGGGCAACAAGAGTGAAACTCGGTCTCAAAAGCAAACAAAAAAAAAAAAACAAAAAAAAAGAAGGAGAAGTAACAATAGCAGTAATAGTTGTGGTGGTAGCATTATGATCAGTATTCTTTAATTTTTTTTTAATTTTAAAAATTTTTTGTGCTCTTGTTAAGAGACAGAGTCTCCCTCCATCACCCAGGCTGGCTGGGGTGCAATGGTTCATAGCTCAATGTAACCTCAAAGTCCTGGGCTGAAGACATCTTCCTGCCTCAGTGTACCACCCACCACCATGCCTGGCTAATTTTTTCCTTTTTTGTAGAGATGGGGTCTCACTGTGTTGTCCAGGCTGGTCTCAAGCTCCTGGGGTCAAGCAATCTTCCTGCTTCGGCCTCCCAAAGTCCTGGAATTACAGGTGTAAGCCACTGTGCCGGGGGTCATGCTTCATATTCTTTACTTGGCTCTCATTTACTCTCATAACAGCCCTGTGAGGTGGACAACCTTCTCCCCATTTCACAGTCAGAGACTGAGACACAGAGGGAAGCGCTTGGCCCAGTGTCACCCTGGGCATCTGCAGCAGAGCCAGGATTCTCCTCCGCGCAGCCTGGTTCTTGGCCATGTTTTTCCCCACTCCCTGAAGGATCTAGTCTTGATGAAACAAGGGCTAGTCGGGGGCCGTCCGCTGAGCTGTCCTGTTTGCTGTGATGGGAAATCTCACAGGGAGTTTACCAGAAATCATTCTCAAGCTTAACTGACCCCTAGCTAAGATCCATCTGACATGGCTCTTGGGAGCAGTTGGTCAGTGGAACCATCTGGAGTCTTCTGATTTGAGTTTCAGAGAAGGAGAGAGCGAGCAAAGTACTTATAACTTAGGAGAGCTGTGTCCTGGAGACAGGCTTTGGCCAGATGGCCGATCTTGCCATGGAAACCCTGGGGTGAATGCTGGGGTGGTTGAGGCAGCCAGCCCTTCCTCGGGTGTGGGACCAGGAAGGAAGGCCTCTGTCCTCCTCCTTTCTTAGCCTTCGTTCCCCGAATCCCATTGCGACCCCCAGGTGTAGAAAGTGATGAACTTCCACCTGGCCTCTCTGTCCAGCCTCTGGCAGAGGGGAGACTTGTCAGATGCTGGAATCAAGGAAGACAACCTAGTGATCAAGCCAGGCTGAAACCACATGCCTGCATAGCAAGCGAGAGGGCAGATCGCAGAGGCCGTCCCTTGGTGGGCCTGGACCAGATGCTGGAAGGCAGGAGAGTCCAGTCTTGCTGTGGTCAGTAGCGATGAAGGGCGAGGCTGCAGGGTGGGGGGTGACCCTTCCCACCCACACCCACGTGCCCATGCGTGGAATTGGCATTCTACCCAGATGGGGCATTCGGTCTCCCCCTTTCTCCTGCCATGGGGTAGCGTTCGTTTGCACATGCGATGTCGGTTTATTGCGGTGTCGACAGCATTGTGGAAGGGGGACGTTGGTGGGTACCTGGGTAAATAAGTATAAATAGTTTTCTTTCTGATATGTGACCGGATTATTTTCCAGTTGATTTCAAGCCCTGGCCCCAAGTGGCCCACAGATCAAAAAAAGATAAGGGTCAGTTACAAGGTTGAGCTCATTCTCCGTTGCCATGGCAACTGACCTCAGGCAACCCTCGGAGGACTACACCCAGCTCCCCAGGTGATGTTTTTACTGTCCACACCATCAATCCCAAGCCTTTCAAAACTCAGACTGCCTAATTGTCAGGGCTCTGTTTTGAAGAGGCTCTGGGTCCCCCGTGGGGCCCGGTTCAGGCTGCCAGAGCTCATTTAGAAGCCTTTGTGAAACACAGGGGACCATACGATGGGTCCCTTCTGGGCAGAATGGCCTGGGAGGGTGCCCCCAGGGGGAGGAGGAAGGGCACAGCCCATCCTCCAGCATTAATTAGGAAAATGTGAGCCCAAAATGGGAGCAGCGTGGTGGGCTGTGCCTTCAAGCCATGGCTGAGCGGTCTTGAGTGAGGAGGACACCGAAGGGTGGAGAGCCCCTGGCACTGGGGGTCGGGGACAGCCGTGATGCGGGGATGGTTTGGGGGAGTGTTAGCCACCCACCGTCAGAGTCTCCAGCAGCCTCTTCAAAGATATACTCGCATCATTTCCATCCCAGGAGTAACCACAGGAAATATTTTTCATTGCTGACGATTTTTCAGTCTTTTGCAAAATGTGGACAAAAAGTGACTAGAAAACTTCCTGCCTTTTAAGAGATCCTTCCACATAGAATATTGGTCAAAGCAGTGGGACAGCTCCCAAACCCAGCTTCGGGACAGCAGGATTCCAACAATATCAGCGTCCCTAAGCCCCTTGTATCGCGCTCAGTGGTTCTCAAGCGTTAATGGACGCCCCAAACACGGGGGCACCTTTAAAATGCTGCAGCTCTGGGGCAGGCCTGAGACTCTGCATTTCTCTCAAGCTCCCAGGTGCTGCCCGGGCTGCTTGGCAGGGAAGTGGGTTCCCGTGGGCTGCCAGAGCTGGGGGTGTTGGGGCTCCCATGGTCATCCTCCATCACCACTCACCTGCTCCCAGCTCTTGCCCAGCCTTTGACAAGGGACACTCCTCAGACCCTGAGTTCTCCTATGACCCTGGTTGACTCCCAGCCTAAATGTCACTCTCTCCTTCCCTTCAGCCTGGACTGGTTAATTTCTTCATGGCATTTAATGACAGATCAATAGATAAACGGCCCAATCTGGCTGCCCAGATATTATCACCTGCCCTCCTCTTTCTGCCTGGGGGTCTTTGTTTCTTACAGGAAACAAAGGACAGAGTCTCCCACAGCTCAGGTTCCTAGCTCCTGTTCTGCGCTATTTGTGGTTATCTATGGGGATGGTGTCGGAGGGGTCCTCTCCTGGGGTCACCCTCACCTCACCCTCTTGCCTCCTGGCAAGATTTGCCTGGATGAGTGCTGGGGCCTTTGCTCCCATGCTTCCTCTCTCCAAGGACCATTTACCGCGCCCATTTACAGTGTGTGTGTCTGAGCCCCAGGACCTCAGGACTTGACCTGATACTAGATGCGCAGGCCGCAGGCTGTCCCTGGTGCTGTGGAATGTCAGTCTGGGGCATTTATTTCTGGGGCTGGTAGTGGAGGGGCCGCAGCTTGGCCAAGCAGCCTGTGTATTCCCTGCCTTGCTTCCACCTGCAGACACACTCTTGGAGAGAGGAGGTGCAGCCTGGACTGTCCCACGCTGTCACATGCAGGGCTACCTCCTCCCCTTCCTCAGGGAAAGCCCCAGCCCTGCTGCCAACCGGCGCTTGTGCTGGCGAGGGGACCCCCCAGGCTCAAACATGGAGATGCGGAGGGCGGCTCTGTCTTCCTTCTGACCAGGATTTTTTTGGGTGATCAGGGAGCAGGGGTGGCTTGCTGGGTCCCAGGTTTTAGGTCTTGTGGCTGTTTCTTGAATTTTCTAAAGCCAGAGAGGGCTGCTGGGGGTGAACAGCAGGGCTGCTGCTGCCCCGCTCTGCCCTGCTCTGCCCTGCCACATCCCTGTTAGGGGCCCTGCCTCTCTAAGCGTCCCTTCCTCTTCTGTCAGCTGAGGGAGCCTCTCCACGCCCTCAGTCTTGGAGCAGGCTGTTGTTCCGTGGGGTTCCAGAAAGCGTTACTGGAGTTGAGGTTTTTACAAGCCGAGTCCTGTGAGATTAGGGGTGACCATGGGTGCATAGTGATGGCATTTACCAGCACTCCCACCCTACCGCAAACTCTGTGCTAAGTGCTTTACATAAATCATTCATTTCCTGCTCGTCAAGCGTCTCCTGGTGCCAGATCCTGTTCTAGGCACTGGTGACATAGCAGTGGGCAAAGCAGCCCTCATGGAGTTTATGTTACTCTGTCTGTGTGCCGGAGGGAGGGAGGGACGGAGGGAATGAGAATGAATTAAACAATGAACCCTGTAATATACCAGGTGGTAGTAAGCGCTATCCAGGAATTAAAGGTGGGCCAGGTGCTGGAAAGGACGGGGGTGTGTGCTGTGTTAGATGGGGGTCTCGAGTAAGGCCTCCCTGAGGAGGTGTCCTTTAGGCAGACCCCTGAGTGTAGTGAGGGAAGGAGTGTGGGATGGTCTGGGGGTCTCAGCAAGGGCAGATGTCCTGTGGCCAAATAAGACTGCTTGGCTGCCATACAAAAGCCCCGTAATGACTCTGCCTATTTTCTAGTGGCAGAAGCAGAAGCTCAGAGAGGCAAAGTAACTTACTCCAGTCCACACAGCGAGTGAGTGGTGGAACTAGGGCTCAAACCCAAGTGTTCCCGGCTCTAGCTTTTGTGTCCTTCATTGCCACATCCTGGATGTAGGTGGCTAGTCATGCCCCTAGTCAACACCAGGCGGAAGTCATTGGTCTTCTCCTAGACAGGTGTGTGCATTAATGATGCCACTCTGGGGTCAGCTTTCCCGAGGGGGGTTCCTGCTAAGAGAGGGGGTAGGCAGGGACTATCCGTTGTGGCTGGAGCAGGTCACGCTCAGTGCACCAGAGCCCGAGAACAATGCCCCGTCCACACCCCGCTGCAGCCCGCCGCTCCTCCCTCCCAGGCAGCAAATTATGGCCTCCGAATGTGTGCCCAGGCCTGCCTTTGACATCAGTGGGGCCCACCTGAGCTTCACCTTCAGGATTCTGATAATCAGCTCTCTCTCCTCCTGGCTTCCCCCAAGACCCGTATGGAAATAAGTATGTGTCTGCCAGGGATCAAATGCTTTTGGAGACAAAAGTCGGTACCAGGGACATTACAGGGAGCTATCATCTCGGCACGATGCTCTTCCACAAAGCCCTCTGCTCCTCTTTTGGGCTGACACAGTTTCAGCCTGAAAGGTTCCAGCAGGCTGACTTGGTTTTAAGCAAAAGCACATCCTATTATTTTTTTGAGAAATGAAGTGTAAAATTAACACTTATTCCTGAGCAGAGGAGGGAGAAAGGAGAGACAGGGACTTTGGGATTTTCCTGCTTGGCGGGTTGTTTGTTTGGCAGTTTGAGTTTTTATTTATTTTTATTTTTTTTAATCATAATAAATCAATAGATTTCCTTGTGCCAGCCTCGACTTATGGGGAACAGGAGGCAAGATCTGAATTTCAGCAGGTGAAATCTGCATTTCACTTTACAAATGAGCGGGGCTGCATAATTCACTTGAGTTGTGTGGGTCTGTCTTATGGATGCCTGTCATGTGCTATTAAAAAAAAAAAAGGCACAGAAAAGGAAGGGAAGCAATTGTGCGTCTTAACTCACAAAATCCTCCAGTCCCCACGCTGGGGTGGAGGGGCCTGCAGGCTCCCAGACAGCTTTGTCATTCTGCTCCAAGGTGTCGGCCGAGCACTGTGCGATCTTATATAATTCAGGAAAGTGATTCTCGGAGGGTGCCACTATCGGCGGACCCTGCATCTTGGGGTGGAACGAGAGGTTGTCAGCGCCTGCGGGGTGAGAGTGATGGTGCTAGCAAATTCTATCAATATCCATGGGCTGGCTCACATTGGGTCACCAGCACGCAAAGGAGTGTTTGTCACACTAACTAGGGCAGCCCCTCCCCGCCCTCTCCACCTCCCCGGCCCTCCCCCTGTTTTCCTGGATGGTTTCATAGGCAGAGATACACGTAATGGACACCCAAGGGAGTACCTCTAACCCCTCCAGTGGGGAGAAGGCCTCGTCTTCAGAAAGATTTGCAAATCAAAAGGTCTTGCCTTGAGTGGGAGCGAGTCCCAGCTCTGCGGGAACCCTTCAGGCTTTATTCCATCCCCTCCCTTCACTTTCACTTTTTGCTTGTTTTATTTCTCCTCCCCTCTTTCCCCAGGTTTGACTCTCTTAAAACACTTGGGGGAGAGAGAGGAAAGGGTCCCGAGACACACAGTGGTCTGTTGGGCTCTTGATCTAATTAGCCTGGAACCTTACTTTGACACTGGTTTGGGGCTGTGATCTGCTTAAATGGTAGCCGTTTGGGCCCCGGACGGCTTGCAGCTCCAGGGCTGCCTGACTGTGCACATATTTATGAACATGGGCGCTGGGTGTAGCTGCGGCTATGAATCAGGGGGGACCAGCTGATGAATTGCTCGGCACTCGGAGAACGGAAAGTGACTGTCAGACATGATTTCTCTGATTTATAAGTTGCAGGAGGCTTCTTTGTCCTCTCGGTGTTTGTGTATCAGATGGGCCCGTCGCCATTCACAGCCAAGTGGTTAAAGGCCCCCGCTCGGCAGAGAGCGGTAAATCCTGTTTGCCGTCTCAGCCCCCAGAGCCCCTAGCTGGGCAGGGAGAGAGGGCCCAGCCTGGGGACGTCTCTCCTCTGTGAGTATTTCCAAGCCCCTCCTGCAGGCAAGCCCAGAAAATCTCACATGGTTACATGAATCAAGGGTCATTGTGCCTAGTGAGGGAGTAGTCGTGTGTGTGTGTGTGCATGCACACGTGTGTGTGCTCATGAACTGGAATAGTCAGGGCAGGCTGCCTGGAGGTCATGTACAATGAGGGGTACAAGTCAGGGCAGGCTGCCTGGCGGTGGTGTACGATGGCGGGGGTACATGCATATAGGAAAGGTTTTGTATCCTCTTCTGCACCGCCCCCATCTGGCTGTGTTACTTGAGTAAATGGTCTAATTCTCCGAACCCATTTCTTCTTCCCAGAAATGCAGTTTTCCAAGTAAGCTGGGTTATTTCTGAGATTGAAATATGTTATAAACTATTCTTACAGAAAACTCTGCACAGTTGTCAACCTCACATACCCCCTCCCTCCTTAATGTCCACGGGGTGTCCTCATTCTAATAAGGTCACATGTAAGGGTGGAGTCTCTTTCTTTCCTTGATCCTACACCCTGTGCCAGGCACTGGGCAATGTTGTTTGTGCAGGGGGCAGGGGATGCATTGGGGGGTCTTTTGAGGCAGCCCCCCACACTGGAGGCCATCTCTAATTATGATGAACGTCTCCCCAAGGGAGGTGGAGGACGTGCGTGGGGCCTGCAGGGCGAGCGTGCTGAGCCTGCCCTGTGTCCCAAAACTTGTCAATGAATTCCTTTTCTGCTAGTATAAATGGAAGATCTGTTTGAGTCTCTGTCGGGTGTATGTGGCCTAGTTGCCAGGGCTCCAGGGGCATGACAAACACCCGGTAGATTCCAGCCAGTGGGCTATGTGGGGCAGACCCACCTGTGTGTGCACGTGTGTGTGTGCGCCTCTGCGGTGGGGTGCCCGGGGGTGCGGGGGATGGCTGGGCCAGGGGGAATGCCTGCTGTCTCTGCCAGCCCCTGCCAGGGCCTAGGGACCCAGGGACTCGCCAGGAGCCTCAGCCCATCTGTGTTCATGTCTTGCCACCAGCAGAACCCCTCTGCTACCTAATTCTTGCCTTTAAGGGCAAATCAGAGCACCTGGCGCCTTCAGTGAGGCTGGTTCCCTGGGGGAGCCCAAAGGGGAACCCGTGTCCTTGGCTGTCCCAGATAATACTCTCACCAACACTGACATGCCTGGCAGTAAACACTTATTGAGCACTTGCTGTGTGCCAGGGTCTGTTCCAGACCCCTGTGCATGTATTAGCTCATTTAATTCTCATAGCAACTATAACAGAAAAGCTGTTATGGAGTGTTTCAGACAGAGGAAACTGAGGTACAGAGAGGTTGTGTGACTTGCCTAAGATCACCCAGTAAGGGGAGGGACGGATTCCAACCCCAGGTGATGTGAAGCTCAAACCAGGGGATTCCCCATCCCCACCACTGACCCCTGGGCCCCTCTGTCCTCCTGCAGCCCGGGAAGCAGGGAGGACAGGTGGTCCCCATCTTACTGCACATGAGCTTGTGCCCACAGCATGCTGTGTGGGGCTGAGGAGCCAGAATTTGAACCTGCTGCTGCTTGATTGTGAGTGAGGGCACCAGAGCTCTGAGCCTCCTCGACATTGGCAAGGCTGGTGCTCAGGCACTCTGTGTCCCCCGGCGCCTTTGGGTGAAGGTTTGGGGTCTCAGCGGCTCCCAGGTGGGGAGATGGAGGAGCTGTGTTCTGGTCTGAAGCAGGATGGCGAGTTTGCCTGTTGTCCATCATCCACTGCATAGACCATTTGTTTAAAAGAAAAGCAAATAAAAAGAGCGTTTGGTGCAGTATCTTCCATGCTGCCCGTCAGTCTCGAAGTAAAATTCCAAAGTCCTCCAGGGGCTGACAGGGCTTTTCTTGTGCATCCCTGTGGCCTCTCTGACCTCACTCTTGGCCCTCTGAGCTCAGGCACTGTGTTCCCATGCTGGGCTTCAAGCCTGTCCAGCATGGCATGGACCCACCTCAGGGCCCTGCCCCCACCCCTCTCCTAGAGTGCTCTCGCCATGTATTCACATCACCTCCTGACACTGCATTATGTGCTGATGATTTTGTTTATCATCTGTCTACCCCACCACCAGAGTGGGGGCAGAGACATTATTTGTTTAGTTGCCTAAATAATCCTTAGAGCAAAGTACCTGGCACATAGTACATGCTCAATAAATATTTGATTGGATTTTTTAAAATCCTGGTTGGACCACCTTCTCCATCCTGTACCTCATCCTGGGTGCCTCTGCACAGTGACCCAGTCTTGGGACTCAAGCTGTTGACCATGGCCTGCACACCTGGCTGCTTGATCAGCAGGAGAAATCACAGCAAATGGCACCTCCAAGGGCCACATATTTGGAGCCGGTCCTCTGGGGTCTGTAAGCCTCTAGGGGTGAGGCCATGTGGAGCCAGGATGAGTCTTGGTGTCTGCAGTCCCTTCACCAGCCCCGGTGCTGGGGATTGGAGGGGGGTTAGTGCTGGGGTCTATGGGAGGCCTTGTGAGCACCTGTCTGGGGGACATGGCATGCTGGTCACTGACTGGTCACGGGTTTTCCTTGCAGAGGAAGGCATCAACCACGAGTGTAAGCTGTGCAACCAGATGTTCGACTCCCCGGCCAAGCTCCTCTGTCACCTCATTGAGCACAGCTTCGAGGGCATGGGCGGCACCTTCAAATGCCCCGTGTGTTTCACAGGTAAGGTACCCAGCTTGTGCCCCTCAGGGGAGAGAGATGAACACAGGAGCCCTGCCCTGTTATTGCGGGATCCCAGTGTGTGCTCTTCCTCTTTCCTTGGCAGGCCTGTTATAGACCAGGACTCCGTTGGGGATACCCTGAGGGATTAACAGGCCCTTTGCCCCACGTCCCTCAGTTCAGAGCTGACACGCGCCCTCCTTCAGTGCTCTCTGGCCTCTCCTCATCAGCAGGCTGGTTGGCACCCTCTCCTCGCCCTCTGCACACAGGAGCTAGAAGCCCTTTGTCCAACCCAGCCTCAACCCTCTGCGGCAGTTTTCCCCTCCCGGGCCCTGTGTTTGTCTCCCCGAGCCTTGAGCTCTATTCAGCACTTCTGGGGCTCCCAGCTTCACATACTCCTGGTTCCCCCTTCCCTGGCCTACCTAGCTCCCATCCATGCTCCAGGATGCAGGGGTCAAGGGCAGCTCTGCCGGCCAAGTTCCCAGCCCCCAGACTGGCTGCCGGCCCAGGCGAATGGCTGTCCCAGCCCGAGGCAAGTCTCAGGGGCTCTGCCGGCCCCCTCCTGCTGCCCAGATGGCAGCCGGTGTGCGTGGGAGAGCCTGGCCTTCCCTGCCTCCCCCGACATCTGCTGTCTGCCACGGCAGGAAGCCCACCCTGGGGAGGACGCCTGGCAGGAGGGTATCTCTGAAGTGCTCACCTCCCAGACACACAGCTGCTCTGGGCCACCTCCTGGGTGCGCTCAGGGCTGGGGCCACCTCAGAACTCCTGCCACTGGGAAGCCAGGGCTAGACCTTCTCCATGCCAGGCCCAGGGGTGTCCACTCTGGGGCAAATCCCCCAAACACACACCCCTGGGGCTCCCCAGAGCCCCTGAGCACCCTGATGCCATCTTCCCCCTCATCGCAGGAGCCCCCACCCATCTGTCACTGCCACACTCTGAGGCTGGCACTGAAGGGCCCCAGCTGCCCGTCTGCCAACCCAGGACATGGGGGCCTCTGTGTGGGGGCCCGAGGATGCTGACAACAATAAAAATAGGAATTTGTGTTGGTTGAGCAACTTCTTGTACAAGACCCTGTGCTGAGCTTATTTAATTCAAGTCTAGGCTCTGCCACTTGCTAGCAGTGGGACCTTGGACAAGCCATTTAACATTCCTGGCACCTCAGTTTTCTCTTGTATAAAATGGGGATAATAGCACCTGTCCTACAGGCCTGGGAGGGGTTCAAGAAGCTCACCCCTGTAGGTGTCTGGCTGTTGATGATGGGGACGAGGAAGACAGCATTCATTTGTCTGTGGCAGGCCATCTTTTAAGCACTTTATCAATATCCCATTTGATCCTCCCAGCCACCCAGCTAGGGACATATTATAATCTTCATTTTTTGAGTGAGGAAATGGAGCCCAGAGAGGTTAAGTGACTTACCCAGGGTTGCACAGCCACTAAGTACCGGAGCTCAGCTTATCTAACTTGAGCCTCCTCTAGTATGTGCTAAGAACACTCCCAGTAGCCCACTGTTTGGCTGACTGTACCTATGCCACAGTGATCCCTGCCTGCGAGTGTTGTGGGGGCAGCTGCCACAGGAGGCTGGGCTGGTGTCCTGAGCTTGGCCCTGACAGCCGTGTCTGTGTCTAGTCTTCGTCCAGGCCAACAAGTTGCAGCAGCACATCTTTGCCGTGCACGGGCAGGAGGACAAGATCTACGACTGCTCACAGTGCCCTCAGAAGTTCTTCTTCCAGACCGAGCTGCAGGTGGGTGCCCACATCCGCTGCACCACGCCGCCTGATGGTCCTCGGTTCCCCCGTCAGCACCGACGGTCTCAGGGTTAAGGCAAGCTGGTGGAGTCTTATGCTGGCAGGTCTGCAATCAGGGGCTGACCTCCTGGCTAGCAGGCATGGAGTTTCAGCCCCCTGGCCTCTGCCAGCCCAGCGTTCTCAAAAGAACCAACTGCCACTGGCTGAGCCCAGAGCAGGAGTCAGAAGCTTACATTTGAGGTGTTTCGTGGCAAGTCCTGTCTGCTCTTGGGGATTCCAATTTCCCTACCTCTATTGTAAAATGATATTTCACTGAGCTTTGGTTCTGTGGCTAGAAGCCCATGATGTCTTTGTGGCTGGGTCCTGGGGCTGTGTGGGAACAGGAGTTAGGTCTGGGGCCTTGGAGCCTCCAGTTTTGTCCATAAAAGCCAGAAAAGAAGAGTAGTGGTGCCCGATTGCCCCAGCTTAGAGGCAGTCACCAGAGGTCCTGAGACTGATGTGGCCCTCAGGTAAGGGACAGGGGCCTCAGCCAACTTCCTTGCATCCTCATCCCCAGCCTGTGGTAACTGAGAGGACCTTGGGAAAGGAAGCTGGTGTGACGGTCTTCCCAGGCATTCACAGCCACCTGCCTTGGAATCCCATGGGGCCCCATTTCACCTGTTACTGGTTTTTCCAAGGAACAAGATCTGTGCCCAAGTGAAACTGCTTTCTCTCCCACTGGTTTTTGCAAAAAATTCTTGCAACACTGGAGAGATCACATGCCCACCAGAAATACAACACACGTACACAGAAAAATCTCACATTCACTGTACCTGGACCATAGCATCACACACACAAAGGGAAGGTGCACGCACACAGTTCCTATCACAGTGTATATGCCCAGAGATGTCACAAAGAGTAACACTGCATCCACCCTGAGGAATACCGCACACATGCAGCACAACACTGCACCCCCAAAAGAAGGACCACACTCATGTCCACAGATATATCACACATACACATAGACGGACATGCCGAAATGTCACATACCAAGAATGAGCCTGTCGGGAAGGATATGGGTAGGTTAGGCTGCAATAACAAACCTCCTCTCGGTCTCTGTGTCCTCAACAAAAGGTTTATTTGTTGCCCATGTGACATATCCAAGCAGGTGATGGGGAAGAGACTCTGTTCATAATATTCACTTAGTGACCCAGGCCCACGGAGGGTCCATGCCCATCCACGTTTCCGTAGTCACTGAGGCAGGGAGAAGAGGGAGGTGGTGACTTCTCTACCAGCACTTCAAGCTTCCCCTCGGAAATGATGCACGCCACCTTCTCTCACATTGTGTTGACTAGAGTAAGTCCCGCGGGCATGCCCAACCTCAAAGCGGGTGAGGCAGGGAATTCCACCCTCTGCCTGGAAGGAGAAGGGAGCCCTAAGGACTCACACACACCAGTTTGGCCCTCCAGGGGGGACCCTACACACCCAGCAGCACCCTCCCTCATCCCCATGCCACTGCTGCACCTGCATGCAGCAATCTCCCACATACCCAGGTTACAAGGCTGGGGCCACTTACACCATGCAGAGTCACTTGAATGGCCACAGTGGTGCCTCCCCCTCTGGGGTTAGAGGGGCACAGCTGTGGCCTGTTGTAGGGGGCCCCCTTCTTACTGTGCTGTGGCCCACCCACACTGCCAGGCCTGGGCCCGCCTGTCTGCACAGCTGGTGGTGGCTGTTGCCTGGAGGATATGCAAACAGGCCCTTGGAGGGTGTGGGGACCGGGGGGATTCACCATTAGATGGTCAAGTCCTGTTTCCATAGGCTGGCCCCATGCCAGGGCTAGGTAGGCTGAGCTCAGGGCTGGCCCCGAGGAGCACCCAGCTGGTGTGGTGGAAAGCCTGTTTCTTTTCATCCTTACGGTGCTCATAAATTTGTGTATTGTACATGAGGCCTTTATCCCATTGTCACAACGTGGGACAGAGTTATGAAACCAATCATACAGACCTGGCCCAGAGAGGGGGTTCCACTTCCAAAAGGCCACCACTGAGCTAGTGACCCTTACCATGCCACTGCTGTCTCCCCATTGATCCACAAACTGAGCTGATGTCTCTGTGCTTAGGATGTGTGGGGCGACAGCTAGGCGTTGATGCCATCCAAGAAGCCTCCCTGCTCGTGTGCTGGATGCGCACCCTCTCCCAAGTGCAGTCCATGCAGCCGCCTTATCCTACCTGCCTTACCTGAGTGGCCCAGCTACCAAAATAGGCCTGGGTATCCTGACAGAGGAGGCTTTCTATAGCCCAACAGGTCAGGCCTCTTTTAAACCCGTGAGTGCATATAAACTACGATTTATTTACACTTTGAACTTGCTCAGCTCCTGCCTGGCTCGCCTGCATTGTCCCAAATGCCAAGAGGTCTCTTCTCTGATGGCCTCAAGATTATTCCCAGAGAAGGTTTCCCATCCTGACGTTTTTGAGCTTCATTGGTGTCACTGGGCTGGGGGCCTAGCTCATAAGTGCAGAGGTGGAGGGAGGCTGCTGCTTTCAATCTGGATCTTGCTTCGATCCCACCTATCTCGAGCTGTGGGCCACACTTGACCTGAGAGCGGTTCATGTGAGCTGGTGGTTTCCTGGGTCATCCCGTTAAGCTTTAAGTCAGATCCTCAAATACTGAGAAACCGCTAAATTACAGCCTTAACGAGTCACTATTTTCTGCAATTAATGATTTTAATTATAGACCGTTTAAATACGGAAGTGTTGTTGCAATGCCAAATCTATGCAAATAATGGCTCTCGTTAAGTAACTTGAATAGCAATTTTCTCGTTTTTGAGAGGAGGGTTTTTCAGGCATTGGAGTGTTCATTGTCCCTACACAGAAGCTGGGGCTGGAAGGCCCTGGTTGGGTGGAACAGGCAAGTGTGCTGTTGTTTCTTGGAATGAGCTGGGGGTTTGGGTGGGGCAGTGGGAGGCAAGGCCAGCTGGAGTTCTATCCTTGCTGGTTTCTTGTGGCCTTGTGTAGTTTGAGGTTATGCACGGAAATTCCAGGCACCTGGTATTTGCAGGCACAAGGGACTATGGGCTGAGAGGTCTTGAGAAGATTCTAGGCTTAGGATTGAGCTCACTGCAGGACCAGGAAGTGCTGCTGCAGGAATAGAAGTTTAGGAGGTAGAACTGAACCATGACAGGCTTGGTCTCTGTCAACATTGACATGTCTCCCTCCAAACGTAATGTTTTCTTAGGTTGCGTTAACAGGAGCACAGTTGCCAGTATAAGGGAGGTGTGAGTCCTCTTTGATTCCAAGTTCGGAGGGCTCTGCCCAAAAGACTGAGATTAATTCAAAGGAGTTTAGACAAACTGTTGCAAATTCACAACCGAATAATTAGGAACATGAGAGGGAACTAGCTTTCCTATTCATTTGTTTGAAGCAAGTATGTGGAGGGCCCATGATGTGCCAGGCCCTGTTTCTAGCACCTGAGAAGACAGTGGTGAAAAGATGAAGAAATACCCACGGGGTCTGCATTCTAGGGGATTGATGGGCACTTTCCAATAAGAGCCAATGACATGAAAAAAATAAAACCAAATAATGGGCTAGAGCATGCTGGGAGGTTGAAGTCAGACACTCCTTGGTAAGTGTGGTCAGGGAGGGCCTCCCCGAGGAGGTGGCATGCAAGCTGAGGCCCGATGGCATGAAGGCAGTATTGTGTGGAAGAGAGCCGTGAGTGCAAAGGCCCTGTGGCCACTGGGTGCCAGGGCTAGGATGACAGAAGGCAGAGTGCAGCTGAAGCACAGTGAATTGGGGCAGAGGCAGTGGAGCCCAGATCATGGCAAGGTTTTCAGGACAGTGAAGGACTTTGGATTTTATCTCCATCATGATGGGAAACCAAGCAGGGGACAGATATTATCTGATTTACACCCTGAATCAAAATGTAAGAAGTTTGCTTTTGAAAGACATGGTTAAGAGAATGAAAAGTCACTGATTGGGAGAAAATATTTGCAAATCACATATCGAATAAAGCACTTGTATCCAGACTATATGAAGAACTCTCAAAACTCCATAATGAGACGGGACACAGAACAACTAAAAAATGAGCAAAAATCTTTTGGCAGATGTCTCACCAAAGAAAATGAACATCATTAGTCATTAGGGAAGGGCAAGTGAAAACCATAGCCTGATGCCACCCACATAAATGAAAAACTCACAATGCTGAGAGTTGGTGAGGGCGGGATAGGAACTTTCACACATTGCTGGTGGCAGTGCAAGATGGTATGGCCATGTGACAAAATATTTGTCAGTTTCTTATAAAGTTAAACGTTCATTTACCGTTAGACCCAGTAATCCCACTCTTAGTGTTTACCCAAGAAAAAAAGGAAAATTTACACTCACACCAATACCTCTACATGAATGATGATAACAGCTTTGTCATGGCCCCAAACCGGAGGCCTGCTCGTTGTCCCTTATTTGGAGGATGGGTAACAGATGGGGTCATGTGTTACATTGGTACAGGTCATGTGTACATTCTCAGCAGTAAAAGGCAACTGCAGATACATGTTACAATGTGAATGAATCTTGTTTTGTTTTTTAAGTGACAGGGTCTGGCTCTGTCACCCAGGCTGGAGTGCAGGAGTGTGATCATGGCTTACTGCAGCCTCAACCTCCGGGGCTCATGTCATCCTTTCACCTCAGCTTCCTGAGTGGCTGGGACTATAGGTGCACACCACCACACCCAGCTAATTTTTTAATTTTAACTTTTAATTTTATAGGTGGGGTCTCATGATACTGCCCAGGCTGGTCTCAAACTCCTGGGCTCAAGCAATCCTCCCGCCTTGGCTTCCCAGAGTGTTGGGATTACAGGCGTGAGCCACTGTCCCTGGTGCCATGGATAAATCTCAAATGTCACATGACAAAAGCCATACTCAAAAGGTTCCATGCTGTATGGTTTTATTGACATGACATTCTGGAAAAAGGTAAAAATATATCGCCATAGAAAACAGACCAGTAGTTGTCAGTGGCTGAAGGTCGGAGTTGCAGGGAAGAAATAGGGGAGACTTTTTTTTTTTTTTGCAATGGAACATCTGAGTTTTGTGTAACTGATGTGAAAGCTGCTGATTTAGAATACTGCAGCAATAAGACTAGATATTGCTTTAAAGGAGAATGCAGAGATAGGGACAGACAGTGCGCACAGTTATTTGGAAAATTTTCTAAGTCTGCTAGTGTTCTGTGTACAGAAAAAGTGAATTTTCTAAATGACAAATTTGGAAACTGTGGTTCCCGTTGTCATTTTTATGATATTCTTTGTGGAAAGATTGTCACTGGACACATTCAGAAACAGTATCAATGACAGACTTTGATATACAATATACTTACCTTGGGGGTCATGTATGTTTGTCTGCACATGCAAGAAATGGTTCAAAATAATGGGGGACCTATGCAGAAGCTACAAGTGCATGTGGTCAACACAGGTTATGTAGATTCCAAGGATGCAAATATCTTAGTGACATAAATATAACAAGATATAACATAAATTGCAGAGAGAATAGGGCTTGCAATGAACTTTTCCATTGTCAGTGTGATCCTGGTTATGCTCCTCCAGATTGTGAGCCGCCAATATCATCACCAGGAGGAAGTGTTAATGATGGATTTTAGCTTACGGTAGAAAAAAGTGTACCTTGTTTCCAAAACGACGTGCTGCTCCTAAAAACAATGGTCTTTTGATCAGTTTCTACATTTCTTTTTTACCTTTGCTCATTTTAATTGCTATTGTTAGTCTTAAATGGAATAAAATGAAGAGATTTTGGAGCAAAGCGGGAACAGTAAGCAGCATATCTATCTCAGAAGACAGCAGCAGGAACAACAACGAGTCACAGAGTTAAAGTAGCCCAAGTGATAACTTCGAAGCCATAGGGTGGAGAAAGGATATTACCAAGAAACTCACCATTAACTGGCCTGATCTAACAATGAAAAAAAAAAAGTTTTCTCTCATTTTGTTATGGCTTAAAGCTTTCAATTTCACAAAACAAAATAAATCCTATGACTTGAAAGCAAGAGAAAAAGAAATAGGGGAGACTAAGCTTTGTCCATATACCTGTACCCTCACCCACATATACACCTGCCCACGCTCACCCCACACCTTGAAAACCCAGGCAGTAGGGGATCCAGTCTGACCTCGAGGTGCTTCCAGGAGTCTGTCCTAAGTCTGTTTAACCAGGAGAAGACTTGGATGGATTGCAGAAGAAATGCAGGGACAGTTGTCTTCGAGCATTTTAAGAACTCTGGGTCCTGGAGGGGTTCTTATTGCTTCAGGTGGCTCCAAGACTTTTGGCAGTGGGCGCCAACTCAGAACAGGGGTTTTGGTCCTGGATAGTCATGGCTCAGGCATCACTCTCTGCAGTTGGCGCAAGCTAGAAGGGAAATTAAGCTGTAGGGACATGAGTGGATTTTGGATGCTAAGAGCAGGAAGCAATGTTGGGTTTTTGGCAGCCCTATTCCCGGAGCCAAGTGTCACTTAAATAAGGCAGCTACACTCTGTCTTCTCTAAGACTGCCTGGTCCCTGCCTTCTGCCTCTTTCTGGCTTTTATTGTCCTCTCTCTCTACAGCCTGACTTTCTGGGCTCCTCTGTACAAGGAGGAAGGTGGTCAAGGTTCCACAGCTCCTGTCAATTCTGCTAAGACAGACACCCTAGGTAGCTCAACAGAGAGGATTTAGTGTGAGGATTGGTGACACAGGTAGCCAGAAGGAACACCCAGGAAACCCCAGAGATAGTGACAGCGGTGGCAGCCAGCCCTCAGGCAACAGGTGCTAGATCCCTGGAGGGGGAATCTGGTAGGTGAGCCTGGGTCAGCTGTCCACCCTGCTCCAGTGAGCTGTGGCTGGGGGTAGGATCATATGATACAAACCAGCAAGTTCAGGGTGCTTTTCAGGGAAGGGGTGCATGACCTGGATGGACACTGAGCATTTGCAGTATGCGGGAAAACTGTCCAGAAATGGAAAGTGCTGAGGTCCCTGTCGGTAGAAGTGTGCAAACAATGCACGTGTCTGAAATGCTGCCAAGAGTGAAGCAGGGAGCGGCCCAGTCTTTGTGAGGGCAGCTCCGTATTTAAAACCTTGCTCTGTCATGCACCAGCCGTAAGCCTCAGTTTCCTTACCTGTAAGGCAGGGGTGTGAGTAGTTCCTACTTAAGAGTTCAGTTGCAAAAGGCCCTTGGCACAGTGGCTGGCACACAGAGCATGTAGCAGACGCTGCCTGTGATTATTATTGACATTGACTTCTGGGCAGTTTGAGGATCAGATGGCTTTGGGGATTCCCTCTCCTTGGAGTTTGCTTTGCTTTCATGGTTTCCAGCCTGAGTTTGAACAAAGTGAGACTCCAAGTCCTTCCTTGTGTGGCATCCCACCAAGCCTCAGGGCTGTGGGCACAGGAGACCCCACATTGGGGCATTGGGAGGAGCCAGGTGCCCAGGGCAGTGAGACGGGGCATAAAGGGCATGGAATGGAGGCCAGAGGGCCGGGGCTTCGGGTCCCCCTTCCCCTACTTCTCTGAGCGCCTTTGACCTGGGCTCTTTTCTTAGGACCCTCTATTTCTGAGCCACGTCCGGGCGCCGTGGAGGGTGGTATGTAGATTTGACTGGGGGTGCAAGACAGCCCGCAAATGTCAGAGCTGTTGGCCTTGCATTCCCAGCCTCAGGCCTCAGCAGATGAAGGCCTGGGGCCCTATCGGCCCCATGCCAGCGGTTAGCCACCCTGAGGGGAGGGGTCGCCTCTGCCCACCAGCCCAGCTGTCTCTGCATCCCCATGGGCACCTCTGTGCCCACAGACACTGGGCACGGATGGTGCCTCCATCTCCCCATCCTAAGAGCCTTGCTGCTTCCTGTTCTTCATCCTCACTGTGGGGATGCGTGCATGAGGGTCATATGCGGCTTACCAGCCATACAGGGCTGGAGTTAGACAGTGGACAAGCTCCCCTGAAATTGTACCAGAGACAATTCTCATGGCCTTCACCCCTGGGCCCTAGGTCTGTGCTGCGGGCCAGGCTCTGTTCTGAGCACTTTGCATGGATTGTGTACAGCCCTATGAACAAGGTACTCTCATCCCCATTTACAGATACAGAAACTGAGGCTCTGAGAAGTTAAGCGGTTTGCCGAGGGTCATTTGCAAATGGCAGAGCCACACATAAAGCTGGATTGTCTTTGCCACCAAGGCAAACAGAAACCCTCCAAAGTTTAAATAAATTGCCATTTATATGAGCTAATAGATTTAAATGAGGCCTGCAGTGCTGAACTATAAAAAGCTTTCGTTGTCAGGGGACCCAGAAACTATTTTAGTAGTTGGGCCAAGCAGGTAGCACAAGTAGCAGTAACAGGGGATGCAAGAAAAATTGCTCCTGGGTGAGCCCAGGTGGGAACGCCATGGGGCCTGTGCGCGCGGGGCCAGGGCTGTGCATGGCCACGTTTGCCAGGCTGCAGCTCGAGGCCAGGACCCTGCAAACCCTGTTGCTTGCAAATGAGCATCAGGATGGGTTTGGCTTAGGCTGGGCTTGGGGAGAGGAAGGATTCATTCTCGTCACGGAGATAGGGACTTCCTAAGACCTCAGGTTCATGGTGCTGCCACCTTTCTCCCCTTTATGACTTGCTTGGTCCTGTCATGGGGGAATAGAACTTGAACTAGAGAGATGTCTTTTTAGACATAGAACTTCTGGGATCTTGGAGCTGTGGGGCACTGCCTGCCAGGGCATGTCAGAGTTCACAGCGCGTGTATGTGTGCACGCACACATGCACATGTCCTTGATGAAGATGGTTTTGGGGTGTTGGACCAGCGCCACGCCCTGGAATCTTGACTCCCTCATTGACAAAGCCAGGGGCTGCAGGAAGTGATTCCGTGAGCCGGGCCCGCGGTGGCAAAGCGGCCAGCCCAGCGTTGAGCGGGCGCATTTAAAGGATTAGCTCATGCTGTTTGCTTGTGTGTGCCTAATCATGCTGCTTCCAGCTAAATGATTACAATTGATTAAAAGCAGAGCTAGGTATTCTAACAAGCAACCCGGAGCCCTTTCGATAGGGTGAGCCGGGCTCTGCCAGGCAGGGTCCTGGTACCCGGCCAGAGGGAGAGCTCTCTGAGACAGGGGCGGGATCTCAGCTCCCTTGGGACCCTTCCTTCCTAGCCCTTGAGAACATTTGATTCAGCCCTTGCCCTGATTCCATTTACTGAGTACCTACTCCCGGCACCACCTCAGGAGCCTGAGACAGAACTGGGAACAAGGAGACAGGGTTTCTATTCTCATGGAGCTGACATGCTTTGGGAGACACTGATGATAAGTCAGTAAATACATGAACTAGGGGATTTCAGAATGTGAAAACGCTGTACTGTGATGGAGAGTGGTGTGTGTATGTGCATGTGTGTGTGTGTGTGCGTGTGCGTGTGTGTGTACGCATGTGCGTGTGCATGTGTGTGTGTGTGTGTGTGTGTGTGTTGGGTGGTCAGGAAAGGCTGGCATTTCAGCTCAATCCTGGAGGTTGCAGAGCCAGTGTGGGGAAGAGCTGGGGGATCCTCCAGGAGAGGGAAGAGCCAGTACCAAGTATCTGAGGCCCAAGCAGATTTGGGGTGTTCTCAGAACAGAATAAAAAGGCAGAGGGACTAGAGGGGCAAGCAGGACAGACGGCCACTGCCTTCCTGCATTATTCTCCTGGGCTGGCCTCGCATCGCCTACCCAGTGAGATCAAGATGGGGCTTCCTAGATGCACGTACACCTGCCTATCTGCCTGCAGGAAGTACCCTTTCTTTCTCTTAATGCATCAGCCCAGCTCCAGTGCCTCCTCCCCTGAGAAGCCTCTCGGATTCTCCTTCCTTTGGTTTCTCCAGCCCTTGGTTTAACCCCCCTGATTCCGTTGGCCATATGGATTGTAAGTCACTACGTCTACACCAAACTCTCCACTCTGACGTGAGTTTTTGGAGAGTGAAGACACCCTTTGCCATCCGTCCGTCCATCCATCCATCCATCCATCCATCCATCCATCCATCCATCCCCATATGTGTTAACATATTTTTTGAGCTCCTGGAAAGTCGGAAAGAGAACACAAGCAGGAAAGGAGGAAAAGGAAGAAGGGGAAACCCACAGATTCCGGGAGCCCATTTTTAAAATCCCTGGTCCTTATAAGATGGGTAACCAAAGAGCCAGTTTCCTTGTCTCTTTGTACTGCTGCTGTTGGATCCAGCCAGATAATTATAACTAATAATAATTAAAAATCAAAAGTGCTCTAGGCACATACTTAGCATTTGACTCTGGCTGCGCTTTCTGTGAGTAGCGGCATCTTCCTCCTTCCTGCTTTAGAGATGGCCCCATCCTTGTCAACCTGACTTCTGCTGGGAGACCAGGGCCCAGATGGGTGTGGCCTGAAGTTGCTGGCTGACACCCAGTGGTGGTTCCAGGGAGTGAGAACCTGTTGCTCACGCTGGAGTCAGCCACTTGTGAGGCCAGGAGCCTGGGGAGGGCTGAGAGTTGGGCTGGCTGCTGACCCCCCGAAGTCTCCCAATCCCCATTATTTTCTTTTTTATTTTTTTGAGACAGAGTCTCACTCGGTCACCCAGTCTGGAGTGTGCAGTAACACGATCTCGGCTCACTGCAATCTCCGCCTCCCGGGTTCAAGTGATTCTCCTGCTTCAGCCTCCCGAGTAGCTGGGATTACAGGTGCCCACCACCATGCCTGGCTAATTTTGTATTTTTAGGAGAGACAGGGGTTTCACCATGTTGGCGAGGCTGGTCTCAAACTTCTGACCTCAAGTGACCCACTTGCCTCGGCCTCTCAAAGTGCTGGGATTACATGTATGGGCCACCGTGCCCAGCCGCCCATTATTTCCTACTGCAGATGTTGTATTTCTCTGGGCTCAGTTTCCACATCTGTTAAATGGGGTAAGACCTGCTGCCTCGGGTTGTTGTGAAGATGGAGTTCGCATGTGTAAAGCACTTTATAGCACTTAGGATAGAAGGATTGCTGAGGGTCATTGTGGCCCTTTTCCAATAGGATCACTTTATGCTTCCTGCCTTCCCCACTAGGGTAGGAAACCAGAGCCCAGCACAGCCTGAATTCTACTGAATGTGACCACATGTTGTGGCGATGCCATGCCCATGCTGTGGAGCTCACAGTCTGGCCTCAGATGCCAGCCCTGCCACCAAGCAGCTCCATGACCATAAGCAAGTCACCGGCATTCTCTTGCTTTCAAGAGACCAGGGTTATTGAAGAGCCCTTCTTTGTTTGGTACTGGGGTAGCTGAAGGCAGTGATGCCTGAAAAGCTCCCAGCATTGGGTCTGGGTCAGAGTCAAAGGTTGGTGAGCCCTAGTCATTGCCCTGCCTGTGGTCTGGAGGTGGTGGGCTTTCTGTTAATGCGTTCATTGACTCATTCAATCAATCATGTGTGGACGTGCTCAATCTAGCCTGCAAGTGTTTACTAAGCACCTGATCTGTGCCAGCTGTGCATAGGTGCTGGGGACAAACAGAGGCATAGACTAAGCCCCTCACATGTTGCAGGGAGGGGAAAGTAAGCTAATAAGGACAAACAGAATTTTTGTTATGTGTTTGTGGAATATAATATAATGTGATGTAATATGGTATAGTATATAGTATAGTATAGTATAGTGCTGCATCATACCATATCACTCATACTACATACTAAATACAACATAAGTGCTACACAAAACAGAGCCCCACAGTTGGGCCCCCATGTGACATTAAGGGGCACTGTGGAGCCTGAGCTTTGCCCTTGCTCCCTGTAAGTTACTGTGTTACGAGCACAGTTGGTCTGTGTCTCTAAGCCTTGGTTTATTTACTGTCAAGTGGGGCAAGGGTGTTCCCAACCTAATAAGGTGTGGCATCATCATCATCATCATCACTGTTGTCATTGACATGATTATTATTGCTGCCACTACTGGAGGCAGCTGTGTCTCCTGAGGGGCCATGTGTGGCAGTTTGTGGTCTGCCTTGGGAGAAGTCTGGGGTGGACACTGACAACACTCCTTGTCCTTAGAAGGCCCAAGGCACAGGCCTGAGCCCCTCACCCCAAAGTAGTACAAATGAGACAGCATTTCCTGAGTGCTTACTGGGAACCTGACTGTAAGCCCTTCATGTGGGTAGCCTCTTAGGACCTCACGCATGAGGTCCATGTCATAGATGGGTAAACTGAGGCTCCCCATGTGGACATAGCTGCCAGCGTGGAGAAATGTGAGGCCAGGCAGTCTGACATGAGTGCCTGTGTTCGCAGCCTGCGGGCTGAGGCAGTGGGGTTGGAGATGACTCTCAAAGCCCTTAGAAGCCAAGGGTAGGTCTCTGGGTGCAGGGTCTCGAAGTGGGCCTCACCTCCCAGCGAGGCAGGCGTTCTAGAGGGTGACATGGAGGCTGCATGCAGCTCCCGGGGCATGATACTGTCGCTGGTCTGGACAGCCCTGGGTGAGCAATGGCTTCTCCCTGGTCACCACAGAGGCGCAGTGAGGAGCGGGCACCGGAGGGGTAGTGTTGAAACAGAAGTCTGTGTCCAGCTGTGCTCAGATACCCTCGTGAGCCTTGAGGGTCAGCTCGCCTGAGCAATGAAGTGTGTGGAGGCCCAGGTGGGGACTGGGGGGCCTCCCCTCAAGGCCCAGCTCCAGGCAGAGATGGCACTTGGAATCAGCCTCCGGCTGCCCGTCTGCCCATTGGAGCCTGTCATTCATGCCCTAGGGCAGGGGGCCAACCAACTTTAGAGGGCACCATGCCATCTCGACAGATGGGCACGGGGGAGCTGCCAGGAGCCTCAGGCCGGTGGCCATTGTGTGTGTGGCGAGCCGAACCCCTCCCCGGCGCTGCCTCAGCCGGGACCACATGCCTTCAGTTTCTTAGTAACAGTGACAACACTGCGAGTGGCGGCGCCTCACCGGCTCCACATCCACAGAGGTTTGCACCCTGTAAGCCCTGCCCCGCATTGACTCAGACAAAGAGGGAGCCTCTCACACGGGAAGACATGGGGCCTTGGGGCCTGAGGGGAAGACCCCAGACATAGACACAGACACAGACACTCCTGTCAGACCACCTGGGCTCATAGCTCTGCTTTCCTGGCAGCTCTGCCCACATGGGGAGTCTCAGTTTACCCATTTACAACAAGGAGACACACTCATGTGAGGTCGTAAGAAGCTACTCACGGGAAGGGCTTGCTGTGAGGTCCCTAGCAGCACTCAGGAAGCACTGCCTCATTTTTACTGCTTTGCGGCGAAGGGTTCAGGCCTGTGTCCTGGGCCTTCTAGGGACAAGGAGCACAGTCAACGTCCACCCCCCAGAAATGAGGTTTGGGGGCCTCAGAGTTGCTTTGTCAATGTGACCTTGGGCATGTGACCTCCCTCACGGTGACTCATTGTCGTCACCTGGACAGTGGGCTGCCAGTGCCCCTCTTGGAGGGTTACTGTGGGGATGCAGCATCATGCTTGTAGATCATCGAGCATGGTGCCTGGTCCCCTAGGAAGGCCACATGGAGGAGGCAACATCTGAGGTGGAATTGGCAGAGTTGATGTGGATATCACTGTCCCTCTTTCACAGATGGGAGAAGCAGGCTCAACAGCGAGTTTAAGCCACTCGCTTGATGTCGTGTCCCACGGCTGGTAAGTGGCAGAGCTGAACCTGCAACCCTGGTGGTAAGAGGCAAGGTGAAGGACGATGGTAGCACCACCACCAACCAGGCACTAAGGGAATCCTTTTGCCTTGATTTTTTTCCCATTCTGAGGGCAAACCTATGAAGCCAGTGCTGCTGTTATCCCCGTTTCACAGGTGGGGAGACTGAGGCATAGTTGGGCAGAGATGAGATTTGAACCCAGGCAGCCTGAACATACAACCATTGTCCTAACACCAAGGGCAGGATGTTTTGTGTTACTGAACTCCATTTGTGTCAGAACTTTCTTGATACAGCAGCCTGTGATCCTGACTTATTGGGAGCGGGGATGGCTGCCTGCATCAGGAGGCTGGGGTCTGGCATGGCTGGGGATGTCTTAGCCCCCATCAACGAGAGACCAGGGTGCTCTGGGTGGAAGCCTGGATTGTACTCTTTGGTCAAGCAGGAACAATTACTAATGACATTTACAAAGAAATTAATGATGAGAAATGCAAGTTGGCATTTCAGGAGCACCCGTCAGCAGCCGTGCGCCAATACTCATAGGAGAGGCGAGGTGCTGGGGGCCGGGCATGGGGAAGAGGAGATGGCAGAAAATTAATTTTGCTGTGTCAATAATGTGGCTCCACTCATTCTGCTTCTGAAGTTTAGACAGAATCAATCATGGACGGACTGGGGCTTGTCCGGGGCTGCATTGAGATTCACTGTGTGGCTGCAATATGAGCAAGGGAAAGTGACAGTTTCAGTTTGGTGTCTCCTTTAGGCGTCCCAGGGGACAGCAGGGATGGGAGTGGCAGGGGACAGTGAGAGGGAAGGAGGTAGTCATCCTAGGACAGGGCCATTTGGGCTAAAATCTATGTACCACCTCTTACCAGCTAGACGACTTAGCGAGCCACTTTGCTTTTCTGAGCCTCAATTTCTTCATCGGTCAAACGGGAACAACTGGGAGAAGTAAAGATAATATATAAAGAGCAGAGAGTCCAGTTTCTGACACATGGTAGGAGCTCAGTATACGGGAGCTGTTGCCTTATTTCACGGTTGTATTTTAAGATACACAGCTTTCCTCCTTAGAGCCTCTCTTACATTAAGTTGCAATACCTCATTTGTGTGCTGTAGTTTAATTGGTCATATTTTTTGTTTGTTGTGATACATAAAATACTGGAGCATCTTATGCTCTTTGGGGTTCTAGGGTAAATAAAATACAGCGTTGGTGGGAAGCGTGGTGGAAGGTGAGGAGCAAGATGCTAAAATTGTCTAGGGCAGGGAGGGGATTTCCAGTAGGATAAGGAACCATGCCTGCCCCTGCCCTCCCTGACTTCAGGAGCATCCAGAACAATCTAACCCGGTCTCTCCTCACATAGGGGAGAAGGGACGCACAAGGAGAAGTCACTGTTTTTATAACATTGAACACTTTTATAGAGCAGAGGGTGAAAACTCACAGTCCATGGCCTGGGGATTGTGGAACTTTTAGAGGGTTCTCTATATTCTATTTTCACTTTTTTTTTTTTTTTTTTTTTTTTAAGAAAGAGAATCTTGCTCAGGCTGCAGTGCAATGGTGTGATCATAGCTCTCTGCAGCCTTGAACTCCTGGGTTCAAGCAGTACTCCCACCTCAGCCTCCTGAGTAGCTGGGACTACAGGTGCACACCACTATACCCAGCTAACGTTTTTATTTTTTGTAAAGATAGGGTTCACTATGCTGCCTAGGCTGGTCTAGAACTCCTGGCCTCAAGCAATTTTACTGCCTTGGCCTTCCAAAGTGCTGGGATTACAGGCATGAGCCATGCGCCTAGCTGGTTGTCTGTGTTTTAAAACAGAGAATTTCCATCATCATAAAGAGTCATTTAGCTAGTGCTTTTTGAGTGCCCGGCATTGTTCTTAGCACTGGTAGGCATAAAAACATTTGATCCTCACAATGCCTCTAATATGAAGACAAGCAAAATGAGGCACAGAGAGGTCAACTAACCCCCCAAGGCCTCAGAGCTGGTTAATGCTGGACCCAGGCCACCAGCCCCGGCTTCTGTCCTCTTCACCACCACACTAAATGGCTGGATTTATTGATTTTTCTATAAATCAGGCCTGGCAGCCCCTGGCCGACATTTCTGTGTGACCCCTTTGGATACTGGGATGTGCTTCCTGGTTCAACACAGCCCACAACTGGCCTTCCTTACCTGGCTTATTACCAACTTGCACTGTGAGTTTGTAACCCCGTTGAAACACTTCACAGTTTGCAATTATTATCTCATTGGTGCCTCTGCAACCATTGCTGCCTCTGCAACATTCTAGGGGCCACTAGAAATGCTCTTGACTCTCACCATTTTGTAGACTTGAATACAGGCTTGGGACCTGGGCATTAAAGTAGGATACTGGCAGAGAGAAGTGGGGCTTGTGGTGGGAGTTGTGGAATGTGTTCTACTCATTTGGGTTTGAGTGTTTGAGCGGAGGAGGCAAGTGAGGCTCTCTGCTTCCTGCACAGTGACCAGTTTCCCAGCTGAGGCCACACCTGGAGGTATAGTCTAGACAGCTGCAGCCCTGACCTGTGGCGCCATCTTTGTTTCCTCATCTTTGCCTCAGAAGCTGCCACATCAAAAATGTGGTATTGGCCAGGCGTGGTGGCTCACACCTGTAATCCCAGTGCTTTGGGAGGCTGAGGCAGGAGAATGGCTTGAGGTCAAGAGTTTGAGACCAGGCTGGACAACATAATGAGACCCCGTATCTACCAAAAAAAAAATGTGGGATCATCCATGTTTTTTAGTTGACAGAGATGACAAAGCCCTGTGGTTAGTATTAGTTATGACCCTATTAAGTGTCCATACAGCATTTTACATGTTATAAAACCTTTTACATATGTTATCTAACTTGAAGCTTCTAACAAGGCAATGAGGTAGATATTATTAGTCTTACTTTTCAGGTGAGTGAAGGAGTGCTTAGAGAAGCGAGTGACTTGGCTAGGGTCAGAAAGACAGTAATTAGCCAAGGCAAGATTTGATCTCCAAAGCCCATTGTCTTCTCATCAACTCATCAACGTTTACCGTCCTACCCAGTTATTTATTCATGCACTCCTCTTCCTCCCACCATTCATCCATTCATCTACACATTTATCCATCCACCCACCAATCCATCTACTCATCCATCCACTCACCAATCCATCTACTCATCCATCCACTCACCAATCCATCCACCCATCCATCCATCCATGCATCCATCCTCTCATCCATCCTCCAGCCACCCATCCACTCATCCATCAATCCATCTGTCTATCAATCTATCACCTACCCATTCGTCCACCTACCCATCTCTCCACCTATCCATCCACTCACCAATCTGTCCACTGATCCTTCCATCTATCTATCCACCCACCTTTCCATCCATCCATACATCTGTCCATCACCTACACACCATTTCATCTATCCATCCATCCATCTATTCATTCATCTACCCATCAATCTGTCATCCACCCACTCCTCCACCTACCCACCTATCTATCCACCCACCTTTCCATCCATCCATACATCTGTCCATCACCTACACACCATTTCATCTATCCATCCATCCATCTATTCATTCATCTACCCATCAATCTGTCATCCACCCACTCCTCCACCTACCCACCTATCTATCCACCCATCCACCCACTCACCAATTCATCCACTATCCATCTTCCACCTACCTATTCCTCCATCTACCCATCCATCCATCTGTCCATCATCCGTCTACCATCCATTCCCCCATACCCATCTACCCACCTATCCATCATTTATCCATCCATCCATCATCTACCATCCATCTCCCTATCCATCCAGCTACACGTTCTTTCACCATCATCACCCTCCAGTATTGAGTGTGAGGTACGTGTCAAGAACCACACAGCTTTTCGGATGCCTTCTTCGTGTGCTCTTAATTTCACACTTCACTCTTACCTATCCCTCTCCTTACTTTAAAACTGTGCATATACCTACACACACATACACACACACACGAAAGCACACACCCCTCTGGTGAGATGAGTGGGATGGGACAGACTGGCGATATAGATAATTCTTGGTTTGCATTATGAAAACCAGTGACTTCTGCCTGGTGATAGAAGTGGGGGGCACAGGGCAGACCCACTTGATCATTGTGGGGCAGGTATCTGGGCAGTGACAATGTGCCCACTGTTTGGTTGGAGGCTGGGTATGTATGAGAGGGCAGACGAGGCATTTGAGGCCAGGCCACAGCATTCTTCAGCCTCATCAGTGGGACCAGCTTCCAAAGAGTGGGCAGCCCATGGAGCCCTGCCTTTCTGGGTGACGGGATCACCCTTTGCTGGGTGCCAGGTTGGACCCCCTCTCTGGACTGGCAAGGATGTACACCTACGTGTTTCCCAAGAACCGTCACAATCATAAAGTGTAATCGGTCTCAGCTGCAGTTTTGATCACTGGTGCGTGCACACAATTTATCACAGCAAATTAGGTCCATCCTTACAAGCTTCTGCCCTGCAGCCTGGGGGTCTGTCAGCAAGGGGGCTGGGCCATGAGGGGCTGGGGGCCATTCTTGGGGGTTGATGGGCCATGTTTTCTGAGGAGGCCCCCTCAGAATATCCGCCAGAACAGTTCTTAGTCTGTAGGACTTAATTTTCTAGAAATTTTGAGGATGCAGGAAAGTTTTCCTTTTAACCAAAATTTGGAAGAAAGTAAAAATGGACACGATCAAAGTTTCCTTATATCATTTGCAAATCCTAAAAGCACTGGGTTAGTTTGGGGACCTGAACATATGTGTTCTGTATAATTAGTGACCGTGTGACCTAGATTTTCCAGTACAGTCCTGATTTCAAGTACTCCATCCCAGCTCTTGGCTGTTTGTCCTGATTTTTGGTTTGTGGAATATGGTGACTCTATGTGGATCTTGGTTTTCTCATCATATTTTGATGAATAAATATTTAAAGTGGTAAAGGCTTGCAGAGTCAGAAAAAATTTTCTCCCACTTATTTTTTTCCAACCTGGCAAAACATGTCATGTGTAGGTGTGCCCTGTGCTCACCTTCCTGCCTCCCACCTGCCCTGCCAGAGCAAACACAGACACTTCCTTCCTGCAGCATTTGTAAGCCATCAGGGCCCCCTTTGCTGGACTGGCCTATGACTGCAGGTGAGGCCTTTCCATAGGGGAAAGAGCTCCCAGTTCCACAAGTCTCTTGAGGTCTTCTGTTCTTCCACTAGCTGGCACTGGGAGCCACACTGTAGACAACAGTGGATGGCTCAGCCCCAGCAGCACAGAGAAAGCCCCTCTGCTTGCACTCAGCTGGTGGCATGTTGTCCTGGGATGCTGTGGCTCCCTCCCACCCAGCTGAGGATGTCTCGGGCTGCTATGATCTGTGCACCTTCCAGCCAGGAATGTCGCTGAGTGTCTTAGCTATTGGTGCAGCAACCCTTTCTCTTACCTTCTAAGATCCTGCCCACTTTTTTGTTGTTGGTGGTGGTGACAGAGTCTCATTTTGTCACCCAGGCTGGAGTGCAGTGGCACAATCTCAGCTCATTGCAACCTCCGCTTCCTGGGTTCAAGTGATTCTCCTGCCTCAGCCTCCCGAGTAGCTGGGATTACAGACACACGCTGCCATGCCCAGCTAATTTTTGCATTTTTGGTAGAGATGGGGTTTCGCCATGTTGGCTAGGCTGGTATCGAACTCGTGGCCTCAAGTGTTCTGCCCACCTTGGCCTCCCAAAGTGCTGGCCTCCCAAGGTGCTGGGATTACAGGTGTGAGCCACTGTGCCTGGCCTGTTTTTCATTGTAAAAATTCACGTAGCATAAAATTTACCATCTTAACCACTTTTAAGTGCTGGTTCAGTGGCATTCAGCACATTGACACTGTTGTGCAATCATCACCACCATCTACCTCCAGAACTTTTTCATCTTTCCCATCTGAAACTCTGTTCCTGTTAAACATTAACTCCCCATTTCCCCTTTTCCCAGCCCCCAGCAGCCACTGTTCCACTTTCCATCTCTATGATTTGGCTGTTTTAGGCACCTCGTACAAGAGAAATCATATAATAATTCATTCCACCTGGCCTAGTGTCCTCAAAGGATCCATCCCAGCTTTAAGAAAAAGGTATAACCTGCTCTGGGCATGGCCGGGGCAAGGGTTATGGGGAAGACAGTGGAGCGGGGCAACTGTATTTTTTCTTCTTCTCCCTTGACCCTATCAGTGGAGGCCTGGCTTTGCTACAGTAGCTTGCAGGCTGTCATTTCAGAAATACTCGTTGAGTTTTTACCAAGCACAGGCTCTGAGCTAATGGGGTACAGTGGAGAGCTGAGACAAGGTCCCTGTCTTGTTGCGCTGATGGTGTCATGAGGGGCAGTTGGCCATGGTGCGTCAACAACCAGGTCACTGCAAGTTGCAGGACATGCAGAGTTGAAGCCTCTGCAAGGTGCAGAGCGATGTTGTGATGGGAGTCTGTGGTCAGCGGACAGGAAGCCTGCTCCAGGAGGATGGCTCCGATGTGGAGAAGCCCCAGGAAAACTGGGGTGTGGGGGACACTCTGGATAGCGGGAGTGCTGCTGGGAGGGGGAGGGGCTTCCGGGCTGCGGTGTTTGGGGGCCTGGCAGAAGGTGGTGGCTGAGGCTGTGGGCCAGCAAGAACCAGACCATGGAGGGCCATCTGGGCTGTGGTCAGAGTCCGGATGTGTTCCGGGTGTGGGTGGGACCCGCCAGGGAGTTTAAAAAGCAGAAACCCTTCTACAGCTCTGCCTCCTCGAGGAGACAACCCGGACTGTGCTTCACGTTGTTTTCTCAGCTTTCCTTTGCCAGGAAGGGGGCCTTCAAGGGGCCCTTGCGTCCTGGGCAGGTGGGGCTGCTGGAGGGACTCAGCAGTGGGGTGAACGTGGGGCAGATTAGCCGCACAGGGTAGACAGAAGGCCAAAGTAAAAGTAACTGGCCTCTGACCGCTTAGCACTACATGGTTAGTGTCAGGACTGGGGTGTGTGTGTGTGTTTCTGGGGGGGGATTCGAGGGTATCCATGAGTGTGTACCTGCATGGGGTTGTGGGGTGTCCATGAGTGTGCATGGGATTGTGGGGTATCCGTGTGTGTGTGAGTGTGCATGGGATTGTGGGGCATCCATGTGTGTGTGTGTGTGTGTGTGTGTGTGTGTATGCGTGCACATGGGATTGTGGGGACCTATGTGTGTGGGCACATGGGATTGGGGGGTATCCGTGTGTGGGGAGGGTGGGCACATGACGGGGGCAGGTGTGTGTGTGTGTGTGTGTGTGTGTGTCTAGAGTATTTGTGTGTGTGCATGCATATAGAGTGGTGTGTGCACAGTAATAGGAACGCTGCCTTGGGAGGCTGCTTTCGTAAGCACCCCAAGGGGCTGCCCCTCTACCATGCCTGGCCTCTCCTATTCCCCATGGGACACTGTGGAGGGTAGAAGGGAGGGATCTCAGGTCCTTTGAAGCAAGGAAGGTGTGGGGGTTACTTATGGTCCAGATTTTTGAATGCGGTCATGTGGCAAACTCTGGCGCTTGTCTCTCCAGATAGCCCACGGACAACCCCCGAGACAGCCGTGTTGAGCCTCCTGGGTGGCTCTAGGAAAGTGGGAGTTTCTGGTCTCCTTACATGCTCCTTGGTCTCCCAGGTTTGCCAGCACCTGGCGCACCCAGAAACACTTGGGCTGGCTGGGTGGGAATGCCCATGAGGCAGCAGAACCCAGGACATATGGATGGTTCTGTCTTAACAGAACTTCATCTTCTACCCTTACCCTCTTTGTCAGAACTTAACCACACCGAGTCCCACATCCCAGCCCCTTGGCTGAGGATTCAACTAATGTTGGGCCATCTGCTGCCTAATGACACCACTCCCCACCTCACTTCAGGGTGTCTGGGGCTTCTCGAGGCCCTCACCAACCCCAGAGGTCTCAAGCTGGTGGCCCGAGGGCCAGATTCAACCTGCAGATATGTTTTCGTGGGCTTGCATAGTACTTTAAACATCAAGAAAGTTTATGGATTTATTTTACTTCCGTTTTCCCCCAACTTTTATTTTAGATTCCAGGAATACATGTGCAGGTTAATTACATGGGTATATTGCATGCTGCTGAGGTTTGGGGTATGACTGAATGCATCACCCAGGTCATGAACATAGTACCTCATAGGTTGTTTTTCAACCCTTGTCCCCTCCCTCCCTCCCAGCTCTTTTATTCCCCAGTTTCTATTGCTCCCAACTTTATGTCTGTGCGCACCACAGTGTTTAACTCCCACTTATGAGTGAGAACATGTGGTATTTGGTTTTCTGTGTCTGCATTAGTTCACTTAGGATAATGGCTGCTAGCTGCATCCATGTTGCTGCAAAGGACATGATTTTATTCTTTTTTATGGATGCATAATATTCCATGATATATATATGTACCACATTTTCATTATCCAACCCACTCTTGGTGGGCGCCTGGGTTGGTTTCATGTCTTCGCTACTGTCAATAGTGCTGCAGTGGACATATGAGTTCATGTTTCTTTTTGGTGGAATGCTTATTTTCCTTTGGATGCATCTGCAGTAATGGGATTGCTGGGTTGAATGGTAGTTCAATTCTTAGTTCTTTGAAAAATCTCCAAACTGCTTTCCACAGTGTCTGAACTAATCTGCATTCCCACCAACAGTGTATAAGCATTCCTCTAAGAAAGCTGATATTTTAAACAAATCTAAATTTCCAGTTTTCTTGCAAAACCGGAAGCAACACTGGGCCTATATTCGCATGTGGCAGTCATTGCCTAGAGCTGACAAGTGCTGCCTCTTCTTGACAAAGTTTGAGTTCTTGGGGCTGACACAGACCCCACTGGGTCTTACTGCTTTGCACCTGGCCTGTGCTGCACTTGTCCATGGTGTGAACCTGACAGCACCCACACTCTAATCTTGAGGCCTCCATCCAGACATGCAGTTCCATGTGGTCAGAGGAATCCTCCCCACTGCAGACAGATCTCCTGGAATTCACCCGCTCTTTTTCATGACATAAACATTTTCTGAGCATTGGTACCCCTGCTGACAGGTGCTTCCGTCTTCCCAAACTGCTTCACGTGCATGATCTTCTTTGACCCACACTAAGAGCAACAGATATACTTTGAAGTGAACCCTTTTTTGGTTTTGAGAACCCGTCCACCCAATAGCCTTTTTTTTTTTTAAATGAGGTCTCACCCTGTGGCTGGAGTGCACTGGCATGATCCTAGTTCACTGCAGCCTCAAATTTCTGGGCTCAAGTGATCCTCCCGCCTCAGCCATCCGAGTAGCTGGGACTACAGGCACACGCCACCACACCCACCTAATTTTTTTTTTTTTTCGTAGAGATGGGGTTTCACCCAGGCTGATCTCAAACTCCTGGCTTCAAGTGATCCTCCCACTTCAGCCTCCAAAGTGCTGGGATTCCGGGCATGAGCCACTCACCCAGCTCCAGTGCCATTTTTTATGGAGTTTCGTCACTTCCACCCCAGGCTCTTCTCAAGGCTTTGCAAGAGGTGCACTTGACTGGATTCCTGGCCCAGCAGCATCAGATTGGGGCCCCATCTTTTAGGGGTCTGATTCAGGCTCTTTTAGGGCAGGGGACTGTGCACTAATTCATATTTGAGATGAGCTGTCCCACGGGGGCCTGGTTTCAAGCAGGCTGCTGTGGTTAGAATGGAGTTTGCAGTGGCCACAGGTTGACAAGATCAGTGCAGCATTTCTACCCAGGAGGGGGCCAAAGGCCACAGAAGTGAACTTGTGGTCACCTGGCACACTGTTGCTAGGACCCCCGATTTTCAGTCCTGAATCTGCTGCTAGGTACCCTGTCCCCAAGGGGCTTAGCCACAGGGTACCCCCACCTTCTTTGGAGAAACAGCAGCAGTAGGTGGGGGTCACATTAACTCAGGCCTCAGAGTCAGGCATAGACTCTGTTGCTGAGGAGGAGCAAGTCTATAAGCAGCCCTGGAAGCATTCCATCTTCCTTTGCTTGTGACAACAGCCATAAAACTCTCATTTTCCCTTGCACGGCTGCTATCTAAAGTCTCACCGCTCACCCAATTCTCTGCTCACAAACAGACTGACGGGGCCCATTTGCATTCTGAAGTGCAGCTCCCCTGAGTCCCCTGTCCCTCCAGGCAGGTATTATTAGTCCCCTTGTTTTGTTGGGTGACTCTGAATGGGAGCCTGTTTACGGGCTGGGTTCCTAATAGAAGGCTTCGGTTCCCTCCTAATAATCTATCCCCTGGTGGGTTTTATTTCCAAAGTACAGCAGTACAGAACCTGCCCTCTTGGGAGTTTATTGGGCTTTTTTCTTCCCCACAATATTTTCTCCCACGTTTTCATGCGAGGGAAGAGTTTCCTGCTCATGGAACTGATTGTTGACCAAGCCACCTGCGTTGGTCTTTTGTGTCCTGGCAAGAGGGGGTTCACGGAAAGTGGGGGGCACCCTCCTCCCCGCCTCGGCTCCATAGAGCATCTCAAGAACACGGAAAACCTGGATCCGGTTGGCATCAATAAAAGGAGTCTGGGTCAGAGGCTGTGTGGATGTGGCTCTTTCTCAAATGTTACCCCAGGTGACTCAGGTCGCTGCATCTGCTTCTGCTACTGGTTCGGCAAGGAAGCTGCAGAACCCCCACCCCAAAGCCAATCCCCTTGCTCCCTGGAAGTTGGAATCTCCCTCTAGGCCGGGAGTTCCGGATGAATTGAGGCTCTCACATGAGAGACAGCTTCCCTGGCTGAGCGTTGCAACACTCATCTCCTGCTGCTCCGGGGTGGCAGACGACAGGCTGCCTCACTGTCTGGCAGGCAGGGACGGGAAAACCTCACGCACATCCCGTGCATGGAAGAGCTGCTGCTCCCTCTGCCATAGGACATCTCAGGGCTTTGTCCAAGGCCAGTGGGCCACCAGCTTCACTCTGAGGCCAGGGTTGGGTGTCACACCCACTCGGGCAAACCTTGCCCTGCCATCTGCGTAAATGAGGCAAACCTCGGCTTGCTGGGTGGGGGTCATGGGAGAAGTGAGGTGTGTCCACGTCATAGCCTGGGCCCCGGGGGATTGACTGCATCACAGGGCAGGCATTTAGAGGGAACCTTGGCCATCACTCACTCCTAATTTTAATGACATGCATTAGCTAAATTGTGTTCTGAGTATTCATTCGGCGCTGTTTATGGTGTGCTCTCGAGTATGCTTACCGTTTGTCAGAAGTGCAAACTAGCGAACATATGAGCCTTTAAGACAGGCCATCTGTTCGTCTTAGACCCTTGGACGATTGTCAAATTCTTCTAAAAATAAGTGCTCACAAGCAGAGAGGGGCTGCCCAGGTGATACACAGCAGATAGGGGAGGCAGGGCTGCCTGTATCTATACCCTTCCCAAAGGGAAAGAAGTAAAGTGTGGGAGGAAAGGGGAAGGTTTTCCAGGGAACAGGGGATGGGAGCAGAGGGAAATGATGGGCGAGAAGGCCCTGCTGACACACCTTTTTGGCTGGAGGCATGAGCTTCTCCCTGTGTCTTGCCTCTCCTGTAACTCCACAGCTCAAATACCTTCCATGGCTCCCCATGGCCCAGATTTAAGGGCAAGCTGCCTCGTCTGGCATCAAGGAGCCTCATCAATAAGGCCCCCGCCTTCCTCTCCAGGCTGGTCTCCATGGCACATACCCTGTGCTTCTGCCAAGCTGAATTATTCATTGTTCCCCCAACATATGCTGCACTTTTCACATCTCACAGGCAGAACAGTGTGGTGGTGAAGAGTGGGCTCTGCAGACAGACTGCATGGGTGCAGACCCAGCACTGCCATCACCAGTGGCAGGACCTGGGCCTCTCTGCGCCTCAGTTTTCTCATCTGTAAAATAGGGAGGATGAGAGTATTTAATGCGCAGGGCAGTCGTGAGGCTTAAATGAGCTAATATGGGTGGAGGTTAAGAATGGTGTCTGGCACACAGTGAGCCTACCATCAGTGTTAGCAGCGATCATGATCGGTGCCATTCCCACCTTCGTGCTGTTGTCCAGGGGTTCACTCTGCCTGGAAAACCATCTCTCAAGCTCTCACACACACACCCAGTGCAAATCCTCACCTGGGCTGTCCTTAAAGGGCAGCTAAAAGGCCAGCTTCTTCCTTAAGCATCTCCTATTGGAAGTCCTCTCTCTATAGTCCTTAAAAGGCCAGGATTGTGCCTCACTTGCTCTCTTCCGTCTACTGCACAGGGCCAGGTGCCTTGTTTGCTAAGTGAACAAATAACGGGACCCAACTTCACCCCTGCTGAGCACGAACATGGCTGCCACTTCAGCCTCAAGGGCTACTTCTTCCCCTGGAAAGGGAATCTCTCAGTGGTTAAGGTGCATTCTCGGGCTTGGCCCTAGCTCCTGGAGAAAGTGAGTTGTAAAGCCAGCCTTGTGAGAGCCACTGTGGCTGGAACCTGCCAGGGAGTGGCCAGTGGTGGGCAGTGGGGAGAAGGGGGATTGGCCACAACCTCTTTCCCAACCGGAAATCACAGTGAGGTGATGTGCAGGCCGGGTGGCTCTGCAGGTGGGGCCGGGAGAGCAGGGTGGGATGCTCTGGGTGTGGGGGCTGAGTGTTCTTGTGCCTTCATATGCTATAGGGACTCAAAGACTCAAGGGCCAGAACCACGGCCTAGTCTCCAGAGAAGAGCCAAGCCTTCTTTTTTGCCTCTTAATGGTCTTCAGGGTCTATGAGTTTGGCCATCGGCACCCTCACCATGAAATTGTGAGCTCCTCACGGGAGGGCGCTGGAGCTTCTCAACCTGTCTGTGCCCAGTGCCCAGCCCAGGGCCTGACAGACAGGAACTCAGTGAACATCTGTGGAAGAAATGTATGCATGGATGGATGGATGGATAGATGAATAGATGGGCGGATGGATGGATGGGTGAGTGGATGGGTGGATGAGTGCACACCTATTCCATCCCCTGTGGAGTCTCCCTGAGGCTGTCCTCCCCTGCAGACATGGCATTCTGTTCCTGAGGGTGGGGAGGAGAAAGCAGTGATTTGTGGGTACAGGGGTTCTAGCCAGGGGGGATTATGGGGAGGGGATAATGACACCTGTTGTTCCAAGGGCAGGACCATCCAAAGTTCAGCCATCTCGGGATTGTTCTTAAGACCTTGCCAGCCCTTTGGACACCCAGAGGGGAAGGGGGAGGGGTACAGCTGGTCAGTCCATTAAACCTCTATGAGGCCCTCACTGTAAGCCCCAATCGTGCCTGGTCCCACAGAAGTGGCAGGGAGCAAACAGTCCCTCTGCCGTGGAGCACCCTGCCAGGTCAGGAAGACCAGAAGACAGTCCTCATGCCACAGAGCACCCTGCTGGGTCAGGAAGACCAGCACAGACACCACTATGGAGATCTGTGGAGCATTTGCCGTAGCCAGACTGGGACGTATGCAGGCATTATCTCCTGAGTCCTCAGGGCATCTGTATTAGTCTGTTTTGTGTTGCTATAAAGAAATACTTGAGGCTGGGTAATTTATGAAGAAAACAGTTTTATTTGGTTCACAGTTCTATAGGCTGTACAGGAAGCAAGGCGCCACCATCTGTTTCTGGTGAGGCCTCAGGAAGCTTCCAATGATGATGGAAGGCAAGGGGAGCTAGTCCGTCACATGGGGAGAGAGAGAGATTGCAAGGAGGCACCAGACATTTTTTAACAAGCAGATCTAATGGTAAGTCATTACTGCCCAGAGGACACCAAGCTGTCCGTGAGGGATCCTCTCCCATGACCTAAACACCTCCCACTAGGCCCCACCTCCAACACTGGGGATCCCATTTCAACATGAGATTTGGAGGGGACAAACATCCAAACCCTATCAGCATCTTAGGAAGAGGGCTGTGTTATTAACCACCCCCAAAACCCGGAGGTCACAGAACTTGCCCAAGGCCACATGGCCAGTAAGTGGCAGAGCCAAGATTCAAACCCAAGGCGTAGCCCATCTCGGCCCACGAAAGCTTCCTGCCCACCTTGAGGTCACCAGGGCAGTGGCTAGCACCAATGGAGCACTTGCCAAGGACAAGGCAAGGTGCTAGGACTTTACAGACACTGTCCTCAGAGTAGCTGAGAGCCAGGAGAGGCAGCTAGCAGGGTGTGTGGAGAAGCTCTTTTGCTTTATGCTGCTGGCATGCTTAAGCCCCTCACGTCTCTCCCACTTGACATGGTGATGGATAGGTATCAAAGGGAGACCAGGCAGGGTCCCACGCCTAAGCAACAGAGAATGGAGCCAAGATCTTGAGAAGCAATCCTGGGCTTCACACTAGGGAGAGGCACACAGTGTTCCTGTTTGTGACTGTGTTGGGCATGGAGGTGGGCTGAGCCAGGGCCCCCTCCTGGGGCGCGCAAAACCAGCATCAGACCCCAGCTGAACCTCCAAGGAGCCCATTCCCTCTAGTGTGTGGCGGTGCTTTGGGAAGGACAGTGTAGCCACCAGGCTCTGTACTCTGGCCCGCTCCTTCCATGCACAAAACATTACCCTGGATTGGGTTCAGGATCAGGATCATTTTGCTGCTGAATTCCCAGCAACAAGCATAGTGGCTCATTGGCTCAAAGACGAATGAATGAATGAGCAACCATGAAATGAATGCTGGGCTTCTTTCCTTCCAGAGGCTGAGGGTGTGTCAGGGAACCAGTTCCTGAGTGCTCTGCTGACGATTTGCACAGAGAGGGCTCTTTTTGTGGGTCTCACCAGGACCCAGGGTAGGCCTGCCCCCAGCATAGGCAGCACACAGGTTTCTGTGCCCGGGCCCATGCCATCCCCTTGGCTATCACTGTCTTGTGTCCCTGGCCCCGTGTGCCAGGCAGAGGCCCCCAAAACAGGCTGTACCAGAAACCTCCATCCAGGAGAGCACACGAGCTCTGCTGAGTGGATGGATTGAGGCTGCAAACCATTGCTGCCCACCCCCTCCTGCTCTCCCGTTTTATTTTCCTCACCTGCTTCTCTGGCCCACACCTGTGTCTCCCTGGCAGGCAGCGAGGCCGAGTGGATGCCAGGCCTCCCTCTAGGCATTTTCCAGTCCTTCCCTGGGCCCCTGTCTCCACCCCCAGCCTTTATGGTGGTGGGAAGTGTTCATCTGTGGGGTGGGTAGCATCTTTAAAAAACGATTTTCTTCCTTCTCTAAAGGGGCTAAATATAGCACAGGCATAAACAGAGAAAGAGACATTAAGGCTGAATGCCCTTGTGAGAACTATGCTGGATGGAAAGAACTCTTTAAGAAGGTTTGCTGAACCTCCCCACGTTCCTCAAACCACAGCTTCTAGCTGTGGGGGACGGACCACGGGTTCTTTCACGGTTATTGAACTGTGCTGATTGCAGTAGCTGTCCAGAGCTGCTCTGTGTCCTGGTGTTGGGCGACTGGTAAGTCTTGGGGACAGGGGTCCCACCACCTCCTCTGCCTGTTGAGATACTGCCCTTGGCCTATGGAGGAGCCAATGCCCTCCTTGGCTGAGCACCTGGGCACCTCTGGGCTCCCCACCACCATCACACAAACTGATCGGGTGACCTTGACCAGTTTCCCTAGCTGAGCTGCCAGCTGCACCATTAATCCCACAAATGTTTGGGTGTCTGTGTCTAGCCCCTCTAAATCAGGCCCCTCGAGGGGTAGGCCCAGCTGGTGTCTTCCCCTCCCCCTCACTGTGCCAGTGCAGAGCAGAGCATCCAGCAGGTGCTTAATAATGTAGTGCTGAGTGAATTCTGGTGCCTGGTCCCCTTGGGGCATCAAGTTTTGACATTTCCATCTGCTGTGACATCCTGGGCTTTTGTTCCTGTCACAAAACTTCAGGGAAGGAAGTTTTATCCTTCTGTCTCAGAACCCTCTAGGAGGAAGTTCTTTCTTGAGTGTAACCTCAGAGCCCCCTGCTACTGCTATTTAAGTGGGCAGGCACACTGTGGCTTTTCCTGGGGAATGGCATAGGCATTCTGGAGTTTTCCTCACCAGTGGTCCCAGGTGTGGGTTCCAGCCTTCATCATGTCTGCACCAGCAGTGCCCTGGTGAGCCAGTGTGGGCCATGTGTGTCACACTGAGCCTGTTCTTGGCATCCTGGCAACAGGCTGCTTCATTCTCCAGAGATCCCAGACACCCCCTGTGCCCATGTTGGTAGTGGGTGGTCCTTGGGGATTTTGTGGAGATCGAATATCATGTCTGGTTTTCTGTGGCCTGTGGAACAAAGTCCATGTTTGTTGGTACTCAAGGCCTCCACTGTCCGTAGGCCATGTGCCCACCAGCCTTCCTGTGACTTCTGTGCTGGGACCTGTGCCTGCATCGCCACTTGGATTCTAGGCTCCACACCTCCGTCTCTGCTATTCTTTCCTCTTGGAATGCCCTCTCCCCTTTCCACATATCCACATCCTATCCATACATTCATTCGTTTTCTTTCCATTGACTCATTCACAAATACTGCCTGAGTGTCTACTTTGTGCCAGGCCCTAGGAACCATAATTTGAGGACAAGAAAGAGCTGTCCATGTCTCCCTTCCTCATGTCCCCTCTCTTCCTCCTCCCTGTCCTCCCCCTAATAAAGAATGACCCACCCACACCAAGATAGCAGGGGTTTTTGACTGGCGGTTGGCAGGGTGTGAAAGTGCAGACCTCCAAGTTGCTCCTGGGCAGCTGTGCCTGCTGGGGATTGGAGGCCCAGGCGTATGGTCAGGACAGTGCATGCCCAGCCCTGGGTCCTGAGAAAGGAGGTGCCGCCACCCTGTGTGCAGCTCAGCAAAGGAGGTCAGTCTAGCTCATGAGAGGTGCGTGGCTGTGTGGGAGGTGGGCTGCAGGTGCCTGGAGAGGTCTGCAGGGATGGGAAGTGATCCATGTGCCTAGAGGACTCAAAGAGCAGCTTGGTTGGGAGGGAGGAGAAGGGAGGCGGGAACTGAGTCAGCAGAGGCTTGAAGGTAGCAGGAGGATGGCTGTGTAGAGTGTGGATTCGGCTCCCCACAGGACTAGCTGGCTGTCCCTGCACAAGTACAGGGAGAGGTGCCACGGCTGGAGGGTGCGGGTTCCCATGGAAACCGCCTGCATCCCATCTGTGGCCTCAGACAACCTGCCTGGTGCCTCTGGGTCCCTGACGCCCCCGACCGAGGTGTCAGGCCCGGCCGGCAGAGGTGGCACTGTGTCTGGTGCAGAATGCGGGTGATTTGCAGACTGCGGTGCCCATGGGGTGCAGGCCCTGGGAAGCCTGGCTCCCCTGAAAATCCCCTTGCTCTAGTGGATTCCAGCCATCTGGTTCAGTGCCCGGTGCTTCCAACCTGGGTGACCTTGGGCCTGTAATTTTTGCCTTCCTAGGCCTCGGTGTCTTCATCTTAAGAAGTCCCACCTCGCAAGGCTGTTGTGAGGATTGAAAGAGCGGTGCCTGCCACGGCACAGAGCACGCATGCCCACCAAGCCCCGGCCGTGCGCCTGCTCCGCCCGCATGAGCACGAGGCTGTCGCTTGGCGCTGTGGGCATCTGCTGGGAGGCAGGCGCGGGCTGCCTCTTCCCGGCCGGGAGCTCGCAGGAAGGGTCGGTGACATTACCACGGGGGCCGCAGCCTTCGCAGTGCCCGTCACGGGAAGGGACTGCGCGGGGCCCTGCTCCAGGGAGCAGGAGTGGCCCGTCTCGGCCCCGGCCCCGGCCCCGGCCCCGGCCTCGGCCTCCGGGCGAGGCTACTGGCATCACCTGGTCGCCCTCGCCGCGGACCCGAGCCCAGGAGAGACGCGGTGCCTCTGCTGACCCCTGGCGGTCAGCGGCACAGCTGCAGGAGTCGCCGGGCCCTGGGGGGCGCCCAGAAGGAGCCTCTCCCGGGGATCTAGGGTCCTGTGCGGCCCCAAACAGGGCCACCCTACACCTGGTGGATGTTGCCTCCTTTCTCCAGGTGTCATGAGGTGGAGCACCACCTGAGGCTTTGATGAAATGGGTCTGAATTTGGAACACGAACCACTGAAAAGAAACAAAAAGACGGCTTTCAGATGCCAAATCCCACCCCCAGTCCCAGGCCGCTGGCTCCTGTGAAACAGATCAACCCTGCTGGCCCCCTCTGGCTGGCAGGGGGAGGAAATGCCATTGACTGTAATGAGAGGGAAACATTTGGCCACAGGGTCCCACCTGGGCCCTGGATTCCTAGGTGCATTCGGCCAAACTGCACTGAGTCCCTGTCTCTGGTTGGGCCATTGCCATGTGACCAAGCAGGCAGGCTCCCGGAGCCCAGCAGCAGAGGCTCCTCCCGCGTCTTCCTGCCGGGTGACCTGTCCCCTGCCTGGGCCGCAGGCACCACGGCCGCCCACTGCCTCAGCACGCCTGTGCCCGCTCGGGTGTTTCTTGGCCGGAGAGCTGCACAGCACATCTGCTGTCTCCCTCTGCTAGGCTCGGAGCAGCCACGGGGAAGACTGAGAGGGGGATGCGAGGGCAGCCTGCAGGCGATCAGAGTTTCCTCCTCTTCATTAGAGGAAAAGGGAGATGGAGAGGTGAACAGGGATGTTTTTAATTCCTGCCTCCTCCCCGGCATTTCCCCTTTCCCTCCACCTAGCCAGTCCCCCCGGTAAGACCTGAATGGTCTTTAAAAAAAAAAAAAAAAAAAAAGCCAAAAAACAACATATAGGGAGTCCAAGTTGGCAGTAACAGGAACCTATCCCCAAGCCCCAAATCAACGTGGCGTCTTGGCAGCTGCGTCCCTGGAGCACTTTTTCCTTGTTGCATTTTGTTTTGTTATAATCGAGACGCTTTTCTGCGGCTCCCGGCGTAAATGCACTGAGTGGGAGGGACGAGCATGCTCTCCATTCTTCTCCTTCATGTGTGTCTCCTTTCTTCGCCTTTGCAGAACCACACGATGAGCCAGCACGCACAGTGAGGGATCGCTCAACAGGACACCTCTCCGCAGAAGGCTTGCCGGAGACGCCGTGGGGAGGGCCATTTGAACATTACATCCAATCAAAGTGTCATTTGCAACCCAGATGTAAAACTCTAATGATTTGGCCATGAGGCGCTGCTATTATAAGCAGCTGGAAATGAATATTAATGGCAGAGATTAAAAGTATTCCATGCTCAGTATTTTTTATTGTCCTGCTACAGCTAGTGTGCTTTTAGACTTTCCGCCGCAGACTACATTTCTAGAGTTAGAGAAACCTGCTTTTTAAGGCTATTGTCCTTTGTTCCTTCATGTATTATATTGATAGTTTTTAAAAAAGAATTAGTGTGATTTTTTTTCTTTGCTTCTTTTTTTTCTTTCTTGTTTTTCTTCCCCCCCACCCCCCACCCCCTTCGGTTAACTACTTTTTAATTGCAATTCTAGGTAATTGTGCATCGTGATGTGATTGCTTGGCTATTGTCTGAATATTTCCTTTTAATTTTTTAATTAAAGACTAATGCTTTGATTGGATTTGCCAGTTCACCGGACAGTGATTAAAACTATGTAATGAATATAATCGGTTTCAGTGCAACTGGATGGTCTGCTTTTAAATGTGACTTAATCTGACTGCAGTAACTAGTACAGTTCAATAAAGGGAATCCATGCGATTAGCATCCGGCTGCCTGGTTCTCTCCTCCCCAGCCTAGGGCCGCGTGGGGGGCTGTCAGCTCCTGTAAGGTGTGTTCCCCTACAAGTTCCTGTGGGCTTGCACACGCCCTTGGGGACCTGCACACAATAGACCCTGCTCCCCTTGGAAAAGAATCGTAGTAACCTAATGCATGCAGACTGGACAGGCTGGCAGTGGCCACAGGAGTCAAAGCAGAAGACCCCTTAATGATGGAATACCCTGATCTTCCCACTCTTGGATGGGGAAACAGAGGCCCAAGGGTAACGTGCAGCTTTCCCAAGGCCACGCAGCAGGTTGGTCACCATGCTGATTGTGAAGTCTTCTTGGCTTTCCCTTCAGGGTTGGCTTTCCCCTTTGTTGGATACAGGCAGGCAAGTGGGTAGCCCTTCCCTTGCCAGGACTCCAGGTGGCACTTGGGTTCTGAGGCACGGAGATGTGTGACTGGGGACTGCAGAGCAGAGCCAGGTAGGAGCCGCAGGTTCCCAGTCATAGAGATCAGTAGGATGTGAGAGCATTGAGACTGGTGGCGGGGGCCAGGTCTGGAGTGAGGCAGGCAGGGGCCTGGGGTACATTATTTCAGGGGGCACTCGCTCTCAGGGCCCCCCTACACCTGCAAGTGCTGGGAATGGGTGTCCTCTTGCATTTTACACTCTAGGCACCTTGCTTATTTCACCTACTCCTGGCCCTGCTGGCCTCCCAGGGCCCACCCAGCAGCCTTGGTCTCCAGGCCTCCTCCATGTTACCTCCCACACCTCCATCATGCTGGTGCTCAGCTGACTTGCCAATCAGAGGCCAGAACTTGCACGGGGAAACCCTTCCTTGCTAACTTTTCACAAGGGGCAAGGAAATTGGTTATTACCCTCTGCAGAGCGGAAATGAAACAGGCAGACAGATTGCACCTAATTATAATGTAATACTAAGTCACGGGTGTGGAATTTGGAGCAATTATACCCATCATCTTCTAGAAGACTCCCATATCAAGGGGCTTCTGGTGACCTATAAGAGTTCCCCTTTCTTTCTGTCACCTCATGTAATGTTCTCACGCGGGTGGGGCTTTCAGTTTTTCAAAAGGCATCTTACATATGTGAATCATAGAGCAGACCCTGCCAGTAGTGGGCTGTTGCCTCCTGGAAACTGAAGGCTGTGAATGCCAATTTTCAGCCTCCTGGAGACCTGGCAGTTTTGGGGGAAGACCCCAGGGTAGACACCAGTGTTCCTCTAAGTGTGCCCACCCGTGGACTGGGGCTTGGGGCCTGGGGCTGGGGCTATGTCTGAGTGAGGCTGCCACACATCCACAGCCAGGCCTACCTTTTGGGCAGTGCTGGGACTGTCGATGGGACCAGTATGTCCCGGGGCCTGCCACATCTCCGTCTCAGGGCCCTCTCCAGCTCTGGATTTATCCCAAACCCCATGGAGCCCAGGTGAGCCCTCAGTAACTACCAATAGAAGATTCGATTTGACGGTTGGTGGCGTAGGGCTAAATTAGTCACTGCCCCCATTAAAAATACAGCGGGGGGTTTAAGAGCTTTTCACGCCATGTGGGAATCAGCAGCGAAGCCGGCTGATGCCTTGGGTAAGGAGAGAGGCGGCCTAGGGGACCGTGAGGTAATGAGGTTTATGGCGGTGACAAGGCAGCCAGGGAACCCCACCGACTCCCCCCTCACCCCGGCCGCATTGTTCTCCGGCTGGCTCTGTCCCTGCTGCTACGGCTGAGAGCCCCTCGTGACTTTGTGTGGGGAGGGGGCTGGCAGTGGGGACCCTGAGGCCCTTCCTGGGACTGGCATTCTTTACCATCAGGTGGTATTAGGGTTGGGGAGCAGTGTAGGGTTATAAACCTGTGCCTCGGAGAACTCACTAACCCCTTCCAGAGGAAAGGTCTGGAGCTGGGATGAGACACTTGCCTTTCAACTGTGAGGGGCCTTAGAGGGTCTCTGGGAGGCTTGTATGAAGTGATGCCTGACAAAGGGCTGCACACAGAGACCTGTAAGCAGCATGGTCATCAATGATGGTGCCAGGCATCCTGCAGGAGGGCACCTTTTCAGCCAGGAGGGCGCGATGGAATCAGCCTCTCATTTGGATTTGGCTTTGGGGAGTGGGCGAGGTGACTGAAAGCCTAAGGTTCATTGCTGCTGTATTTAGATGTACAAATTGTCAGTTTCTAGCGGCTCTCTGGGCAGAGGAATTTTGCCCAGGCTGGGAAATGGACCAGGACCCTTGGGCCACAGGCCCCTGTCATGGAACACCTGCCCAGAGTGCCCAGAAGCAGGCAGGTAAGGGTTTCAGTCTCAGTGGAGAAACTGTCATGGGAGAAATCTTCTCGAGTTCCCCAGCCTTAAAGAACGCTCCTTTTAAATTCACAGTTGTGTAATATTGAACTTTTCACCTGTTTTTCTTCCCTCCTAAGGTGTGTGTTCCTAGGGATGGAACCTGTACCTATAAATATTCAGTAAATAGGACCAAAACTCAAATCCATCCCTTCCTCTACTCATCCATTCAGCAAGTATTTACTGAGCTGCCCCCAGGTGCCAGGCACTGCACAGGGCACTGGGGATAAGGAGATGACCAGCAGATGTGGTCCCTGGCCTCATGGAGGCCACAGTGGCACAGGCAAGCATGCCAGTAAATGCATAGCCACACCTGGTCATGAGTGCCGTGATGGCAAAGCCAGAAGCTGCCAGGGATTAATGGAGGGACCCGTGTATGAGACACAGGGGTGCATTAAGGAAGGCCTTGCTGAGGCAGGGGCTTGAGACCTGAAGAAATAAGGGAGGTGGGCAGTCCAAGAGCAGTGGGAAGAGAACACTGCAAATGCAGAAGCCGTGAGCTGGAAACGAGCCAGAAGTACCCTTAGAGAGCTGTATTCCTATGGAGTTTCAATTCTAGGTGGCTTAAAACAATCCCAGAGAAGTTCAGAATCTTGTCCAAGATCATACCATTCAGGATAGACTTGCGACTATAACTTGGGTGCCTCACCTTCCAGCCTGGGGTGTCTGACTCCATTGTTAATTTTATTATAACAATCATGATGACAACGATGAATAAAGTGAAATTGTACTGTACAGGAAAGACTGCTGGTTCTCTTTCTTTTCATTAATAAAGTAACCAATTTATAGCTGAGCAGAGGTTACCTTGGAGAAGGGAAGGGGCAGATTATATATCCTATCCTTCCCAGAAGTTAGGTGTGGTCCTATTGCTATTGGTCGCCATAGGTTCTATCAGTAGGATATAAATAACGGCAGTATGTGCAAATTCTAAGAATTGTCCTGAAAGCGAAGAAATGAGTTCATTCCTCCTATCTGTCTGATGGCTGGAATGTGACTGCAATAGCTGGTGTTCCAGAAGCCATTTGAACCATGAGGTAACTTGACTAACCCAGTAATCACTTCTGGTTCCTGTCTATCATAGCACCTGTGACATGTGGTGTTATGTATTTATTGGTATGGCTTGGAACTTGCCTTTGGAGAAGAGAGAGACACCCTACAAGGATTTATCCCCCATATGCTTGTTACCCTTCAAAGCAAGTCCACGGTGCCACTATTTTACAACTTACAGTTGATTTTGGCTCATTCAGACTTGCCAGGAGAGTGCTCCATGATTATATACCCTGTGCAGTACTCTTGATGTCAGAGAACAGGAGAAAACTCACAACACTCAATAAAGGCTGAATATTTGCAACTCTATCTTGCTTGATCTCTTTCCAAAAGCACCAAATAAAGTACAGTTTGCCATGCATGCCCCTGGCTGTCCTTTCCCTCCATGCCTTTGCTCATGGTGCTTCCTCTTGCTGGAATGCCCTTCCCTTCTCCCGCTCCCTCACCCCAGGTTAACTCCTACTTTTAGACCCAGCTCAGCTGTCTAATTCTTGGGGCCAAGACTTGGGTGAGATCAGTGAAGCACTCCCCTGGGAGCAAAACTTAAGTGGGTGCCAAAAAGCTAAGTAATCCAAATAAACAATATTTTCATGTAATATTTTTAAAATCACATTGGCAGGCTGTAGCCTGCAGGCTGGCAGCCCATTTTTGAAAATAAAGTTTTACTGGAAGCAGGGCTGGGATTGGGATTTGGCAGGTGAGGCGGGATGGCACAAATGTAGCATCAGATTCTGTCTTTACTTAACACTTTGCCATTTTTTTCCATCATTTTTTACATTAATTTTTATTTTCAGAAACATGAAAGTATTACTCTGGCTTTTTGTTTGTTTGTTTGTTTTGTATTCACTTAAATTTTGGTCCCAAAGGAAGTGCCTCATTCATCTCACCCTAGTCTTGGCCCAGTTTATTCTTCAGGCCACTTTGACCCCCGCAGCTAAGTAAAATGCTCTCATAATAAGAACGCTGATACTACCTGGTGTGTAAGTCCATCCCTGGGCATGCACAGTACTGCCTTTTATACCTATTTGTCTGTGGGACTGTCTGTCAGTCAGGACAGGCTAGGATATGGCACATTAACAAAAGGACCCAAATTCTCATGGTTTAACACAACAAAGATTTCTTTCTGACTCATATTCCATAGCCATCTTGGATACCCAGGGGGCTTCCTTAACACATCAAGGTCACTCAGAAGTTAGGATCAGGGAGCAGCCACCCCCTTAAATATGGTCAGCAACCAAGCAGAGAGAGAGAGAGAGAACTGGCAGTTCAGTGCTCTTGCCTGGGACTTACACAAATACAGAGCTCTTAGACTCACAATGCATTGGCCAGCAATTGTCACATGGCCCCATTCTATCACAGGGCCAGGAAGTGCAATCCTGCCCTGTGCCTGGAAGAAGTGAGAATCAGCAAGGCTTGGAACACTGCACTAATGACTACCCAAGCTGTCCCCACCTTCCACCCACCTGTCTCTGACTATCTTTGAGGGCAGAGCCTGACTCTTAGTAAATGCCCTTATATCCAGCACCCTACATAGGATCTGGAGCAGATAAGATATTTACTAAATGAATGCAGATATTGCGTATGAAAGTGAATCCATGACAATTTAAAAGGTCTAGGGGAAGATAAGCATGTATATGAAGACAACTTGTAGCCTAAGCTCTGCGGACTATGATACCTGGATTCAGACCTCAGCTCTATCACTTACTAGCGGTGTGACCTCAAATAAAGCCCTTAACTTCTCTGAGCCTCAGTGTTTTCATTGGTAAATGGGAAAAATAAAAAATAATACTTATCTCACAAAGTTGTGAAATTAAAATAAGAATGACGGTGACGTTTAATAACATTATTGGTGCCTGGTATTCTCCTAGGCACCGTGTATTAACTCCCCTAATCCACACAATAACTAACGTTATCACGTGGGTACTGTTATCTCTTTTTTACAACTGAGGAAACTAAGGCAAAGAGATGCTAACTTGCCCAATGCTCAGATTCTAATGCTGGCAGTCCGGTTCCAAAGCCCTGTTCCCAGCCCCAAGAAGCCCTTGAGCAGAGCACATAAGAAATGGCTAGCTCCAGGCCGGGCACAGTGGCCCATGCCTGTAATCCCAGCACTTTGGGAGGTCTAGATGGGGGGATCACTTGAGGCCAGGAGTCGGAGACCAGTGCGGACAACATAGCGAGACCCTGTCTCTACAAATAATAATAATAATAATAAAAATCAGCCATGCGTGGTGCCCTGCCTGTAATCCCAGCTACTTGGGAGACTGAGGCAGAGTATCACTCGAGCCCAGGAGTTCCAGGCTGTAGTGAGTTGTGACTGAACCACTGCACTCCAGCCTGGATGACACAGCGAAGCCCTGTCTCGAAAGAAGAAAGAAAGAAAGAGAAAGAGAAGGAAGGAAGGAGGGAAGGAAGGAAGGGAGGGAAGGAGGGAGGGAGGGAAGGGAGGGAGGGAAGGAGAGAAGGAGAGAAGTGGTTAGCTCCTGATACTCTCATCACTGGGGTTGGTTCCAGGTGATAGTCCACTGGGGTCAGCCTCTACTTGGACTGCTCCTAGCTGGGCGGATCCTTGACCTGCCTGAGCCGGGACAGCGCCGGGGCGGCCCCAGCCTGGGGTTGGTGCGCGGCCGGCCCGCCCCTTCCCTCCCCTGAGCCCTGATTGGCCCGCATCGGGCCGGCCCCACCCACCTGGGGGCCGCGGGCTGAGTGCGCTGCGAGCGGCTTGGTGTTACCTTATTTGTGGAGTTATTAATTACTGAAGGGCGCAAACCGTGCTTCTATGCATAAAAATATGTTTGAGCAGTTTCTACTTAAACTTTAAAGAGAACGTTAATCAATTTTATTTTAACAAAATGACCTTAAGCAGGGGAAAAAAAAATTGGTGTTATTTGCCCAAACAGGCAAATTAATTTCTCTCTCTTGAGAAATCTGAGAAGTTTCCAGAAATAGCTATGCATAATTTACACCTGCCCTGGCCGCTTCTAGTTTCACGCCAAGCCCAGTCACGGGCCCCACACCGCTCCAGCCCCAGCAAGAACTGCAAACGAGGGTCCCTGCAAAAGTCCTGCCACCCAGAAGCCGACTCATTTTACGACCTTGGGAAGAGGATAAGAGGGGAAGGGGCCGTGTCGTATCTGAAAGCCCAGCCCAGCTTGGGTCAAGGTCACTGGCGGAAGAGGGGCGCCTGCCCAGTTCTTTGGCCTGGCATTTTCGGGAGGCCTAGAGACAGTTCCCAGCGAAGGACCATCCTCCAGCCTGCCGGCTGGGTCCTGAAGCATGTGGCCTGCGGCCCCCTGCTTTGCCCTCCCCTCCACCAGCCCCTACCCTTGGGGGTTTCCGGGATGTCAGAGTCTCCAGAACATTCTGCAGCGTCCGTGTGGTCTTCCAAACTCCTGCCCCTCTGGCTCTCCACACCTCTGGTGCTTCCCATCCAATTGGGCGGTCCCTTACCCATGCAGTCGCCTTGAGAGTGGGGTTTACAGTCAGGGCACTGGGGCTGCTGGAACTGTGGTCAGTTTCCAGTTGGGCCTTTCAGTAGCATTGTGACTTCTGCCTGGCCACTGGACCTCCCTGGACTTGGGTTTCTCTCCCTGCACTTCTGAGGGATGACATGACCATTGATTCAAAACAGACAACCCCAGAAATACTGAGAGAGAATTTCAGAGCCACCGATGGTAACCCCTGCATCACCCGAGCAAGCACGGACCAGGGCCTTGCTGTGTGTTTCTCATGCAGAGCCACGGGCGCTGGGCTGGGCATCCATGCTCTTCTCTGTCATCATTTCCCCCTGTGACTCTGGGCAAGCCCCTTTCCTACTCAGGGCCTCGGTTTCCTCGTCTGTGAAATGAGTGTTTAATCACAGCTGTCTGAGATGATCTTAGCTTTAGAGCTTTCTGTGCGAATGAGGCTTCCTTGGGAGGCCTGGATCTGCGATGGGGCTCATGGGTGGCTTCTGAATCTGTAACTGGGGAGAAGGATGTCTGCACCCTGAACTGTGGAGGGGATATGAGGATGTGCTGCACTTGGCAACACTTTGTGGCACACTGAGCACCCGAAGGACAGTTTTATTAGCTGATGGCTTTTAAAGTCTCATAGAAAACAGAAAAGAAAATCAGCTCTGAGAATACAACGAGGACATTACCCTGGCCCTACTGTCTTCTTAACGAAGTAAGAGCTCTGATCGGCCTCCTTGAAGGAGAACTGCCTGCCCTGACAGCCTGAGGACTCCTGGCTGGGTTCCCAGGTGCCCCCTGGCCACCCTGTCTCCAGGCACCGTGGGTTTGCCTTGCCTCCTGACATCTCTGTCTATAATTACATTTCTCCTCTCCTGGGCCCAAACAGATCCTACAGCTCCTTCGGGGTTCAGCTCAAGAGCCACCACCTTCAGGCAACCCCCTGCCCTCCCGCGATTTCCCCTCAGGTGCTTCCTGGGTTTGTTCTTGCTCCTAAATCTTCACAGCACCCAGCACAGTGCAAGGTACACCGTGCTGCTCTGCTAATTTCTGAGTCCTGGCACTCCCAGACACTTATTCCTCATGATCTTTGTCCTTGTTTGACAGTGAGGGAAGCTGGGGTCACCTCTACCAGCTAGAGGGTGGTAAAGTTGAGATGGGAAAGCAGGTGATGTGTCTGTTAAGGCTGGGCTCCTATGTTCTGTGCTACTCTGGACTGAGCAGCCAGGAAAACCATGTGGATGTTGATATTTAAAACAAAGTTAAATAATAAAAGAAAAAAGTGTAAACTGCTTAGAAGGATATAAAATAAAAAATCACTAAAAACCAACTGTCCCTCTTACACTCTTCCCAGTCTCTTTCTGTCCAAAGATAGTCTGTGCACATACATACATTTCCATATAGTTCTTTCCTTTTTTTCATAAAATCTATGTTATTCTGTGAATTACTCTATGATTTTTCATTCTCTTATAAATATTCCATTTCTTTTCATGTGAGCACTCACAGATCTTGCTCTTTTTGAGGAGTTTTTCAATTATGAATCCAACTTCCTTAATAGTATAAGTTATATGTAAGGCTACTTAAACTTAAAATATGATCTATGTCATATTGGGTAAGTTGTGGTAATTTGTTTTCCAAGAAATTGGGTAATATAATCTAATTTGTCAAATGTATGCATGTAGAGTTGTTCATCCTATTCCTTTATTATCCTTTTGGTATCTGTGGGTCTGTAGTGATATCCGCTATTTCATTCTTGATATTGGTACTTTGTGTTTTCTCTCTTTTTCTTTGTCAGTCCTGTTAGATGTTCTTCCATTTTATTGATCTTTTCAAAGAACCAACTCTTTGTTTCAGTGATTTTTCTCCGTTGGTTTTCTGTTTCAATTTCATTGACTTCTGCTCTTTATTTTTTCCCTTGCCTCTGCTTGCTTGGGATGTATTTTGCTCTTGTTTCTCTAGGTTCTTGAGGGGGGAACTTAAATGACTGATTTAACACTTTCTCTTTTTTGTAATATATACACTTAGTGCTATAAACTTCTCTCTCAGCACTGCATTGGCTGTGTCCCAAAATGTTTGATACAGTGTATTGTCATTTTCAGTCAGTTCAATGTATTTGTAAATTTATCCTGAGACTTTGTTTTTGACCCGTGGATTTAGAATTGTGTTGTTTAGTTTCTATGTTTTTGGTGACTTTTCGTTATCTTTCTGTTATTGATTTCTAGTTTGATTCCACTGTGGTTGAAGAACACACTCTATGATTTCAATTCTTTTAAATTTGTTGAGATTTATGTTTTATGGTCTATGATATAGTGTATCATGGTGTATGTTCCATGGGCCTTTGAAACATGTGTATTCTGCTGTTGTTGGGTGGCATGTTCTATAGATGTCTATTAGATCCTGTAAATTGGTGGTATTGTTGAGTTCTGTATACTTACTGGTTTTCTAATTGTTCTATCAATTGTCCAGAGAAGGTTGTTAAAGTGTCCAAATATAATTGTGGATATGTCTATTTCTTCTTTCAGTTCCGTCATTTACATATTTTTCAGCTCTGTTGTTTGGTGCATACATATTTAGGATTGCTGTATCTTCTTGGTAAATCCATCCTTTCATCATTATGTAAGATCCCTCTTTGTCTTTTTAGTTTTCTTTGCTCTGAAGTCTACTTTATCTAATGCTAACATAGCCACCATGTTTTCTTTCAATTAATGTTTACATGATAGATCTTTCTCCTTCCTTTTATTTTCAAACTGTTTATATTATTATATTTGAAGTGAATGTCTTGTAAACACTATAGAGTTGGATTATCTATTCTGCCAATCTCTTTTAGTTGCTGTGTTAGTTATATTTAATGTAATTATTGGCATGTTGGGACTTAAGTTTGCTATTTTATATTTTTTCTGTTCTATTTTTTTAATTCCTCTGATTTCCTTTTTCTGCCTTGGACATTTTTTAGAATTTCATTTTGGTTTATTTACACTGTTTTGGATATATCTCCTTCTATAGCATTTCTAGTGGTTGCTGTAGATATTACTATATATGTGTGTGTGTATATATATGTGTATATATATATATATATGGCATATTAAAATCTCCTGGTTTCATCATCTTACCAGTTCAAGTGAAGTATAGAAAAGTTGCCCCAGGCAGGGCACAGTGGCTCATGCCTGTAATCCCAACACTTTGGGAGGCCGAGGCAGATGGATCACCTGAAGTCAGGAGTTTAAGACCAGCCTGGCCAACGTGGTGAAACCTGTCTCTACTAAAAATACAAAAATTAACCGGACGTGGTGGCGCATGTCTGTAATCCCAACTACTCAGGAGGCTGAGGCAGGAGAATCATTTGAACCCAGGAGGCAGAGGTTGCAGTGAGCCAAGATTGCACCGCTGCACTCCAGCCCAGGCACAAGGGTGAGACTCTGTCTCAAAAAAAAAAGTTGCCTCACTTTATATCAATTTACCCTCCCCTTATATATAAGTTATATTTATAATATAATTGTCTTAAATACTCTCCTACACACATTTAGAATCACATTAGACCGTGTTAAATATTTTGCTTCGGCCATTAAGCATAATTTTAAAAACTCAAGAGGAGACAGAAACTCTATTGTATTACCCATATTTTTGCTTACTGTGTTCTTTCTCCCTTCCTAATGTTCCAGATCTTTTCTTTTATCATTTTCTTATGTTTAGAGAACTTCATTTTGCCATGTTTTAGGGCAAAAGTTCAGCCCTAACAAGAGCAGCTCACTACAGATTTTCTTAGTTTTTCCTCCTCTGAGGATATCTTGGTTTCCCTTTAATTCCTGAAGGATATTTTCACTGGATATAGGTTTCTGATGACAGTTTTTTTTTTCTTTCAGCACTTGAAAAATGTTGTGCCACTTTCTTCTAACTCCTGTGATTTCTGATGAGAAATCCACTTTCATTTGAATTGTTTTTCCCCCTCTAGGTAAATGTCATTTCTCTTTTGCTGCTTGGAAGACTTTTCCTTTGTCTTTAGTTATCAGAAATTTGACTGTAATGTGTCTTGGGTGTGGATTTCTTTGGGTTTTATTCTGTTTGAGATTTACTCAGCTTCTTGAATCTATAGGTATATGTTTTTTGCCAAAATTGGGATTTTTGTTTAGACAGTATTTCTTCAAGTATTTTATTGGTTCTACTCTCTTTCTCCTCTGTTTTTATTTTTATTTTATTTTATTTTATTTTATTATTTTATTTTATTTTTTTGAGACAGAGTCTTGCTCTGTCGCCCAGGCTGGAGTGCAGTGGCGCGATCTCAGCTCACTGCAAGCTCCGCCTCCTGGGTTCACACCATTCTCCTGCCTCAGCCTCCTGAGTAGCTGGGACTACAGGTGCCCACCATCATGCCCGGCTAATTTTTTTAAATTTATTTTTATTTTTAGTAGAGACGGGGTTTCACCATGTTAGCCAGGAAGGTCTCAATCTCCTGACCTTGTGATCCACCCGCCTCAGCCTCCCACAGTGCTGGGATTACAGGCATGAGCCACCACGCCCTAACTCTTTCTCCTCTTTTTCCATAATTCCAATGACACTAATGTTAGAGGGTTTTTTTTGTTGTTGTTATAGTCTCACAGTTTCCTAAGGTTCTGTTTAATTTTTTCCCGGTTTATTTGTTCTTTTTAAATTAAGATTGTTAATAGTTGGGCAGAAACATAAATACAAAAAAAAAAGATTGGATAATTTCTATTATTCTATCTTCTAGTTCACAAATTTTTTTCCTGTTCCCTCCATTTTGCTGTTGAGCCTGTTGATTTAATTTTTTTTAAGTTATGGAATTTTTCAGTTCTAAAATATCCACTTGGTATTTTTTGATACCTTCTATTTCTGTGCTGAGACTTTCTATTTTTTCCTTTGTTTCAGGCAAGTGTGTAGTTGCTTGTTAAAGCATTTTTATGGTTGCTGCTTTAAAACCCTTGCCAGGCATTTCTAGCATCTCTGTCATTTCACTTTCAGCATCTGTGGATTTTCTTTTTTCATTCTGTTTGACAGCTTCCTGGATTTTGGTATGACAACTGATCCCTTGTTGAAACTTTTACATTTTGTATATTATGTTATGAAACCCTGGGTCTTATTTAAACCTTTTCTTTCTCCTGTAATACCTCCCCAGAAGGAAAAGATAGTAGGCAGGGAGGGGTCTCACTGCCTCCTTAATGCCAGATGGGAGTAGAATCCCAATTTCCCCACTAAGCCACCATTAACACCTTAGGTGGGGGGCTCATTACTATAGCTGGGTGGGGGTGGGAGCTCTAGCTCCCCACTAGGTCTTCACTGATATGTCCCTGGCTGGGAGGGGTAGGAGTGCCTAGTTGCTGGTTCCCAAGTAGTCTTCACTGATACCACAGAGGGGCAGGTGACCTTGTTACAACTGGGCAGCGGCAAAAGTCTTGCCTCTACAGCCCACTTCCTCTGATACCATCCCCGTGGGGACAGGGGCAGGGGTGCCTTAATACTACTGAATGGGTAGTGGAAATTCAGGCTCCCCTGGGACTGTAGATGACGGCAGTGGGCCTTGTCATTGCACAGCAAGGATGAAAATTCTAGGTTCCTGTTTGGCCTTCTCTGATTTCCCACCCTGGTGAAGAGCATTGAGGAGTCTCATTATAGATTGGTGAGAATGAAAGCACTGTGCAGTGGAGCCAGTTTTTTCTGTGGCATTTAGCTGGAGAAGCATTGTTATTGTCTAAGAGATTTTGTTTTGCTAGGCTGATTCTTCACTGGTTCTTTGGCTAAAGAAAGCAGACATTTGATGGGGCTTTTTGGCCTATGCACATTGGTGTTTCCATGTTGCTGGCCCTTTCTGGGACATATGATGCAAAAAGGAACCCACCATCATGTTGTTCCTTAGGTCTGGAGGTTTCTAGTCAGTCTTGTCTCTTCACTTTTTGGCAGCTTCTTCTTCTTCTTCTTCATCTTCTTCTTCTTCTACTTCTTCTTCTTCCTCTTCTTCCTCCTCTTCTTCTTTTCTTCCTCTTCTTCCTCTTCTTCCTTCCTCCTCCTCCTCTTCCTCCTTCTCCTCCTTCTTCTTCTTCCTCTTCTTCTTCTTCCTGTTCTTCCTTCCTCCTCCTCCTCTTCCTCATCCTCCCCCTCCTTCTTCTCCTTCTTCTTCTTCTTCTCCTTCTTCCCTCCTCCTCCTCTTCCTTCTTCTTCTTCCTCTTCTTCCTTCCTCCTCCTCCTCTTCCTCCTCCTCCTCCTTCTTCTTCTCTTCCTTCTTTCTTCCTCCTTTCCTCATCCTCCTCTTCCTCCTTCTCCTCCTTCTTCTTTTCTTCCTCCTTCTTTCTCCTCCTCCTCCTTCTTATTCTTCTCCCTCTTCCTTTTCCCTTCCTCCTCCTCTTCCTCTTTCTCCTCCTCTTCCTCTCCCTCCTCCTTCCCCTCCTCCCCCTCCTCCTTCCCCTCCTCCCCCTCCTCCCCCTCCTCCTTCCCCTCCTCCCCCTCCTCCTTCCCCTCCTCCCCCTCCTCCTTCCCCTCCTCCTCCCCCTCCTCCTTCCCCTCCTCCTCCCCCTCCTCCTTCCCCTCCTTCTCCTCCTCCTCCTCTTCCTCTTTCTTTTTCCTTCTTTCCTCCTTCTCCTTCTCCCCCTTCCCCTCCCCCTCCCCCTTCCGCTCACCCTCCTCCTCCTCCTTTTTCTTCTTCTCTTCTTCCTTTCTTCCTCCTTCTTTCCTCCTCGTCTTCCTCCTCCTCCTCCTCACCCTCCTCCTCCTCCTTCTTCTTCTTCATCTCCTTTTAAAAATATTTACTGTCCAAGGGTTTTAGTTATACTTAGCAGGAAAAGTAGGGAAAATATGTCTACTCAATCTTGCTGAAAGCAGAAGTCTCTCCAGATCTTGTTTTATTATAATGGCCACAATACATCTCATTGGCTGAATGAGTCATAATTGATTGACTTCATTTATGTGTTGTAAACAATGCTGCAGTGAACATCTTTGTGCCTAGATCTTTGGGTCCTTGTATGTATGTATAACACTTCATGGATTTGTAACTGAGCAGATTGAATTTCACTTAGTAATTTGATTCTTGGGGTAGAAGATTTTGGTGAAAAAAGAAGAGAAAAATGGTGGAGGGAGTTGGACTGGGACTGACCAGGGAGAGCATGCATCAAGCCCTGCAGCAAGTAGACTGCCTCAGTTTCTGTCAGAGTGTTGCACAGATCTCTGGAAAATTCTTGATGAGTCTTGGTGCAGCCTCACCCTATGTCTAGGAGATGGCACCTTGTGACTGCTATCTTTCAGGCTTATTCCCTGAGATCAGAAAAGAGGCCAGCATGTGAGAATATGCACCCTTCTCCCTGCCAGCAGCTCTTGTCCCAACAGGGACAGCCGTGGTAAGGGCTGAGGGATGTCCTCCTGTGGATCCATCATTCTTCCCTCAGGATAAGGATCCAGCTTGGTTCATTCCCATTGTAAGGGCACTCCCCTAACTGCACCATAGCACACAACACACTTTATACATGTTATCTGCTTTGGAGCTCCCTGCCATGCAGGAAGGCAGGCTCAGAGAGGTCAAGTGACTCCTCCAAGGTCACACACCAGGGAAGACACCTGCAGAACTCAGTCTCTGCTGATCTGATTCTGAGCACGAAGTCAGTAGAGGAGTTCAGGGCCCAACGTGACATTCTGGAAAGGGGCACATAGAAAAAAAGACCACCCAGAGGGCCACCTAGGTCTAGGCCTGGCCAAGGGAGAAGTCCTGAAGGAAGAGATGGGGAGGGAAGGGAGGAGAGAGGAAGAGGTGCCCACTTTTACCTGGTCCCTGGCAAAAGAAGATGGAGCAAGTGGAATTATTAATACTTGGGGACGTGGCAGTCCCCAAGAGGGCCTGCTGAACTGTGTCATACAGCAGTACGAATGCCAGAGGAATTTCAACCAGTCCACTCTTACTGGGGTCTGAAAAACATTACTTGTCACTAGAAGCAAAATTGCTTTTAGCAGCCATGACAAAGATGGGCAGGCACACAGAGGCACATGTGGAGAGACACATCCAGGCCCACACAGACACACAGCCCAGACACAGCCAGACACGCACGCACATAATAGCCTGGAGCTGTACCACAGACATGAATACCTACACACACATCATACACACACAGAGAGGTGCACACACATGCAGAGATAGACACACACATGCCACACAGACAACAGAGAGGAACACACACAGCAGGTAGACACGCACACACGCTGCACAGACAACGGAGAGGTGCCCGAGCACAGAGAAGATAGACACACACACACACATATACACTCCATACGGACAAGAGAGAGGCATACACACACACAGCAAGTGACACACACATGATATACACACTCACTGCATGGGCAACAGAGAGGTACACACTCACAGAAGAGAAACACACACACGCCACACAGACAACAGAGAAGTACACACACAGCACTGACAACAGAGAGGTGTACATTCACAGCAGAGACACACACACACCACACAGACAACAGAGAGGCGCACACACAGCAGATAGACACACATTGCACGGACTACAGAGGGGTGCACACTCATACACAGCAGACACACACACGAGCACACACCAGGCAGATATGCATGAGCTGCCCGCCTGGACACACACAGGTACACACAGAGACAGGCTGCACGAACACACATGCATACACGTGCACACACCCGCGCACACCCACATAGCGGCATATGGAGCAACCCTGCCTCCCCCACGGTTTCCAGGAGGCTCAGCGGGGGGCGCGAGTTCCACATCTGACTTTCCTTGTGTTCGTTAGACTGTCAGTGTAATTAAATGTTACATTGAATAATCCAGCGTGCTCAGTGTAGGCAGAGGCAGCTGTGGAGGGCTGGCGGATGTGGGACTGGATGCCCATCCCAGTCTGGCACCCTCCTTGCCCCTTCATCCCCTCCAGCCACCCCCTTGCCACAGACTCTGGAGCTGTGTGGACAAGGAACCCCTGGCCAAAGCATCACCAAGAGCAGAGCAGCTGTCAGAGCTGCCCCTTCTAACAGGCTGGGAAGGATGCAGGTTCCCAGGGGAATGAGTGCCCAGAAAGCCCTGGCTGGTCCTGGGGCTGAGCTGCCACTCACCTCCTGCTCTTACTGGGAGTGATTCCCACCTGGAGCTCACAGGCAGAGGTGGCATCTGGATGCTGGGAACTTTTCTGTCCAGCAGAACAGGCGCCTTTCACACCTCACCTGGGAAGAAGAGGCAAGAAGTTGGTTCTATCTCCTCCTCTGTTCTTTTAAATGAGTTTGCAAACTCCCTTAGCCTCTGTGGGAGGCAGCCCAGGGTGGTGGTCACGAACCACCCGCACCAAGTTCACTATGTGACTTGCAGTGAATTAATTCACCTCTGAGGGCCTCAGTGTCTCAATGGGTAAAATGTGATAATACTGATACTCACCTCATGGGATTGTTGAGTGGATTAAGTAAGCCCTTAAAACAGCATCCGTCCCCTCTTGGAGCCCCAATTTCCTCACCTGTGCAGTGGGGTTGATTAACATTCTGGCCTGGCAGGGCAGAGAATGAAATAGTCCACTGCAGGGGAAGGAAACTGATAAACTGTTGGGTGCCGTATGCAGTGAACAGCTTGGCCTCCTCTTCTCTGCCCTTCTTGTTCTGACCTCCTTTCCGGCCCTTGAGCCATAGCTCTCCTCCCATCTCCAGCCTGCTCCAGGGAGCGCAGAGACAGGGTCAACACAGTCGGACCCCTTTGTGTCTGTCGCCTGGAAGGGATGTAGGTTGCTTGTCCTGGTAGTGAGGGCCTGGTGTAGACAGCACAGTGTGGAGCTGGGGTGCCCAGGGTGATTTCACCATGGCCAGCCTCTTTCTGGTGTGGATTTATGAAATGAGTGCCAGCCTCTGGAATATGCCAGCTGGGCAGTAGGCAGGGTGTGCTGAGGATAAGCCACCAGGGAGGTGATGTGGCCTCTGCCTGTTCCAGGAGGGGCCACCTTGGAGGCAGAGTGGCTGGAAAAGAACTCGGAGTCCAGGACCTCACTTGAAGCCAGCTCCCCCTTCCCCTATCTGCCATTGTCACTGGGGCTCCCAGAGGCGGGTAAGCCCAGAGCATGAACCCTTTGTGTGCACACACACTGGTGCATGCTCAAACCTCCATGTACCCATGGGCACAAATATGGGCAAGAGCCAGAACATACCAGATAGGCTCCTGGATTCTCACATGCAAACCCAAAAGGACCCACCTGGAAAGATGGTCAAGTACATGCATGCCCACGGAGACACAGCTGGATTCCAGCACATCACATGTAGAAAAGCATGCTCACTAGACATGCACAACTGTGTGCACGCATGCAAGGGACATGCATAGCACCGAGCCACACCACTGCTGGGCCTTTCATTGCTTCAGAGAGACATGCCACTTTGCCTCCTGTCCCATGTAATCCCCAAAACCATCCTGTCACTCTGTCTTATGAGGGGCTTACAGAAGCCAGTGGACTGTGCAAAGCCATGTCACTGTTGCATAGTCCAGCTGGGTGGGTTCCCAGGCCAGTACTCTTTGCAGCTTCTCATGGGAAGAGGCCTCCTGGCTCCCCTCCCCTGGTCTCCTGCAGAGGCCGAGCCACCAGGGATGGCTGGAGAAGGGGGCGCCTCTGAGAAGAAACCATGACTTTCGAAGGATGTTTTAAACATGGAGCGTGCCCTGGTTGCCTCCCCCATCACCCCAGACTCTGAGCTATGCAAAGGCAGCTCCTGAATATTCAGGACCCCATAGACACTCTTCTCTGGTTCTTCCTCCACTCCTCATTTTGTGCTGAGTCTTAAGTGAAATTGATCTTTTTTTTTTCCTAGGAAAGGGAAATCTGTCTTTTGTTCCCCTACTCCCCTAGGGGCCTCTCAGAAGAGGACGCTCCCCACCAGTTTGAGGGGCATGCCTCAGAACCAATCGCTGCCTGGCACGGCTCCCTGGGTGAGGGGCTTGGGCGCAGTGCCATATGAGCAGATGGCCGTGATTGCTGGCAACCCGGAGACCCTGCAGGAGAGTCGCGTATGGGTGTTTACAGCATCCTGGTCCCGCCGCGAGCATCAAAATGGCAGACCAAGTGGTGCCCAGCCCATCCAGGGTGGGGTAGGGGCAGCTCGCTTTCCTGAGAAAGGAGAAGGAGGTCCCCTTCTTCTCCTAAGGAGAGTCCTGCCCAGCGCCCAGTGCCTAGTGTGGGGTCACATGTAGGGAAGAGCAAACCCTTGATTCTGGGGTAATAGTCCTCCCTAGTCCTCCATCTTCCTCCCCTCCTGTCTTCGAGCACTGTCCCTGCAGATCCCCAAGGTCCCTTGTTCTCTGAGCTAGTCCCCAAGAGAACCTGCATTCATTCACCAATTCATTTGGAAAATAGATATGAGCACCTACTGTGTGTTCAATGAATGAAGAGCAAGCTAGAGGCCTGCAAAGCCTCTCTCCTTTCCTTCCAAGCCCTCTTTGGCTTAGAATGTGTGTGTTCAGTGGACAAATGCCTATCTCTATTATCATACTGAACTCTAAGGGCAGGGGCCTGGCACATAATAGGTGCTCAATAAATATTTGTTGAATGATGTGGGGGACCTTGCCCCAAAGAGATTACAGGCTGGTGGGAATGTGCTCCCTCTCCCTCTCTTCCCTCCCTCTCCCTGTTTTATCCTGTGCTCTATTCTCTGCCCAATTAAATGAAAGCTCCCTAAGGGCAGAAGCCATGGCTGGTGCACCCATCCCCCTAGATTGCTGACCACATGGTGGCTGCCTGTTATATAGATCATGAGGCTGATGTGGAAATGAGGTGCCTGAAGGGGCCACAGAACTGCCTGGAATGCTGTTCCCAGAGAAATTGTCAGGAAAGCAAATCTGACCCATTCCTCTCCTGCCCATAGCTCATGGAAAGGTTCCATTCCTGCTCCTTAGACTGACATTCAAGGCTCCCTCATTGTCTAGAGCCTCACATCCTTCCTTTTTCCCCTTTCATTCATTCAAAAGTATGCATTGAACACTGCTGTGTGCCAAGTCCTACCCAGGGGCTGAGGACAAGACAATGAATAAAATACACAAAGTTACAGTTCTCAGGGAGCTGATATTCTATTGGAGCTATTCCATTGGGGTGGACTGGAGACAAGGGGCGAATAAATGGATGAATGTGTTCTATGCCAGGAGGAAATTAGTGCTTTGGAGAAGGACGAGGCAGGGTAAGCTGGAAGGGGAAATAATGGGTGTGGGCAGGAACAGCTTCTAGGACATTTGAGAAGAAATCTGAATGAAATGTGCAGCGAACTATGTGGCCATCCAGGAGAAGAGCATTCTGAGTGGAGGGAATGGCCGGGTGCGGTGGCTCAGGCCTGTTATCCTAGCACTTTGGGAGGCCGAGATGGGAGGATCGCTTGAGGCTGGGAGTTCAAAACCAGCCTAAGCAACAAAGGGAGACCCCCTATCTCTATTAAAACAAAACACAGGTGAAGGGAACAGCAAGTGCAAAAGCTCTAAGGTGCAAATGGCCTGGCTTTTCTGGCCCTCAGCCACTGCAGCAAGCCAGGGTCATGAATTCCAACACCCATGGCTTCAGGCAATAAGAACGAATGAGGTGAACCAGGTACAACCATGATGACAAATGCGCCCTACACTCAATGCCTGTGAGGGAGGTGATAAGGAGTGGTGGGGACTGTGGGCGACAAGGCAGGTCTGTAGCAGGCAGCTGGCTGGTGACATGGGAATGCCAGCCTGGAGTAGCCAGCGCTTCTAATATTTCAAGCCAAGCTACAAACCTCTATCTTTTAAAACGTGAAATCCTCCAACTTTGAAATGTTGGCAGCTAATTTAAAAATGGCATTAAAAACACTCCGCTCTGGCTACTCAAAACTCAGTGACAGATCGGATCCAGCCTGCGAACAGTTCATGGCTTTGGAATCAGCTCTGAGGTCCCTGCAGGGCATGATTCTGAAGTGTTGGTTCCATTCCCAGTGGACAGCCAGAGGGGGCCATGAAGTCTTCAGTGGTGAGAATTTGGGCAGAGCTGAGGGATCTGAAATCTGAGGCTTTAGCCTCAGGGGCCTTGAGGGCTGGTCCAAACCCCTGTCTCCCAGGAGCCTCCTCTCCCAGGCCTGTCCCAGTGAGAGCAAAGGCTGATACAGAGGGTGCAGAAGCTGTGCCCCACTCCCAGGGCAGGACCACTGCTTCTTTTTTCTTTTTTGGCAGGATCCAGCAGGCAGCTGGATGCAGCCCTGCCTGAGAGTCTGAGGAGGGAGAGCCTTCTGCTCCAGCCTTTTTGGGGACCCCAGTGCTGAGGGGACTACCAGGGTCTCCCCACATCACAGTGCCACCTGCTCTTGGCAAACTCAGGCAGACAAGGCTGGAATTGCCCTCATAGCCCCCCTGCCCTGCAGACCAACTCTCTAAGCAGCTTCATCAGGAATGATTTTCATGTTTGCCACACAACCCCGGGCCCCCAGGCACCCCCAGCCGAAGCCCTCCGCCCAGAGCCCCCCATTAATGTTAATGGAAGTCCCGTGGCTCAGACAGGGCGCCCTGCTGGAAAGAGGCCTCGGGACACCCTCCTGCAAACATGACCTTTTCCTGTGTAAGAGACAAGATTTCAAAATCAATTCCACCTGCGAGGCCTGCCCATCCCCGCCACATGGTGCTGCTCAGGGAAGAGGCCACGTGCCCCATGACAAGCAGGAGTCAATACTGAGTCTAAGGGAGCCCAGCTGCTGGGCCAGGACATCTGGGAGGTTGCTGTCTAGCCCCTCTGCTGGGGTGTCTCTCTGCAAAGGCCACAGGAATACTTTCTGATTGTACTGAATCCTCCCACGCCCACCTGGAACCAATGCGGCAATGGTGGCAAACACTCGCGCATAGAGCTGTGTGTCCAGACCAGCTGCACAAACCCTGAATGCTCACCAGACTGGTGAATTAGGCACTATTATTTTTTATTTATTTATTTATTTATTTATTTATTTATTTATTGAGACAGCGTCTTGCTCTTGTCTCCCAGACTGGAGTGCAATGGCACGATCTAGGTTCCCTGCAACCTCTGCCTCCCAGGTTCAAGCAATTCTCCTGCCTTAGCCTCCAGAGTAGCTGGGATTACAGGTGCACTCCACCAAGCCCGGGTAATTTTTGTATTTTTAGTAGCAATGGGGTTTTGCCATGTTAGCTAGGCTGGTCTCGAACTCTTGACCTCAGGTGGTCCTCCCACCTTGGCCTCCCAAAGTGCTGAGATTATAGGTGTCAGCCACCGTGTCCAGCCGACACTATTATTATCCCTATATCACACGTGGGGAAACTGAGGACAGAGAGGTTTGAGCTACCTGCTCAAGTCATACAGCAAGTAGGTAGCCGTATAGGGATTTGAACTGAGGAAGCCTAATATCTGTGATGCTTCTTAACTTTCTCCTGTGCACTCAGAAAACACTTGCAGGCACCTGCTCTGTGCCAAGCCCGTGCTGGGGGGCACAGAAGTGAGTCATATACAGTTCCTCCCCACCAGAGCCACTGTTCCCAGGGGAGGGGATGCCACAGGTCACTGTGAGGTATGATGAAGGCCTGGAGAGAGGAGGGGCAGATCTAGCATGCAGTGTGAGGGAGTATAGTCAGGGAGGACTTCCTGGAGAAGGGGATCTATGAATAGAGCAGAAGGTGCCCAAAAGCACCTGAGTATGCCTTTGGGGGCAGGTGCTTGGGTGCACGCAGGCATGTCCTGTGTCTGTGCACACATGTGCAGGCCTGGGTGTTGGCCCCGGGGGTATAAGGTTGCCAGGTGCCAGCCCCAGGGACCCAGCTGAGGCCATGAAGGCAGCAACAGCAGTAGGGAAGGACTGCTTCCTCTGAAGAGTTGGGCTGCCAGGCTCTTAGGGAGCATGAAGGATGCAGATGGAGCTGGAGCTGTGACCTGGGGCCTGGATGTCCCCATCCTGCACATGAAGGCAGTACTCTGGCAGGCCTCTCGCTAGGCTAGGAGGGAGACAGGATTCAGGAACCATGCCTGGGAGGCCCTGAGTGGGATAGGCCTTCAGATGGACATGGCCCTCAGATGGCCTCTTGTTGGCTGTAGAAGTGGTGCTTAGTTTTTGCAGTTTGAAGGTCTTTAGGTGCAAAAAGCCCTCTCTGTTTGCCCATAGTCCCCACACATCCCTCTTGGTCAACACCTTTGCCCATCCACATTTCCATCACCTGCCTGGCCTCTGAAGGCATTTGTTTTTGAGCACCTGGCTTTAGCAATTTCAAGTTCTTCATGTAAGAAAAACAAACAAACCTTGTCAATGGCCTCTCCTAGGAAAACTCCTATGTGCAGTAGGCTAACAACATCTCTATTTCTTTACCTTACCAAACAGCCCCCTTTCCGCCAGGATGAGGCTCATTCATTCATTCAACAAATGTGTACAGAGCACCTCATCTTTGTCAGACCCTGTTCCAGGTGCTGGGATGGATCAATGAACCAAGCAATCGAAAGCCCTGTCTTCCTGGCACTTCCATTCATGTGGTCCTGGATAGTGAGAGGAAGTTACAAAGAGCATGGGGCCTGGGGCCTGCATGGTCAGTTCCTGGGGCCAGCGGGCTCCCAGGAGCCTGACTACAAGCTCAGTCCTTGCCTCGTGTCCTTCCCCCATCAGCTCAACCTAAGGCCCAAGTTCATGGGTCCAGTGGGAGTCAAAGGAGGAAACAGCCAGCAACTCCCTCCTCGAGCAGCAGCCCGGTCCATCAGGCACCCTGGTGTCAGCAGGGTGCATCATCAGCTCCTGGAAGGTTAATGCCAGCCCAGATGCTAGGCTCTAGGACTGGGAGGGGGAATGAGTCGAGCAGCTTAGAATAGCCATCCAATAGCCAGAGGAAAGGGCACCATTATTATCCTTACTCTACAGTTAGAGGAACTGAGGCTCAGGCAGGCAAAGTCACACAGCTAGGAAAGGATATGTAGGGACCCACGTCTGCCTGACCCCAAAGCCAGGAGTCAGGTCCAGACTCTCAAGGGAGTGGTTTCCTATTATTCAAGAGACTTCACCTTCTTTCTCCTTTCTCCTTTCCTGCCTGATCTTCGGGCCCACCGCTGTAAAGCAGATGCTGCTGTTTGTCCTTAGTGAAGCTCCCATTCCATTGCTATTGGCACCCCAGACCCGGCGTCTTTGTTATGCTGACGGGTGGTCCTATGTAGGGGGAGCTGGTTTCTTAATCCTAGGATGCCCCTTCTCCAAGGAGTTGTGTCAGAGGCTGACCCAAAGCTGGGTGCAATCATATGTGCTCAATAACTGTCTGTGGATAACTTTTGTGGACTAATTTACTTGACCAGAAGCCAGCATTCGAGAGGAGCCTGGCATAGTGAGCAAATCTCTGAAATCAGCTACATGTGGCCTCACCACTTAACGGCGATGGGACCTTGGACCTGTGAGCCAATTCTTTATCCATAAAATGGGGATGCTCCTTCCTCCCCTGCAGATGGCTATGAGGATGCATCCAGTAGAAGCCCCGTAAGTGCCTGTGTGGGGCTTCTTCTACCACAGACATGGAATTAGCATGAGTAGCCAAGAGGGGGAGAAGTCAGGAAGGCCTGACATAGGAGAAGGATCCATTTGTGAAACTTGATCCTGAACAGGAGGCTGAGAACAGGGCCTTGAAACAGCCCTGTGGACCAAATGGGGCAGGTGAACCCTCTTTGCTTGGCTCAGGTGGAGAGGGTGATTTGTTTTGAGATCTTATCTTATTGGACAAGTCAGTCATACGCCTGCCCTAAACAGCCATGGGCCATGGGGATGTGATGTGCTGACTGGCACAGTCATGTGTTCCTCCTGGTGCAGTCCAGATCCTGTTGCCTGAAGTGGGGATGGGGGACCCCTGGTCAACTATGGGGGACTACTGCCTCTTGGCAGAGAGGCACCATGACAACCCACCAAAGTGGGCTAATCAGGCCTCTGCTCTGATTTATTTGGAGTCATCCTTCCTCCTCTTGCAACTTCTATTCATCCTTAAAAACCCAGCTTAAACACTGCTGCTGGAAGCATCCCTGTGCAACTTCAACCTTCTCTGAGCCTCTGTGGTGCGGGCAGCCTCTGCCACATAATGTATCAACCTCCAGATCATCACTGCTCCAGCATAGCTGAAATATTGCCTATGGTTTGCCAAGTGTGGGCACGTTATCCTCATAACAACTGAGAAAGGGGAAAGCCCTCTGACAGCCTGGGCTGGCCTGGCATTCACAGCCAGGCCATGGTGTTCTGTTGGACATGAACAGTTCTACAGCCCAGAAACATCAGACAAGACCGCTCGGTAACCATGAAGGATCAAAACAAAGACGAGACCATTCTGTAGTCCTGCCTGAACGCAGACGAAAACGTGAACATCGTCCAAATGACAAAACTGCCCAAATGTTCCCCTTCCTGGCTCAAATGTTTCTTAACTAATTGCAGTTGTAGCTTTGCTCAGTTCCTCCTGCCGTCTAGAAGAGAATCATTGACATACCCAATCACAGAATTACCCTTGCTTCCTGACAGCATCCAGCCTAGAGAAACAGCCTGCAAAATCACTTAATGCGAGCCCAAATCCCATGATCAGTCCTACTAACATCCCCTCCCCGAGACATCCAGGGGTGCGCATTCCCCTCCAGTGCAGTGACTCAAAAAGCCAACTTTGTTCAACCGAAAGGTGTGTTCCTGGTAGCCTTTGGCCGGAGGGCATTGCATGATCCTGCAAAAGAGATGTTATTGTTCTTATGTCACGGGCAAGGGAACAGGGGTTCAGAGAGGTTATGAAGTTGCCTAACGTCACAAAGCAGGGAGGTGGCGAAGCTAGGGTCCTCAGAGCTCTTCCCATGAAAACTCATTCACATTTGTCCTTTCTTGTTTTACTTTACTATGTGTCTGTGTGTGTATTGTGTAGTCATCAGTGCTGTTTGGGATGCAAATGACAGAACTCAAACCAGCTCAAACAAAAACAGGGTTTGGCTCAAAGGCCCTGTGGTGACTGGCGGAGGCTGAAAGCAGGACTGTGTTGATCTCAAGAACAAGAGTTAGGCGCGCAGACCCTGTTGGAAGTCTCTCTATCTCCTGCCCTTGCTCCTCTCTCTCTGATGATCAGACTTTTCTACTTCTTAGTTGATGCAGCAGAAAACACCCGCTGCCAACAACCCGCAGTTCAGCTCCCAACCTCTCAACACAGATTGGAGTGAAGAACCCCGATTGTCCTCCCTGGGGTGCTGCACACCCCTGAACTATCCCCTGAGGTTGGGAGGTGGGGCTCCTGGCCGATGTGGGCTCTTCCAGTAATTGCACGTAAAATGGAGCTAAGAGCTGGGGACTCCCTGAAGAGGGGAGAGGAGTTTCTCGGCTGCCGTGTGCACAGCCGCCTGCAGCGGGACCCTCGTGCTGCTGTCTGGCGCCTCTGCTCCTTGTAGGTGGATCCCAGCTCTCCCCACCTCACACAGCCGGGTGCAGGGAAGCGCACAGAGGCCGCCGGGGCCCTCACATCCCGGAGATTTTTTCTTCTAACAAGGCCCAGTTGTGAGGTGGCCATCATCGTTAAGGGACCAGCCACAGCCCCGCCGGTCGCCACTCCTGGGTCCGGCCTCACCTCCCCCGCAACCCAGGGTCTCCGGGGTCTGGCTCAGCCTACGGTGTCAGAACCCGGGACAACAGTGCGGGCCCAGACCAGACTCCCAGCCCGCAGCCGAGGGAACCCCGCGCTCAGGCTGCCCCGGGGCTTTTCAGCCCTCTCCGCCTCCCCGCAGCCCATGCCCACCTCGCCCGCGCCCACCTCGCTGGCAGCCCTCACCCTCACCCTCACCGGGCGCTCGTCACAGCGCCCCCTACTGGGCCCCGGGGCCTCTCAGCGTTTCCGGCGCTCTTCACCTGACTGTGTCTCATTCCCCCCTCTTTTCTGAACACTCTATGTGCTTCAGCAATGAACTGACAAGTGTGTGGGTGTGTCCCTGTGAGAGTCCCTGCCTGTGTCCCTGTGTGGCTCTGTGTGTCCTGCTCTGTGTATTTGCTCTTCCTTTCTTCCCCTCCCCGTTTTAGGCGTTTCTCCGCCCTTCTTGCTCCACTCCACACCAGAATCTTTGCTCCTATGCGAGGTGAGTGGGGTGGGAGTTCGGGGTCCCAAGCATTTGGCCCTGTGGACCAAATGGGGCAGGTGAACCTTCTTTGCTTGGCTCAGGTTGAGAGGGTGATTTGTTTTGTGCCACTCAGGGCAAACTCTCGACACCCCAAAATAGACAGGTCTGAAAGAGAACTCAGGGATCCTTTTACCCAGCCCCTCATTTCTTTGTACTAAATGGATCTACTGTATGGCTCAACGCTATTATCACGGTCCCTACAAAGCCCGATTATTAGAATTATTGTGTAGGTTGAACCATATGAAATTGCCTATATTTGACCGTTTTTCATCCACAAGAAAGTCAGTTTCACCTGGTTCAATAGAATGCTAATTTTTAATTATATGACACCTGCCACACCCCATCCAATCCCAGGGCCAGAGCATTCCCAGGGACTTACCCTACTTATGTGCCAGCCCCCACCCCCACCTTCTACAGAATGGAAAACCAAGGCACAGGGAGGTCAGGGGATCTCCCAGGCTGCACAGGCAGTGACAGAGGGCTGAGATCCTGCTGGCCTGTCCCCTAGGATTGAGGTTCGTTGCCTGGAACTTTCCCCTTGACTTCTAAATCTTTTTTTTTTTTTTTTTTTCCTTTTTTGAGATGGAGTCTCATTCTGTCACCCAGGCTGGAGTGCAATGGCACGATCTTGGCTCACTGCAACCTCCACCTCCTGGGTTCAAGCGATTCTCCTGCCTTGGACTCCCGAGTAGCTGGGGTTATAGGTGCCCACCACCACATTCAGCTGATTTTTTCCCTTTCTAGAACTCATCTGCTCATCTGTTGCAAGCTACCCTGTTAGCCAGAATTAACACACATTTCCTTTCAGAAAATACTGCAAGGACATCTCCACAGCCAGACACAGAGCATCAAGACTGAACAAACCGGATGTGGTTCCCACCCGCAATCTTGTCAGGGCAGACAGAAAGCCAGGTGTGCCATGAAATGCATGCGTTACCTTGGTGACATTCAGAGAAGAAGGGGAGGGGGCCCCCTTGGGGAGCATGGCCAGGGAAGGCCTCTCTGAGGGGATGACATTGCAGCCACCATCTCCCTGCAGGTCCCTTAGCAGCCCTCCCTCGCCTTTTTGAATCTTGTACTTTTGAGCCATCCTGACCTCTTGGCCCTTTCGTCAGCCTTGGGTCCGGAGGTTTTAATGACGAGGTTAACAACTCTCTTGTAACTGGAGCATTGAAATCCCTGAATGAAAGCAGCTCAAAGGTTTAGTGAGGCCCACATGCTCTGCACTCTCCCCCTACCTTGCCATCCCTCCCTCCTGCCAGTTAATGTACCACTTTTTTTTTTTAATGGGAGAAGTACGATTTTTGGCATATATGTTCCTGGCTTTTGAGGGGCTGGAGCTGTGGGGTGTGTCGTGGGCTGCACTGATGGCTGTCCTTGGGGGAGGAGGTCTCCTGCACGGAGGGGCACAGGTCCCAGGGAGAGTGCACTGAGGTGAGGCCCCCTCTGGAGGCCTTTGGCTGTTGCTGGCAGTGGGCAGGTGTCTGTCAGAGTGGAAACAGCTGCTGATCTGGTGACTCCCTTGCTTCCTGGCAAGCACAGGTGAGGGCTGTAGAGGATCCTACTGGAGAGACAGAGAAGAGAAGGAGAAAGGGCCGCCAAAGACCATGGGGGTGAAGGCCCATGTTCATGAGGCCCGGCCAGTGCTGAACCACATCCGGGGAGGCACACAGCGACCCCATTTCACAGATGAGGAAACTGAGGCTCAGAGACTGAGCTAAGGGGCACTCAGCTGGTTTTCCACCCAGGCAGTCTTGTCCCAGAGCCTTCTGCTTCCAATCTCACTGGAGCCCAGGACTCACAGTCCAGTGCTCTATGACCCTGGAAGTAGTGAGCGCTCTGCCTGGGTCCCTTGACTGGATGCAGGCACAGAGGGATGGACGGGCACTGAGCGTGAGTGTTTGTTGCTCCCTGGACCTTTGTCCCTGTGAGTGTGTGTATTGTGGGGTGAAGCAGGTGGCTTGGCATTCTGTCTGAATCCTTCCCTCTCTCTCTGGGTTTCTGGGACTTGCTCTCACTCTTACCTCTTTGTCTTTCTCTCTTCGTTGTTGTGGTCTCCATCTTGTTCCTCTGTCCCTGTCTCTTTCTGTCTTGGTTTCCCTTTGTCTCTTTACATCTTGTGCCCTCTCTCTGTCTTCCTCTCGTCTTTGATTCTCTGTCTAGCTCTGCCTCTCTCTCTCTGTCTCTGCTCCGTCTTTGATATCCCACAACTGCATCTCCTTTATGTCTCTCCTGCTTTGTCTCCGTTTAGATTCTCTGTCTTGTCTTGTTGACTGTGTGTCTCTGCCTCCGTATTTCCAGGGTTCTTGCTCTCTTTCTCAGTTCTTCCCTTTTTTTTTTTTTTTGTTGGAGACAGGGTCTCACTCTGTCACCCAGGCTGCAGTGCAGTGGCGCAGTCTTGGCTCACTGCAACCTACACCTCCCACGTTCAGGCAGTTCTCGTGCCTCAGCCTCCCAAGTAGCTGGGATTACAGACGTGTGACACCACGCCCAGCTAACTTTTGTGTTTTTAGTAGAGGCAGGGTTTCACCATGTTGGCCAGGACTGGCCTCGAACTCCTGGCCTCAAGTGATCTGCCCACCTTGGCCTCCCAAAGTACTGGGATTACAGGTGTGAGCCACCATGCCCAGCCCGTTTCTAATTTTTTGTCCACCTCTGTCTCTCTCCTTTCCCCCTCCCCCAGTTCTCAGAACATGCACTGTTTGTGGCCCCTTCCCAGGCTTAGCAAGCCCAGCACATCATGACAGACCAGCCCCGGGTGACCCTCATGTCATCGTCCCACACAGCAGGCAAGGCAAGGGCCTGGTCCCTGCCCAGGCTGGGGAAGCTGAGCTGGGAGGTGTGAGGTGAGGTGTGCCTTATCCCCGGCCGACAGGCAGGACCTGGATGAGAGCCCCAGCCTGTGTGGTCCCTGTGAGTGTGGGCCCCTGTGTCTGTGTGCTTGTGGCCGAGTTTGCCCTGAGGTGTTTGCCACATCCCCAAGTCCCTGTGGCCCCCACCTCCACCCCACCTGTGTCTTCCAGGTCCTCCCTGATCTGCACGACAGGCTAGGCCCCGAGTGGGTGCTGTTGGCATACAGTGGGCCCTGTGGACTTGTCTCTGTGCTGAGATAAAGGGGGGCTTAGCAAACATGTCAGCCATCACAGCCAAAGGTTGTGCAAACCCCTGCTGACCCCCCTGGCCCTCTGGGAGGACTGGGCCACTCTGAGTCCTTAAGCCTTGAGGCCTGGAGGTGCCATCTGCCCTTCTCCTACCCTGCACCCTGACCTCTGCCTTCTGCTCTGTGGCATGGCGAATTTCTTCTTTACAAATGTTATTCAGCAAATCCACACAGGGTGCCTGCTTGAAGTTACAGCTGTGCTGGCCCCTTGTCTTGCCATCTACACCTTAGGGGTCTGAGGACAAGAAAGGCCCTGCTAAAGCTCCTTCATCAGGGGCAGATGATGTGACTCTGGCCAGAGGTGTCCCACCAGGCTAGCGCTTCATCACCTGGGTGAAGAATTAACTTTCTCCCGGGGCAGGGACAGAAAAGCACCCGACCTCCCTGTGCAGGGGTGAGAAGGCAGAGATGGGCGCCATTTGAATTCCTGTCTGTGCCTTGAAAGGGCTCCAAGTTTCCTGAGTTTAAAGGGAAAGGAATGAGTTTCAAGTTGGAAAACTTAATGGGTGTCCAGCCTCTCTACACTGTCCTCCAGCCTCACGATCCTGGCAGGGGGGTAACATGAAAGGTGCCCGTGGAGGACAGAGGCGCCAGCTCGCCCAAGCCCCGGCTGGGGACAGCCCCACCCTCACCCACTTTAGAAGCCCCCTTGGAAGCCCCCAGGTAAAACCCCCACTTCCTTTATCCCAAGCCTCTTTTTTGAGGTTTGCCTGCATTTTTGATCTTAACAAGTTTCCTTTTCTTTTTTGTCATCTTTGCCAGAGCTTTTATGCGATTTCCTTTTATTTTAAAAATGGTGGCTTTCAAGCCTCGTCTCATCTATGATTGTTTCATGTTTGCAGGTTTCTGGAAGGTTTGGAGCTGGTCCCTGGGTGGGCAACTTCCCATCTGCTCCTTGCTCTGCTTGTCTGCTTGGAAGGGGCACACGAAGTGACGGCCCCTTTTCAGGGATTGGGGCGGGCCTTGAATCGACAGCCTCCTTTTCAGCTCCCCTCCAGCTGGGTTGGTGCGGCTGGAGAAAGAGGCAGGGTCCTCATCCTCCTGCCTCCCTCAAACCTCCCCTTCTCCATGCAGCAGCAGTAGACCTCATGGTTGCAGGCAGGCTGCCTGAGTTCCAGCCTCTAGCCACATGACTTAGGGCAGCCACTTGTACCCTTTAAGCCTCAGTTGCCCCATCTGTACAGTAGAGAAAGTAATACTTTACTGTAAGATAATAGTAATAAGTACTTACAAATAGTATAAGTAATAGTGCTATAAGATGATACATGGAAAGTGCTTGGCATAGTGCCTGGCACAGAGTGAAGACTTAATAAATAGAACCTATTATAATAGGACAAGCCCTTGGGCTCTCAGACCCCTGTGAGCTGGCCATTATCTCTGTATCCAGCCTCATCAGCTTCTTAGCCCATCTGGAATTTTCTTTGCTTACAAAGTGCCATCCCAGTAGTGCCACAACTCACCTGGCAACTTTGCAACACTGGATCTTTGCTGACACTGGTCCCTCTTCCTGGGACCCTTCTCATGCTACCTTATATGGGAAGACTCCTCCATCCTTCAGGTTCAGCTCAATGCCACCCACTTTGGGATACCTTTACCTCCCCAACCCAAATAAGAATTAACCTGGCCTTCTTCAGTGCCTGTATAAGTGAATTTGATTTTTATTTCACTTAATAATGGAGCAAGTGCTGGGTTGGTCTGTCTTTAGAATCAAAGAGATTTATATTTTAATCTAATTTTTGGCAGGTGCTAGCTTTTCCATTTCATATTTGTGCAACCATGAGCATTCTCCTTAATCCCTCTGAGCCTCAGTTTCCTTCATTTGAAGATGGAGGTGGTGATACCTTCTATAGCATAAGTTCTTGAGAGTGGCTAGAAATGCACTGTGTATTTCTAGCATGGGAACACTGTGGGCACTCAATAAACCTGACCATAGATGATCACTGAGCATTCTTGACTACTTGGCATATAAATAGTTCTCAATAAATGGCAACTTCCTTTATATCATGTCCATTTTTGTTGAGGAACTCATTCATTCACTTATTTGTCAACAGATGCAAATATTGAGTAACTGCTGTGTGCAGACTCAAGGAGACCTCCCAGAGGAATGAGAGGCATCTCTGCCCTTGCAGAGGTCCACTGACAAGCTGATGCAGGCAGAGTGAGGATGTCCTGTGATGAGCCTGGCTCAAGGTTCAGAGGCCGTATGGCACTTCTCTTGACTGTTCACTCTGTACTACACAGCCCATGGGCCTGCACACGCTAGATGCCTACTAAATGCCCCTGGACTGAATTATGTCTGATCCTTGGAAACTCATCCCTTCAGAGTTGCCCCGGGTTGGGCTGCCCCACAATTTAGCCAATCCCCAGTGCCTTGGGATCAGCTCTCTGTTATGTTCTGATGCTTTCCTTGGTGGGCTCCTCTGCCTCAGAAAACCCAAAGTAGATATGGATTTGGAGACAGAGCAGCTCCTCAGCTCCAGCTTCAGCCCTATGATTGATGTTTCTGCTGCTTCCTCTTCTCTTTTGCTAGTTTGTGTGTGTGTGTGTGTGTGTGTGTGTACCTTTATTTACCCTAGAAAGCAGACATAGGCTAACACATCATTTTGGTGTCCCCCAAAGCAAGGATTTTCAGATACTTCTTTCCACAGCCAGCCCAGGCCCTTCAGGACTCCACAGCACCACGGGGCCCTGGAGCACCTCAGGCCATGTGCCCATGATGGCTACACTCTGAGACTGAGGATCTAAGTTTTGGAACGCTCCTCCCTCATCAGCCCAGCTCCACCAGTCCTACTCAACACATGTCATTCTTTTCCCATCTCCAGGCCATTGTTTGGCCTGCCCATAGAACTTTAAAACTTCCCCTGTCCTTCTCACTATTCAGTTTTATGGTGGACATCTCCTCTTTGTCATGCAGCCTCCATTTCCCTTTATTGGAGCAAGCACGTTCTGTTTGTTCATCTTCCTTTAGGAGCCACACACTCTCTTACTTGCCATCCTTGGGCAGCAGGTGGATGAACACTACCCTGCTCCCAGGGGAAGAACGTGTGACCGAGAGCTGACCCATTCAAGTAGTAAGTCCCTCTGACCATATGATTGGCTCATGGATGCCCATGTGGCCGAAGAGGAGCCAATCAGGCCCAATCACTGCTAGTCTGGGACTTTTGCTCCTTGGACTAGAAAAGGTACTCTTGACCATTGGCCGTGGAGTGGGGAGGGTCGAGGTTGGTTGCTGGCAGAGACACTGTTTGGAGACAGTCTGCCTGTAAGATATGGAGGAGAGATGGGGAGTAAGTAATTTGTTCAAGTCGCTGTATTTTGCCACTTCTACCTACCCCTGGACTTCTTGGTTACATGCACCAACAAATTCTGCTTGTCTGCACACGCTCACATACATACACACATACCTGCCTTTTTTTTTTTCTTAAGCCACTTGGAATTGGGTTTTCAGTTACCTTGCAATAAAAATATCTAACCATTTGCTGGAGTCTCTGGTGGATCTGAAATTCTAAGCCCTGGAAGCAGGAAGATAGGTAAAATGTACCCCCAAGGCCACTTCCATGGTGGGATTGCAGGTGCAGCTGCCTTTTTTACAAACCCCCCCTCTGCTTTTCCCTTTGGCCTTGCCTGTTGGAGAGAGAAGGCTTTTCCCCTTATTTGGGCTGAGAGAGGGACACTATAGAACAAGGAAGCCCAAACCACCTTTCCTTCTGCTCCAGGGGTTAGAGGCCACTCTCCTTGGGTTTTTATTTTGTTTTACCTTTTATTTTTTGCAGATTTACCTTCCTAATTAGGTTCTGCTCAGGCAAATATATTAGGATTAGTTTGTAATCCTTGAGCTCACAGAAAGCGAGGGTGGGATGGCCCAGGAGCGGGCTAGGAGCCAGGAGGAGGAGGTGTTTGCTGTGGAAAATCCAGAGTGGGAGATGCACGTGGATAACAAGGTGTGTCTGCACATTAAATGGGTTTCAGATGTATCATTTGTTCATTGTTTGATACAAAGCTATGAATTATTAATTATGTACTAGGTGTTGGGGAGACAGAAGTGAACAGGACAAGACACCTGTCTTCACGGGTCTCTAGTGGAGGGTGAGAGGTAATGAGCAGGACTAATGGTGGTAACAGGTTGCCCAGGCTCCCGGGCCGCTGCCCCTGGTGCCGTGGACGACTTGTGTCCCTGTCTGCTAAGGCTGCGGCTGTGGCTGCTCCAGCCCCAGCAGGTGTAAGAGGCTCTGTAAAGAAGGGTGTTCCTACTTTCCTTTGCACTTGTTTGGTCTCCTCTGGTTCCAGCGTTTTTTTGGTTTTGTTTTTTGTTTTTTGAGACAGGGTTTCACTAACTCACCCAGGCTGGAGTGCAATGGCATGATCAGAACTCATTGCAGCCTTGGCCTCCCTGGGCTCAGGTGACCCTCCTGCCTCAGTCTCCTGAGTAGCTGGGATTGCAAAGATGCATCACCATGCCTGATTAATTTTTGAATTTTTTTGTAGAGACGGGGTCTTGCTACGTTGCCCCAAGCTGGTCTCTAACTCCTGGGCTCAAGCAAGCCAGCTGCCTCGGCCTCCTGTGCTCACCCTCCTGTGCTCACCCTCAGCCAGGCTTCCTGAAACCCATCCTCCGAGCCACACGTCTGGGTCAGGAGTAGGTCCCAGGCTGTGTCAGAACCAACGTCCTCCCCTCCTAGCCATTTGGACAGTTTGTACTTCCCCTTTCTTTGCGGTGAGCCTCCTCTCGGTATTTGCTGTCCTCGGGGTCCCTTCCAGCCGGGAGTCACTGCTTTGGGAAAGAAGGCAAGTGTCAATTCTCTCCCCTTGAGGCTTCTTGGCCCCAGGGCAGTTGTGTCACAGCATGGCAAGTAGACAGTGCAGATGGATGGGGTTAGCCCCTGTCAGGTTCCCAAAGTTGGGGCCACATCCTTCCCATAGCCATGGTGGCTCACTCACCTAACTTGTGCCCACTAAAGCAAAGGCCCTTTCCTGAACAGAGAAGACCGTTCCAAAATGGCCAGTGGCTCCACCTCAACCGACAAGCAATGCTGCAGCTTGCAAATGGCTCCTTCTTCAAGCCCTGCCTGAGTGGCGCCTTGAGCCCCTTGAGTCCCTCAGGGAGCAAGCATCTTGGGGCACAGCTCAGGGGCTCCCAGGCATCCCAAGGACCCCCACTTCTCTCGTGGGGAAAAGACAGATTCTACTCCAGGGGGCTGGATGTCACCATCACTGCCCTGGGACCAGGAAGCCTGCTGAGCCTAGGGCTGCTGCCATGCATGGGGGAGGCCTTGGGGGAGGTTGGTGAAGGGCACTGAGACCTTCGTGGGGTGGAAGGGAGACTCTCGATGGGGGATGCCTCTCACAGGGAGAGCATCAAGGCTGCCTGCCCTCCATTTTGCCTGTCATCATCTCCTGCAAATGGCCATTACAGGGCCCAGAGCTCTCCAGAAGGTCGTCCGCCCTGAAATTAAAGCCCAGCCTCCTTGGAGTGTGTCAGAAGCAGGGTGCTGATGGCCCATCTCTCTCTCATTGAGGGGGATTTACATCTGTTAGTAAATTTAAATGATGAGTTAAATGGGGTTTAGATGGCACCATGAGCAGGTATGTCCTCTGCTTAATGACCATGCAGGCCCATTAGCGGTTTCTGAGCTCCTGCATGGGCATGCTAGGGGCAACTCCTCCCCCTGGTGGGGGACATCCCACCACTCTATCCCCACCCTCCCATCCAAGGCCTGGGCATTGCAGAGGACTCAGCCTTGGCAGAGAGGAGGGCATGGGCAGTGGCTGTGATGCAAGCTGGGAGGACGGGGTTCTGCAGTCCCTGTCCCTGCCACCCTCTTCCTGCCTCCCTCTCCCCAGCGTTCTTTCTCTTTCTCAGTTTGGAGAAGTCTCATGCTCTCCAACTCTTCACGATGCAGCAGAGCCAGATGGGTCCTGGGAAGCTGCTGAGCCCAACATCCCACATTAGAGCTGGAGAAGCTGACAGTCCCTGGTTGGGAAGCAGGTTGAGATTCTGTCCCGCCTCCCGCTGAGGTGGACAGAGGGCACCAGAACAGAGTGGGTGTCAACCCTGGCTGTGTGGCATCTCCTGGGCAGCTTTGAACAAATAGGAGCGTGGGTTCTGCCTAGAGCTCCTGATTTCACTGGTGGGGGTGGGGCCTGGGCCTCGTTGTCTCTCACAGGCCCCCAGGTGACGTGGCTCTGAGGTACTCCAGGGTTGGCAACCACGGGGTGGTTCAAAGGAGTAGCTGGGGACTGAACTGCCATCAAAGCAACCTCCGTCTGCCTGGCCACACCAACCTAGGGCCACAGAGGGGGCATCCACAGCAGTGACATATATTTGTGTGGTTTTGCTTTCACTAAATATTGCAAGACTCCCAGAAACCCCCTCAAACTGTCACCCAATTATTTTGGGGTTACTCCAGGCTTGCCTCCTGTAGACTCGCAAACATGTCTGTCAGCTACCAAGGGGCACCTATGTCTGCTGCCTAAGCAGTTGTTGGGGTCCCCTGGCTCCTGTCCCCATGCTCTGCTGGATCCCGCACCTGTTTCAGGCACCATGATGTCAGCTAGCCACGCCTTGGGCCCTCCGGGTCTGGCTGTCTCCTTTGGGCCGTCCTCCCCGCTGACCCTACAGTGGTCTCTGAGCACCTCGCCCCCAGTGCTGGTGGGCTGACACTCCCAAACTTTGGAGCTGCAGTGGGCTTCCCATCACTGCTGCTCTCTGTTAGTGGCCCCCATGGCGAGGCTACTTGGTCTCACTGTCTTTTGAATTTTGATGAAAACCAAAATTTCAATTTTTGTAGAGAAGCTCTTCTCACTCCCAAGGACTTGGAGCATGAATCCAGGAGGTGTGGTCAGGAGACAAATCTATACCTGCCAGACACTAGAGTCCTGGCCTTTCCCTGCCCCGAGCTCAGACCTTTGTTAAAGCTAAGCTGGTGTTCCCGGCTTTCCCTTTAGAAGGCACTCTATTCCAGGGGGCTTCCCAACCCGTCATGCTGGGAGACTCCTGGTGGCCCTGTCCTGCTCCTTCCACTCCCAATACCCGGATATATTCTGTTTCTATCAGGAGACATGATTCAGGCCCAGGTTGTCCCTTCAGGGACCCCAGTGTCTTGAATCAGAGTTTCATCTTTAGGAAGCATTTTCCTATATTCTACGTTGGTGGGAAGTTTGCAGTTGAGATTAGGCTCTGGCTTGCATCATAACCTGTTCCTGCCCCACCTTCTGCAGGCCTTTCCATTGCTCCCTCTCACCCTCATGTTCAGGCCAGCCGTGTGGGCGCACAGGTAGAGATGGTCACACTCTAGGAAGGAAGAGGAGCCATTTTTCCCCAGGACACCATCCCCTTCCCTCTCATTGGCTAAAATGGGGTCACATGCCCACCCTTAAGCCAATCACTGGTAAGGGTCCTGGGACAACTGTGATAGGCTGAGACTTGCGGGAGCCTGTCCTCAGGGTGGGGAGGGGCTGAGCCATCACCCAGCACCAGGTTCCGGTGAGGACCATAGCAACTCCTGTCCGCACTTTGCATACTTACATTAGTTTCCTGAAGGTAAATTGTCACTAGCTTGCTGGCTTAAAGTAACAGAAGCCCAGAAATCCAAAATCAAGGTATCCGTGAGGCTGCACTCCCTCTGAAGCCTCGGGGACAATCTGGTCCTTGCCTCTTCCAGCTTCTGGTGGCACCAGGTGTTCTTTGGCTCATGGCCACATCCCTCTAATCTCTGCCTCTGTCTTTGTGTCTCTTCGCTGTTTGTCTCTTATAAGGATACTTGTCATTGAATTTAGCCCAGGATGATCTCAGGATCCTTAAATAATTACACCTTTTCCGTATAAGGTAACATTCACAGATTCCAGGAGTTAGAATGGGGACATATTTTTTTGAGGGCCACCATTTAACTCGCTTCAGTATTCGTTACCTCTGTCAGCAGAGACAAGGGTGGCACACAGACTACTCTTGGTAGACAAACGCCAGCATAGCTGAGGATCCAACACAGCAGGGCCACATGAGACTTTGGCAGTGCTGCCTGGCCTGGTCATATGGGGCCTGCTTGGAGGAGGAGGAGGAGGAGGAGGAGGAAAAGTTGTGTCTGCTTTTGAGTTTACTTCTAACCCTCTCCGTGGTTTATTTTCCCCACTGTCCCATTTGGTCTTGACTTCCTGAATTTTTCTGTGATTGCAGAATTCTCCCATTGTGCCTTGCCCGACATCTGAGAGCAGTGAGTGGTCTGCCTGGCATTGAAAAGGAAAAAGTTTCTGGAAGACCCACCTGGGGCTAGAAGCCTTGAAGTTGCTGTGGGTCTGGGGCTTGTGAAGGGAAGCCGGAATGGGGGAGGGCTGCGTGGAGGCAGGGGACTGGCCCTGAAGGCCAGAGACGATCTCCTGGGCTACAGATCCCAGGCCCCTGGGGTGGGATGGTGTGTGTGTTGGGGGCACCTGAGTTGCCCACCTCAGGGGAACTTGGGGGTCCTCCAGGGCCCCAACTGCGAAGCCCCTATTGCTGTTTTTCCTAAGCCCCCAGGCCTAAAAGCTAGAGTCCCAGGGAGAATAAAACAGCCTGAGCAAAAAGGCTCCAAGGCAGTTCAAAGACAGAGAGAGACTGAGGATGAAGTTTTCAAGCCACATCCAAGGGGAGGGCTTTTCATCTGCCAGCCTTTGAATCGGGAATCAAGGCGGGCAAAGTTACTACCAGGTTAAAGTTTAAATGGCACAGAAAGGGGAGACAGGAAGATGAAACGACGGCCGTCTGGCCAGGGGAACAAAGCCGGAGCCCAGCCTGGCCACCTGGCCGCAGAGGCGCTGAGTGGTAGCAGTCCCAGCCAGGAGGGGCTGCGACGCTGCCATTGTTCAGCTGAAGAACGAAAGTAATTGAAAGGAAAGGTGAGCCAAGGAGAGGCAGCCGGTGCGTATGACTGCCTGGATCGTTAGAAAATAATTTAAAGGGAACAGGCCTATCAAGCAGTTTCTCTTATGGAAATGCCATCATTGAAGAGAAAGGAAGGGGAGGGTGGGGGAACCTTTCATTCTTTGGAAAAGAGTGAGTTTTTTTCCCCTCACCAAATATAGACTTGAATATTATTTGAAATCCCGTCATTTGGCAAACTTGCTTTACTCCCTAACTACCTAGGCTGGGGGCCCTCCACAAAACCTTGAGACTTTGGGAACCCTGATGTCTGGGGGGAAACGGGGATGACATGGCTGCATAGCCACAGGATTTTCACTATGAGACCGGGAAGCTCCCTGCATCCTCAGGAAGCCCAGCCCTTGTTTAACTTCCTCCCTGGTTCTGCCTGCAATCCTTACCTCAGAATCGCCCCAGAGCACTGCTGCTTGACCACCTACCAGCTGTGATTTCTGGGGTCTTGAAGACACAAATAGGTGAGTTAGCATGCTGCCCCAGGGGGTGCAGGTGCCCCTTACACCCCTACCTTTCTAGATGAAACTTCCCTGTCCCCAGTATTTGACTGTACACAGGGGGAAAAACCCTGATAACGTTGTTTTAATCTTCTGGAGCTAAAAGACGTGTTCAAAATTGTCAGCATTAGTCAAGCACTTATTATGTGCCAGACAGAGTCTAGTGAACAAAACACAGACCCCTATGTTTAGGAACCTTTAGTCTAGTTGAGGAGGTGGACAAATAAATAAGCAATAACAATATAGATGAATAAGAACTGTGATAGATGAAGCATTATGGCTGTGGGGGGTCCATAGCAGGAACACTTAACCTGGTCTGTAGGCCATGAGGGAAGGCTTCCTGGAGGAGGTGACACGTGGGCTGAATTGTGAAGATTTATGAGCTATTAGTGAGGGAACTTCTACTTCCAGCCAAGATGGAGTAACAAGAGCCATATTTACCCTTCTGCCTGAAAAAACTGGACAAAATGTATGAAACGGTGGTTTGTAAGACACTGGACATTAAGGAATACAGGACAGTGTTCCCTGAGAGAAGAGAGGCAAATGATGCGAGCCCTGTGATTGCACCAGCTTACTGCCTTGAGAGGGCTTCTGAGCCATGGCACAAGGAGGGGGAACCAAAGAGGAAGACTGGCAGGCCTCCTGAGTTGAGGGGACAGAGCTGAGAGTCAGGACCAAGGTGGTGAGAGTCTGCAGGCAGGAAGGTCTAAGAGGAAAGAGCTGCACTCAGAAAGAGCTCTGGAGATTCTGCTCAAGTATTCGGCAGAAAATCAGTCAGCATGTGCATGTGAGGGAACTATCTGGAGCTTGGGAATTAATCATTCAGAGGATCAGAGTGAAGAGTATCTGGTGCTCACACAAAGAATAGTGCCTGTTCCGGCCAGCCAGACTAGAGGACCTAATAATTCACAGGGATCGAGTAGGGCCCTCAGGAAACTCTTGCCTCAGTAGTGGGAAATGATTAGCCTTAGACTGAGCCCTATTCTGGCCCCACCTGGCAAATCTAGAAAATAAGACCCCAAAGGATGAAACTGTCTCCAAGTGCTTTAACTGCATCCAGAACAAAGCTCAAGAATATTTATAGGAATACAAACGTGCCCATCACCTAGAAAGGTAAAATTCATTATGTCTGGCATCCATTTACAAATTACCAGCTGTGCAAAGAAGTGGGAGAATATGACCCATGATGAAGAGGAAAATCATTCCATCAAAACTGATCCAGAACTGATGTAAATGTTAGACTTAGCAGACAAGGTCATTAAAACAGATCTTATGATTGTATCCTGTATGTTCAAGAAGTTAATTAGAAATAGAGAAAACATGAAAAAGATGCAATCAGACTACTAAAAATGAAGACTACGGTGTCTGAGACTGAAAAGTGCACTGCATGGAATTAATAGGAGATGACACATTGCAGAGGAAAAGCCTGGCGAACTTGAAGACATAGCCATAGAAACTATCCAACATGAAATAAAGAGAGCAAACATAATTTTAAAAAATACATTGAAAGAGTATACGTGAGCCATGGCACAACATTCAGTGGTCTAATATACATGGAATTGGGGTGGCCCAAAACGAACAGGGCAGGAATAGAGGCCAAAATTTTTCCAAACTTTATGAGACCCATAAACCCACAGATCCAAGAAGCTCAATGAACTCCAAACACAAAAACATGCAGAAAATGGTGGCACATCAAGTTTAAGTATCAAAGAACTGTCAAACCAGAATTCTATTCCTAGTGAAAATATTTTTCAAAAATGAAGCAAAATAAAGATTTGTTCAGACACACAAAAGCTTAAGGACTCCGTTTTAAATGGAAATACACAAATAGGGTTAAAAGTAAAAGGATGGAAAAAGGTATAACATGCTAACAGTCATCAAAAGAAAGTAGATAAGGTAGATTTCAGACCAAAGAATATTACTAGGGTAAAAAGGTCATTTTATAAAACTAAAGGGGTCAGTACATTGGGAGGATATGACAATTCTAAATTTTTATATACCTGTTAACAGAGCTTCAAATAATGAAGGAAAAAATAATAAGACTGCAAGAGAAATAGACAAACCTGCAATTATGGACAGAGATCTTAATACCCCCTCTCAATAATTAATAGACAGAAAATCAATAGGAGTATAGAAGACTTAAACAACTCTATTAACCAACTTGACCAAATTGACACTTATATAACATTCCACCCAACAATAGCAGAATACACATTCTTTGTAAGTACACACGGAATACACTTTGGCCAAGATAGACCGTATTATTGGCCATAAAATGAGCCTTAATAAATTTAAAAGGATTTAAACCATAGAGTATGTTCTCTGACCGTAACGAAATTACATTAGAAATGAATAACAGAAAGATCTTTGGAAAGACTCCAAATATTTGGAAACAAAGTGACACTTTCTATATAAGCTATGGTTCAAAAAAGAAATCAAAAGGGGAAAAGAGAGTGTATATATATATATATATATATACACACACATATATATATATACACACATATATGTGTATATATATATGTGTGTGTGTATATATATATATATATATATACACTCTCTTTTCCCCTTTTGATTTCTTTTATATATATGTGTATATATATATATATATGTATGTGTATATATATATATATATATATTTTTTTTTTTTTTTTTTTTTTTTTGAGAGAGGGTCTCGCTGAGACACCCAGGCTGGAGCGCAATGGTGCGATCTGAGCTCACTGCAACCTCCACCTCCTAGGTTCAAGTGATTCTCCTGTCTCAGCCTCCTGAGTAGCTGGGGCAAGGAGGGGGAACCAAAGTAGCTGGGACAAGGAGGCGTGCACCACCATGCCTGGCTAATTTTTGTATTTTTAGTAGAGACAGGGTTTCACTGTATTGGCCAGGCTGGTCTCGAACTCTTGACCTCAAGTGATCTGCCTGTCTCAGCCTCCCAAAGTGCTGGGATTACAGGCGTGAGCCACCGCACCCGACTGAAAGAGAGTATTTTTAACTGAGTGGAAGTGATAATACATTATTTCAAGATTTGTGAGATATCTCTAAAGCAGTGCTGACACGGAAATTTATAATACTGAATTCTGACATTAGAAAGGAATAAAGCTCTCAAATCAGTTATCTCATCTTTTGCCTTAAAAAAACTAGAAAATACAAGAGCAAATTAAGCTCAAGATAAGCAGAATAAAGAAAATAAAGATCAGAGTAGACTAATGAAATAGAGCATATAGAGAACAGAAAAACAATAAAACCAAAAGCTAGTTCTTTTAGAAGATCAATAAAAATAGTAAGCCTCTAGTCAGACTGATCAAGAAAAAGGGAAGACAGAAATTACCAAATATCAGCTGGGCATGGTGGCTCATGTCTATAATCCCAGCACTTTGGGAGGCTGAGGCGGGCAGATCACTTGAGGTCAGGAGTTCGAGACAAGCCTGGCTAACATGGTGAAACCCCATCTCTGCTAAAAATACAAAAATTCGCTGGGCATGGTGGTGGGTGCCTGTAATCCCAGCTACTTGGGAGGCTGAAACAGAAGAATCACTCGAAACTGGGAGGCAGAGGTTGTAGTGAGCCGAGATTGTGCTACTGCACTCCAGCCTGGACAACAGAGTGAGATTCCATCTCAAAAAAAAAGGACCAAATATCAACAATGAGATAGTTGACAACATTACATAATATATAGATATTAAAAGGATAATAAGGGAGTATTATGAACATCTCTCTATCTTAGATGAAATGGACAAAATCCTTGAACATTGCAAACTACCAAATCTCATCCAAGAAGAAACAGAAAACCTGAATGGCTCCATGTTTATTAAAATAATTGAATTTGTAATTAAAAACTTTCTGATAAAGTAAGCCCTAGGCCAAGGTGGCTTCACTTGTGAATTCTGTCAAACATTTAAAAAAGCAATAATACCAACTACACACAAACTCTTCCAGGAAACTGAAGAAGAGGGAATATTTCCATCTCATCCTATAAGGCCTGAATTATCCTGTCTTCAAAACCAGACAAAGCCATTACAAGAAAAGGGAACTACAGACCAATATCCTTTATGCACATAGATGCAAAAAATCTAAGTAAAATTTTAGGAAATTGAATTCAGTGACATATACAAAGGATAACATATCATGACCAAGGTGGTTTAGTATTAGGAAATTGATCAGTGCAATTCATTTTATTCATAAACTAGGGAAAAAATGGTATGATCACTTTAATAGCCACAGAAAAAAACATTCAATGAAATTCAATACCCATTGATGATTTTTTAAAAAATCTCAACAAATTAGGAATAGAAGAAAACTTCTTTAACTGGAAAAACCTACAGGTAACATCATACATAATGAAAAATTGAACGTATTTCTCTTAAGGAACAAGTCAAGAATGTCGTCTCTCACTGCTTCTATTCAATATTGTACTAGAGGCGCTAGCCAGTGAAATAGGGGGAAGACAAAGAAAGAGAGAAAGAAGTAAAAACGTTTGCATTTGCAGATAACATGATCGTCTATATAGAAAATCTGATGACACCTATAAAACAGCCACTAGGACTAATGAAGATATTTAGCAGGGTTACAGAATACAAGATCAATATACATAATCAGTTGTATTTTTATACACTAACAAGGAGCCATCAGAACTTAAAATTTTAAATACCACTTACCGTAGCATCAAAAACCATGAAACACTTAGAGATAAGTCTGAGAAGAGACGTGTAAGATCTGTACACTGGAAACTCTAAAACAATGCTGAGAGAAATTAAGGAAGATCTAAATAAATAGAGACATGCCTTGTTCATGGGTCAGAAAACTCAATATTTTTAAGATGTCAGTTCTTCCCAAATTTATCTACAGATTCAGAGCAACCCTAATCAAAATTCCTGTAGGCTATTTTGAAGATTCTCAAATTGATTTGGAAATGTAAAGGGAGCTAGAATAGCCAAAACAATTTTGAAAAAGACAAAGTTGGGACCAATGTTATCTGATTTTGAGACTGAGAATAAGGCCATAGTAATCAAGAGCCTGTAGTACTGGAGTAAAGACGGAGAAAGAGATGAATAGAACAGAATAGAGAACCCAGAAATAGAGCTCTGTCTCTACATGTGGACAACTGACTTTTGACAAAGGTGCAAAGGTGATTCAGTGAGAAAAGATAGTCATTTCAACAAATAGTGTTGAAACAACGGATGTCAATACACAAAATAAGTCAACTCTGATTTATACCTTACACATACAGACTTTGACACAAAATGTATCATAAGCCTAAATGTAAAATATAAAGCCATACAAATTCTTTAAGAAAACAGGAGGAAGCTTTTGTGACTTTGGATTGGGCAAAAGTTTCTTAGAGAGAACACAAAAATCATGACTCCTAAAAGAAAAAAAAAAGATACGTTAGACTTTAAAATTTACATTTTAAAGATACATTTACATTAAAATGAAAAACTGATGCTCTTTAGAAGCTGCCACTAGAAGAATGAAAGGACAAACCACAGAATTTGATAAAATATTCTCAACCATATATTTGGTAACAGGTTTGTTTCTAGAATATATAAAGACCTTTCAAAATTCAATAATAAGAACACAAAACAATGGAAAATGGCAAATGATTTGAACAGAGACTTCACCAAAGAAGATACATGGATGGCAATAAACACATGAAAAGCTGCTCAACATCTTTAGCCATTAGAGAAATGCAAATTCATATCACTAGGAGCTAGCTACCACGGATCATCTATTAGACTGGTTAAGATTAACGAGACAGACCAATTGTTGGTCATGGTGTGGAAAAACTAGAACTCTTTTATTCTGCTGATTTGAAAACAGTTTGGTGGTTTCTTTGAAATTTGAACATACACCTGTCGTACAATCCAACCATGCCACTCCTAGGGTATTTATTAAGTTGAATTAAAGCAGGTGTACATCCAAAAACTTGTACATGAGTATTCATAGCAGCTTTATTTTTAATGGCTACAAACTGTCAACAACCTACATATTCATGGATAAGCAAATTGCATGGCATTCATACAATGGAATATCACTTAGCAAAAGAAAGGCATGAGCTACTGATACACACAAGAATGTGGATGGATCTCAAAATAAATGCTTAGTGAAAGAAGCATTTCAGGGATAAAAAGAGTGCATAGCATATGGTTCAATATACATAAAACGCTAGAAACTGCAAATTAATCTGCATAGAAAGCCCATCAGTGGTTGCTTAGCTATGGGGACAAGAGGTGAGTGGGAGGGATTACCGAGCCAGGAGGAAACTTTGGTGGTGATGGACAGGTTTCCCACCTTGATTTTGGTGATGGTTTCATGGGTGTATACATATGTCAAAACTTGTCACATTGAACATTTTAAAAGTGTGCAATTTATTGTGTGTAAATAGAGTCTCACTAGAGCTGTTAACAAAAGTAGAAAGCAGAGAGGGAGAGAGGAGTGGAGGTGCTCCAGGCAGAGGTCACAGCTTCTGCAAAGGCCTAGACGTGAGAAGGAACAGGGCGTCTTGGCTTGGCTGGGGAATAGGGCATGAAATGGGGAGGTGGGAGACAGGAAGGAAGCTGATTATCCTACCCTGTGTTCTATGCCTCATTCAGAAGTCTCCAGGGAGCTTCAGACAGTGTCCAGGCCTGGCCCAATTCTATCTTGTTTTTCTGCCTCTTGTAGGTGCCTGTAACACTCAGCCCCTCCTTGCAGTTGTTCAAATGAGCCAGATCCTGTATGTCAGGGCTCAGGGACTGCAGAAAGGAGGCTGTCAGCTGGAAGAAGGAGAAGGTGTCAGGATCCCAGGTCCACAAGGCCAGATGCTGGAGGTGGAGGCCTTAGGGGCCAGGGAGATGGGCCCCCGAGCCTCCCTCAGAGAGGGAAAAAAGAGGGAGAGAGGGACAGAGAGAGAGAGAGAGAGAGAGAGAGAAAGAGAAATAAAGGACCATGCAGGTTTTTCCATGAGGATGAGAAGACAGAAGAGTCAACACTCCAACCCAGGAGGGGAACTAGGTCAATTCACGAAGCCAATGTGCAGAAAACTTGTTGAGCAGAGTCCCCTTTGCTGAGTGAACTATCAGACACACATCTTAGCCTCCATCCAGCAGAGTCCTCTGGAGCCACTGTAAGTCCAAAAGCCAGGTGCAGAGGCAGAGTTTTGGGACAACTTGTGTATTTGCATGAGAACGGCAGAGGTAGGGGCAGAGACTGGGGTGAGAGAACAAAAACTTTCCAAAATACCCCACAGTAGCCTGGTCAGCCAGTCATTTGGTGAACTGAATTTCTAGATTGGCTTTTGGCAAAGGGATTTCTGCAAAGCAGTTTTCCACTTCTCTTCCTGTCTCCCACCTCCCCATTTCAGGCCCTGTTCTCTAGCCACTTGGGAGGACAAGTGTCATCGCAATCCCTAAGGGAGGACAGAAGTCATTCACGGCACTCTACAGAAGCCAGAAGATGTGCTTATAGGCGGTGTTGGGTGTTGTCTTGAGCCCACAGTGGGCCTAAGCTGTACTGGGGATGTTCGATGAAAGCAGAGAGAGAAATAAAAGATCATGCAGGAACTTCCATGAGGATAGGAAGACAAGAAAGGTCAACACACAGCACGGCCAACAAGCAAGACAGTCTAAGAATGAACATGGTGACTTAAAAGATGACATGGGGGCTGCAGGGAGGGAGAAACAAACGGGGAGGGAAGCACAAGTCTTGTGAGTGTCTTTTTGGAGAGACAGGACTGAGATGGGTCTCCAAGATAAATTTAGTTTTGGATCAGGACAGGAAAAGAGAGAAAGGCCCTGATCTGAGGGTAAGGACGAGATGCACAAAGAGCAGCACATTCTGTAACATGTCAGTAGTGAGTAGAGCTTGCTCTGAAATGATCCTGCATAATATTAAAATCACCCTTGATAAAAGATGTGCAGCCAGTCTGGAAACGCCAACAGTGATTGAGCATATAGGTGATGGGGTTTGCATGTTTGTTAATTTATCTGTTGTTTTTCTTTTTTATCTTTCCACTATGAATATGTAGTACTTGTGCATTTAAAAAATGTTATAAATCTGCAAGTTAACAAATCTAATGCATTTCCCTTCAATCTCATCATCCCAAGACTAGACCTTTTTCGGACAGTGGCTTGAAGACAGACAGGCTCTCCTAAGAGATGGAAGCCCAGGGTGTTCAGCCCCCACTGTCTAAGGCCCCCCAACTCCAGGAGCCCCATATGTTCCTACCAGACCATAGGCTTAACTGGATGTAGGCCAGGGGTGGGGGAATGTGCTCTGCTTGGCATTGTAAGGTGCCAGGCGCACCTGAGCAGCTGGACAGGTGTGACAGATGCCCTGGATTGCATGGAGCTGGCTGTGCCTGTGCACACACACCCGTCTGCACCCCGTCCTCCCCTCCCTACACCTCCCTGTCTTCCCGGCTAGCTCAGGTGTGGTGCATCTGTGGCCCATTGGCAGCTCTCTTGCCCGCAGTGCACAGGGAGCTGTCAGGTTAAAAGCTGGCTTGCTCGATTTGATCCCACATGCGAGCTGTTTTATTTCCCTCTCTCTCCCTTACACGGCTTCGGTGTGCTTTTATAAATATTTCACTAGCCTTGCTAAAGTCTATTTCATCTCTCTCTTAAATTTATTAAATATAAATGCAGCAACAACTCTACCATAAGTCTCTCTTTGCTGTCAAAATCTCAGGCTCCCATGGAAGTAAATATAATTTGCTTTGTTTACCGTAGGTAACTTGGAGCCCTATCTGCTATCTCAACACCCCCTAAGCACCCCCAAATCTCCCTGTTTTTGTTAGCAGGGGTCTGTCTCATCCCAATGTAGTGCACGGGGACACGGGTCACGCTTTGAAGAGGGCGTGACAAAGGGGCTGTTCTCCGACACTCGCATGGCAGGGAATTTCTTGGTCCGCTGGTCCCTCAATGACACAATCAATGAGTAAAGGGGGATACCTTTACTCATCACCTCAGACCTGAGCACGCCCTGGGCCCCATTTGGGCAGAGCTTTGCTCTTTGCTTTTCTTTTAAAGTAAAGGGCCCATCTGCTGCAGCTAGTGACCTGGCCAAAAAAGACACAGACTGCTGTGAAATGATTGAGGGCAGTGACTCCCCTCCCACCCCAGGAGCCAGAGCCGACAGAGCCAAGAGCAAGGCAGGAATTCAGGTCCCCAAAAGCAAGCCAGAAGCACCACCTCCAAGCGCCCTGCCACTTCCTTTGTTCTTTGTTAATTGCAAAATAAACACAACCCTGCCCACCGACTGTGGAGAAAGATTTCTGCCAACTGGGGGACCCGGCAGGTAGTGGGCAGGCATTTGCCCTCCATCAACCACATGTGATTTCCTGGAGGAGAAGGGGCAGTAGAGAAGGGGCAGAGTGGCAGGGCTGGGATGGACCTAGCTTAGGGCTTGTAGGTCAGGGAAGTGAGGGAAGTGGATGTCAAGATGGAAGACACAGGCACGCTTTGTTTGCATCTGAAATCAGTGAGAATAGCTTTCTCTTCCACAAAGAACTGGATCTCTTTCACCCAGGTGAAAGGTGCTATTTCTAGCTCTTATTTCTTAATGAAAATGGCCCTCTCAGTCTGTCCTGTTTTTCTCTACTTTTGGTGGTGACATTGGAGCAGAACGATGGCATTTCCGCTTTCTATAAGAAAGAGGGCCAGGCTTGTCTAAGAACCCCCACCCCTAACTCCTAGCCTGGCATCTTCCATTAAACTTGCAGAGATGAAACAGGTGACTGACATCTTGGGCTGGGGGGACAGACGTTTAGAATTAGCTCCTGGATGCATCCAGGAATTCAGATCTGTGCTAAAACTCTCTATAGCTCCAGAAGACTGGCTTTTACAGTGGCTGTGCCCTGGAGTCTCAGAGACTGTCCTGCAGATTCAGGAAGAGAGGTGTTGTACGGACTTGCAGATTTTCTGTCTCACCGTCCCATTTAGACACAGGAAGACAAGAGAAAGTTACCTCTAGGAGGTGAAAGGAGTAAGTTTTTTGGGGGGGTCAACTGAAGATCTGTGTGAGAACCTTTTCCACACTACAACAATAGACTAAAAAAAATTGACTCAGCTTACATAGAATGCAATTGTTTTGTACAATTATTTTGCTTAAAAAGTGAAAAGGGTTTTAGAATTGTGGTTTTGAACTTGTTAGTAATTTTGATTTTTCAGTTTTATTCTTGTATTTTACAGTCACAATTATTATTATTTTTTTCTTTTTAGATCTCAAGCATGTTTAATGGCCCCCGAAAAGAATCTATAGACCCCACACTGTTTATGGGGTAAATCAAGCCTCTGGGTCTGGGATGGAAGAACCAGAGTGTGGGGTTTCAGAGAAGGGTAGTGGGGAAGAAGCCACTTGCTCTGGAGCAAGTGATCATTGGGCCTTCCCTGGGATGGCCCCAGGGAGCACGCCTCTGGCCGACCTCCACCGGCCTGCCAACCCAGGCTGCGGGGGCGGCTGCGAGTCCCCCGAAGGTAAATGACGCGGCATCAGCGGGGTCCCTGTGTCAACTGCATGATGGCTTTCAGGCCTGGGGCTGGTGGCTTCCTGTCTCACCGCTGAGAGCGAGGCTATTTCAGGATCTCGCTGCTTCCGTCTGTTCCGGGGAGGGCAGGATGGAGGGCGGGCAGTGGAGAGGAGGCGGAGGCCCGGGTCTACATCTACCAGGTGTTTCAGAGGCAAACTTTCTTTTTCCTCCTGTTTCTGCTGCCCACTGCTGGTGGAATGGGTTTGTCAAGTTGGCATTACTTTCTTTGAAATGCTTTTTATTCACTGCTTTTGGAGTAAAAAACAAAACTCAGTCATATCCCTACTCAAGGCTTGGATAATTGCCCAATACAGCAACATCTTCTGTAGTAAAATTTACCTTCAAAAATCCTGTGAATCATTAGGACCTGATGGGTTCTGAGAATTTCACTTATTTTGTTTGTTTGTTTGTCTCTTGGGCATTTTAGCTGTGCCTTCCCTGTCCCTGGGGCGATGGGGATGAGGGAACAGTGACAGGGTCAATAAATGCGCCTCTGCCTGCCTATTTCTCTCTCCTTCTCTTTGTCTGCACTCACTTAGCTGAATTTGGGTAAGATGGTTGTTTGTGGGAGCCAACCCCATTGTACTTCTGCACAGTACGTTTACTGCTGTCAGAACACTCTCACACGCACACGCACCAAGCCATTGTTTGGGGAAACTTCCCTGGCAGGTCGAAGGAATGGAATTGCTGTCTCCATTTCCCATCTCAGGACGCTGAGGCTGGGAGAAGGGGACCGGCCTGTGCGGGTTGCAGGATGCGTGGCTGGGGTTTGAAGCAGCGTCCCCACCCCCGTGCGTGGGCTGTTGCCATTGCCCCACGTTTCTCACGTTTCCCCTTGGCCTTACTTGAGATTCCCTGTTCCCTGTGGAGGGGCCTAGGAAGGGCCCCTGATTGACTTTTGGCCCCAAACCGTGACTCTCTCTCAGAGGTGGCTCAGGGAACTTTAATGATTTAGGGCAGCGCTGCTTAGCCAGGGGCAATTTTGTTTCTCAGGGGACATTTGGCAGTGTCTAGAAACATTTTTGGTTTTCACAATTGGGGGTTGCTACTGGCATCTAGTGGGTAGAGGCTGTTAAACACCCTGTAGCCCAGAGGACAGGCCCCTCCTGCCCTGCAACAAACAATTATCCGGCCCAGAATGTCAACAGTGCCAAGGGTGAGAAGCTCTGGTTTAGGGGAGTGAACTCCAGGTGGTTAGGAACTATCGCCACATATTTCTTGCCTTCTTCTAAGCTCTCGGTCCATGATGTTCAGCAAGGAGTCACTGAGCACCTCCCACACGCATGGCACACTCCCATCTAGGCTGCCTGCCTGTGCCATCTCCTTACACTCTCAAAGGCATGGTAAAGTGGGTGAATCTCTCCATAGGACTCATGAGAACATGAGGGTTTAGAGGGTGTCACCGTTGGGTGTCCTGGGAGGTAGGCTCTGGGGTGGATATTTGTATGCAGAACCAGCCTCTGTAGGGAGAGAGGGACTCAGGATGGGGCAGAGAAGGAGATGGGCGGTGATGCAGTCATAGCAAAGGCCTCTGTTGATCCCCTGGGAGCCCTGGCACTGCTGTGATCATTCAGAGATGTTCCAAATTGGGGTGAAGAATCCAGGCTTTTCTACCGGCCCCCAACATTGACCATTAGATGTGGCCACCCCAGGGTGGGGGGTGTCAGTGTGTGAAGTGTCTCTTGGCTGAGGGTAAGGCTCTGAGATGGGCTCAGCCAGGAGCAGAGCCACCAGCATGCCTAAGCAGCTGTTCCCAGGAGGCTTTTGGGGATTTGGGCAGAGCTCGGTGTCCACTCTAAGGAGCTCGAGTGCTTGCCCAGGTTTGCTCCCTAGCTGGGCCGCCCCCCTCCCTCATGGTGGCATTGGAAGTCTGTGGAAACTGAGGCCTCCTAACCCAGGGCTGTAATCTCTGACAGAGTACCATCAGCATTTCTTAACCCCATAAGCCACAAACTGGCAGCACCGATTCATGTTTTGTGTACCACTATTTTTAGTGAGTTACCACTGTTCTAAAATAAGGAGATTTTTACATAAAGTTCTGAATTCCTAGGTTTCATGGAAATATTGGGAGACCTGACTGTGCTGGCACACTTTCTAGCTGTGCAGGAGCGATCCCTTTTGCAAAGTAGGTGTGTGTGTTGAGGGGGGTGTCTCACCACTCCATTGTATGCCTAACCCACCACCCTCATTTACTCATCCATGTCATGACTCTTACTCTCTGCATGGGCTACTGTTGGAGCCTAGTTCTTCTGTGCTAAGCATTGGTGTTTCTCTCTTCAACCAACAGGGTTTTGCCTGTTCTTCGACCTTAGGGCATTTCCCTTGACCCCATTTCCCACTGTGGCCTTTAAAGAGAATCTCAAGAATCACAGAGAAAGCTTCTCAATGAAAACCAATGGGAACAAATCCGGCCTTTGTTCCAGGACATCCTGCCCTTCTGGCTGGCTCTGAGGCTGCAGGTACCAAAGCTGTCCCTGCTCAATCCTCCCTCTCGGAGTGGGCTTTGGTTTTTGTGGGCGACTCCATTGTTAAAAGCCAGCCCTACAATGGGACGAGGACAGTTGACAGGTTTCTGTGCAAGCGCGTTTCCGATCGCGCAAGGTAACAGCTTCATTACTCAGTGATGAGTGACCCATATTTCCTAACATGATTTCCCTGCTGTAACTCAAATTGAGTTCATGTTATTCTAATGATATCAGTTGACCTTGAGAATTAGACCAAGAAGCCTGGGGTTATTCTTCCAACTTCCACTGCAGATTCTTCTGATGTGTTTGGAAACACAATCTACTCCTCATCGCCCTGAAGTGGGCAGGGGGAAAAGAGAAAACAAAGATCCCGACCTGCTCTGATTTTTAGAAAATACATCTGGGCAATTTCAGGCGACGGGAGGCTCTTTCCCTCTCAGTTCTGCTCCCCCACCACTGCCTCTCCCCCAAGATCCTGGATCTTTCCTGCCAGGAAGAGTCCTCCTCTAGGTCCTACGGGATCTCCTTGCTGCAGCCTCTCCTTGCCCCACCACCCTGCTGGGTCAAGCTCCCAAAACCAGAGCAGACGGCGCTTCTCTAGTTCCCTCACTGGCTCCTCATTGCCTGCTGGTAAACCCCAGACTCCTAAGCCTGGCATTCAAGGCCCACAATTCAAGCTCATCTGCATCCTCAAATACAGGATCGGAGCTGATGGATCTTTCCTGCCAACACAACCCCTGAAAGTGTGTGGCACAGACGGACTGCACGCCTTGGTACATATGACATTTTTTTGTTTGTTTTTGAGACAGAGTCTCTCTCTGTCACCCAGGCTGGAGTGCAGTGGTGCGATCTCGGCTCATTGCAACCTCCCCTCCTGGACTCAAGTGATTCTCCTGCCTCAGCCCCCCAGTAGCTGGGGTTAAAGGCAACTGTCACCACACCTGGCTAATTTTTGTATTTTTAGTAGAGACGGGGTTTCACCATGTGGGCCAGGCTGGTTTCAAACTCCTGACCTGAAGTGATCCACCAGCCTCGGCCTCCCAGAGTGCTGGGATTATAGGTGTGAGCCACTGTGCCTGTCCCACATCATGTTTTTGTACCTCTATGCCTCTGCTCACCATCCTTTCCTCCTGAAACATCCCTGGCCACCTCACTCCTCTGAGCTGTGCCAGCTCCATTTACTTGCATTTACTAGTTTACTAGACCTTTCTGCAGCTTGGATTCTGTTCTGTTGTGGTTATTGCTAGGAACAAGACAGATCCGGTCTCTATCCATAGTGAGCTTCCATTCCAGGAAAGGAAAAAGACAGTAACCAAGAAAACAGATAAAAACTAGCGGGGACATCCCAAGGTGATAAACTTTGAAGGAAATAAGTAGTGTGATGTCTTGGGGAACTTGGGGTAGGGGCTCTTTTCCTGGGGGGGTCTCAGGGAGGGTCCCTGAGCATGATATTTGGGCTGAGACCTGAAGGATGAGAGGCAACAAGACCTGCAGAAAAGTGGGGGGAAGGAAGCTCAGCCCCAAAGCTCTGGGGAGGGAAGGGCTTTGTTGTTCTAGGAACCAAGGTGAGGAGGGCACTGTGCTCACCAGAAGGACTGCATTGCAGGCCACGGGAAGGCAGCAGAGGGCGGCACTTCCGAGCCGGAGCCCCAGGGTGGATGGCTGGGCTCAAATACACTGTGCGGCTGTGTGACCTTGGCAAGTTTTCTAACTTCTCTGTGCCTCAATTTCCTCATCTGAAAAATGGGGATACATTATAAAGAGTACATGAGTTCATATTGCACATTGTTTAGAATTATGTGTGTGTATTCATTCACTAAATTGTCCAGGAACTTGTACACATTTTATTTAGGTCTTCATTTTTACAAGTTGTAACCAGTGATCACTGGTTACAATTGGAAGCCAGCAAGCACTTGTTCTTGGGATGGAATAGAACAAAATAAAGAGCCTAGATGTGAACCTCGGGAAATCCGAGCCAGCTGAACCTTGCCCGAGTCCCAGGCCCACTCTCTGGAGAGTGGCAGAGGATCCTGCCTGGAATTTCTGGGGACCAAAACCATTGAAAAGAGCCCTGCAATGTACCCCCTTCTCAGGAGGAACAGCCAGGCACCCGTTTGGGGAGGAGAAGAGGGTGATTTCACCAGGGCTGGTGGGGAATGTGTGATAAGCCAGGATACAATGTGGCTTGAATCTTTGCCCTTGTTGGACGGGAATATGAAATTAAGCATTCAGACCTGGAAATCCTGTTTCTCCCAGGATTCTGCTCCTTTGGAAGACAGCACCTCTCCTAGCACAAAGGGAGAGGAAGCAGCTGATGGAGCTGAAAGAAAAGGAGTTCCTGGGATGAAGGAAGATATAAGATTGTTAGGGGGAGAGATGAGAGGAGACACGTGGAGGGAGAGAGAGACCGAGAAACGGAGGAATGGAATCCCAAAGGAGTGTGTGTGTGGAGAGAGAGAAAGAAACAGGAGGCAGGGACACACACAGATGGACAGACAGTGAGAAGCAGAGACAGAGAAAGATGGAGACATTGAGACAGGCAGAGACAAGCAGAAAGAAACTGAGAATAAAAGACCTTGGGGCACAGAAAGAGAGACAGGAGCGAAGAAAACTAGACACAGAGACAGAGCAAGGGAGAAGGCCAAGGGTGAAAAGTCTCAACTGGACCCCTTTGACTACAGCCATTTGCCTGAAATAAAGCTCGCACTGTCTTCCAAGGTTGTGTTGGGAAAAAGTTATTTCTTTTGCAGCCACTTCCAGCACACACTCTCCAGCAACCCCTCCTTCCCCCGGGCATGCACGGGTACCTACGTGTGCACGAACAGGTGCACACACTCACCATGTCCCAAGGCACATGTCTGCTCCCCCAAAACCCAGGATCATTGATTCCCCTGGGTTTCATGCTCTTTTCTGTCCCATCTGTATTTGAAACTCTTTTGCTCGAGTCTAGAGAGTGTGTGCCCTCACCTTAACAAGGCTTGGAATGTTATCTTTGATTTTAACAAACAATAAGCACGTGGGTCCTGGATTCTTTCCATTTGCTTTGGGACCCCTTTCAGTCCGGTTTTGTACCTAGTGGCTGGGACTGTCCTCTTCAGTAGGTGTCCCCTGTTGCTGGTGGGCTCACCTGCCACCACCAACACTTCTCTGTTTCTGGCTTCTGGAATTTTTGCAGTAGATTTAGCCTGAGGCTGGTTCCATGGGAAGCCCAGAACCTGGGGTACCAGAGTAAGGCTAGGCCAGATGGGGAGCAGGCCAGGTTCTCTAGAAGCTGAAAACTTGAAATCATCCCCTTTCTTCAGCTTTCTTGAAATACGGTTTCCCAGGCACCCCTCTGACCCTCGCCCACCTCTGTCCTGACTCCTGATGTTGACTGTGACACTGAGGGGCAGGGGACAAGGAGCACTGTGGTAGTTCTGGACTGATGGCTCTGCCAGCTTTAGAAATGTCAGATCTGGGGGAACCTGGATCATAATACCAATTGCCGGTATCAATGAGGCCTTAGTGTCCTAGATACATCACATGCACCCTTTTATGTAATCTTCACCAAAGCTCCATGAAGTGGGCACTCTTACCATCTCCACTTTATAGTTGCAGAAATGGAGTTTCAGAAGGGTAGAGGCGCTGGCCCAGTGTTACCTTGCTCTGATTCTAAGGCCCATGCTCCTAAGCAGTCGATATTATAGTGACTTTTGATTCCCTTGAGGATTTCTTTCCTCAGTGGATATTTGCAGGAAGATTTGGGAGCCCCAGTCACTGAAGGACTGTGCCTTCCTCATTCCAGCTGCCGGGCTGTTTTTCAAAAAGGTGCATTTGTAAAGTGTGTTCATGACTATTATCTTATCTGGCCCCCAGGAAATACCTGTGGAGTAGGTCAGGCTGCCTTGTCCATTTGAGGGATGGGGAAATCAAAGCCCAGAAAGGGCTGCCCTCTGAGTGGAAGGAAAAGCTTGAGCTTGATAAAGAATTTCTGTGTCTAAACCTCTAGGAAGACCCTGGGCTCAGGTGGTGGTCGCCCCACTGTGCTGTGGGCATCTAACTGCTCTGCCCAAAGCCTTTTTAATTTTTTTTAAAAGAACATGCTTCTAAGAGTCTTGACGGGATTGTACTGAGGCTGGGCCTTGATATCCAGGCCAACTGTGGGCCTCCGTGCCGGTGGTGGGAGCTGGAATCTGCCTTTGGGCTGGACTTGAACTCATTTCCTCTTCTCGGTAGGCTGTCGGCTCCAGGAGGGCAGGGGATATGTCTGTCTTGTTCACCAAATGATCTCCTCAGGGCTTTGCACATGCTGTTCTCTTCTGGTACTTGTCCCCGCCCTGCTCTGGCCTCACCTTGTTCATTCCCACTGGGCTTTGACATCTCAGATGAAAAACTTCCTCCCCTAAGCCCTAGTCTACACTAGCCCTCTATAATAAAGTGCCCCTAACACCTTCATCTTCTTCTTCACACTCTTCTGGGTTGAAATGATGCATATGTGGAGCATTTGCTTAGTATCTGGCTCTCCTGTCAAAGTATAGCCTCATGAGGTCAGAGGCCATGGCCATGACCTCAGCATGATGGGGCTTGGTTATCATAGGTCCCATGGAAGCCCTTCAGTAAGGACTTGTTGGCAGAATGAACTACAGTCCCTCCAGCCACTGATGAGTGGAGGTGGGTGGCATGAAGGTGGGGGGTGGGGCGGGGTCAGCATCCCATGGGAGGTCACTGAGTTTGGGGCATCTATAGCTTGGAAAGCCAGTGCCCCACATTTCTAGCTGTCAGGCCATTAAAAAAAAGTGCATCATTATTATTTTGTTGGAGATGGGGTCTCACTCTGTGATCCAGGCTGGAGTGCAGGGTGGCACAATCATAGCTCACTGCAACCTGAAACTCCTGGTCTCAAGCAATCCTCCCATCTCAGCCTCCCGAGTAGCTGGGACAACAAGCACATACTACTATGCTCAGCTAATTCTTGTATTTTTTTGTAGAGATAGGGTCTTGCTATGTGGCCCAGGCTGGTTCCGAACTCCTGGGCTCACTCAATCCTCCTACCTTGGCCTCCCAAGTAACTAGGACTACAGGCATGAGCCACTGTGCCTGGTTATGGTGCTATTTTAAAGGGAGAAAATGAAGATATTTGGTGAACTATGTGTAGCCATTCAATCTGCCTTCCACTTTCATCGTCTCTAGATCTTATCCTGGGGCTGCACCCAAGCCTGGCCCAGCTCTAGGATGTTCTGCTCTGTGAAGCCCCTGGTGAACAACACCTTCCAGTCCTGTTCTATGTCTCCTAGAATAAATCCCAGCTCCCCAGCATGCCTGTAGGGTCCTTACCCCTACTGACCTCATCTTATGCTCCCCACCCCACTTTACTCTAGAAAGGAGCCTACTTTCTGCTCCTCAAAGATGCAGAACTTTTTCCTGCCCCAGGGCCTTTGTGCTTACTGCAGCCTCTGCCCCTGTCTTTGCTTGGCAGGACTGATCTCTTATTCTGTAAGAGATCACGTTTTACTTCCTAAGAAGGGCCTTCTCTGACCACTCAATGTAGAGCAGCCTCCCTCTCCCCACCATATGCCACTCTATCCTGTCTCTCCATTTATTGCCTATGCTACCCTCTGGAGCTCAGCTTGCTTATCCATTCACTTGTTTGTACTCCCATGAGAATATGAGCACCATGAAGGCAGGGCCTCTATCTGTGCTGTCTGCTGCTGCATCCCCAGAGACTAGAAAAAGACCCAGAATATAGTAGGTGTTCCAAGAACACTTGTAGGATGCAGATAAATGAATGAACAGGATCTGATTCTAAAGGGACAGTGTAAGACCTTGAGTTTTACACCTGCTGGAGGCTCCCACAGGTTAAATTCACCACCCCTCCCTTCTCTTCCTCTTGGTGTTCCTCTTTGAGCTTCCCTTGTCTGTATCACCCATGAGAAATGAGTTCCTCCAGAGAAGGTGGTGGGGCCACCAATCATTTAGCTCACCCTCCCGCAGTGGGTCAGGCATAGAGGATATGTCTGAGCTGTGGATCTGATAGTCTGGTTGGTGAGATTTCCTTGAGAGGAGCCCTTTTTAGGGGAACCAGAGCTCAGCAGCCTGCTGGTAGGCCCCTCACTGGGTAGCCAGTGCCCTATGCCCAGAAGCAGCTCCTTCTCAAGGGCCCTGAAGACTTGAGTGGCAGCGGGCCTGGGCATGAGAAGTCCTCAGCCTTGTGAGCTCTTGTCATTGAAAATAGCCACCCAACAAGGCTGTGAGCTTGCACTGGAAGTGAGGTCCTTCGGGGGTGCAGAGATCGGGAGAGCATAATTCCTGCATTCAAGAAGCAGTTACAAAACAACACAACACCAGTGAAATATCCAGACAAGCAAATGTATTCACAGAACAAAGGACTGGAAGATCAGACATCAAATTGTTCATAGTAACAGGTGACTTTTTTGTTGTTGTTGCTTACCTACATGTAATAAAATGAAGACACATGATCTGGGCTACCTGAAACAGGCTTTGTTTGTGTGTTTGTTTGCACATAGCATAGTTTGTGATACGGGGCAGCATAGTTCCCTTCTAAGAGACTGGGCAAACCAAGCAAGCAGTAAGCCAAACATTCAGAGGAGGGGGACTTATGGGTGTGACAGAGTCCTTGGCGGGCTCCTAGGGCAGGCGGGCTTGGAAGGAGGAGGGGGCTTTGGGTAGAGTGGGGAGGAAGCATCAGGAAGGAGAGAAGCAGAGCCATGAGGATTGTGTCCTTGGTGGGGCACAGTGTGCATGCCATGCTGGTCAGAACCATGCTGCCACCGGGCGAGATGGGGCTGCATCTTTTCTGTTGTGGTGCGTGCATCGGTTGCATTTTTATTTGCTTGACTTCTCTCTGAATGATGAACTTCTTGGGGAAAGAGCCCGGTTTTTTTGGCTAGTGAATCCTTAGTGCAAGGCACAGAGTAGGGCTGATCAAATATCTTGCATGAATGGATTCAGAAAACACACAAAAATAGCTGATTCCAGTTGAACAGCTGGTTAGCACCTGGTTACCGACTCAGCTCCACCGGTTCTTCCACACCGTGACCCATTTGTGAGGGAAAGCATCCTTGGAGCGCTGGTGGCTGGCTCCCGGCAGCCTGACACCTGGTCTGACGGAACTGATGAGATACTCTGGCATCCAGTCCAGGTTGCCCCTATGATGCCGAAACAATCAATCACTTCAGCCGAGAAAGACACTGAAATGGCCAAGTCCATTTGCAGTGCTGGGTAGATGGAACAACTGGTGCTTTCCTGTTGCCATTTGGCTGGTTGTGTTTTGTTGTCCCCTAGACAGCCCAAGTGTGGCCAGGGCACTGTGTCCCTGGCTTTTCTCCAGTGGAAATGAATAGTGGAGGTTCCCCCAGAAGAACTCTGGGTGGGCAATGGGGTGCCCCTGCTACCTCTGGGAATTCTTGCTCCAGCATCTGCAATACCACCCGTCTTGCAGAAGGGGAGCCGAGGGTCAGAGGGGTTAGTCACATGGACAGTGTAGTTGAGCTGAGACTTGCAGCCAGTTCCTTTCATTGCAACCCGTGTCTCAGGTGCTGAATTTTCAGAAAAATAATATGGTCAGATATTAGACCAAAATGATGGGGCAAGTTAAATCTGAATAACAATCAGTCCATCCCGGACTCAAGCTCTTAGATGTTTCATGCTCGGTGGGACATGGTTCAGAGCAAGCCCTGGAGGCCGACCACACCTACCTGGGTCAGAACCCAGTTCAACCCTTTAGAAGCTGTGTGCCCTGGGGAAACTTACTCACCTACCTGTGCTTCAGTTTCCTAACTGTGAAAGGGATCTGTTCCAGCTGACCTGATGGATTGCTTCTGGATTAATGAGATAAGCACACAGCACTGGCACAGCAGATCTCATACATGTGGTTCTGAATCAGAGCTGGGCAGCAGGCATGCACCCAGCATGCAACCCCGTGGGTGGGAGAACTCACACGTGGGGGCCCTTGTGCGGGCAGTCACGGTGCCGCCATGGGAGGGTGCTGGTAAATGTTTTGTTTAGAGTGGTGACATCAGGATTCGGGATGTCGAGGGTAGCACACCACTGTGGGAACACCGACCTGGAGGATGGAAAGGGTGCTGCATGGAGCTGGAACCCGGGATTCATAGACTGGCTGAAAACTGGACATTGTATACAAGGGTTATTACTATTATTATTATTATTATTTTTGAGACAGGGTCTTGTTCTCTCACCCAGACTGGAGTGCAGTGGCATGGTCACAGCTCACTGCGACATCCAGGTGTAATGAAGGGAGCAAAGACCACCTGGCGGCCATCGAGTAGGCCATCCAGACACACACAAGAAACTCCTGTATGAGGGATTTAAAGTAAACGCACGCGGTCTTTGCTTGCCAAGGTGTCCTGCTGCATACTTCTGCATTGTTCTGTTTTTCTAATAAAACTTTTCTTTTTCGGCTGGGCGCAGTGGTTCATGCCTGTAATCCCAGCACTTTGGGAGGCTGAGGCGGGCAGATCACCTGAGGTCGGGAGTTCAAGACCAGCCTGGCCACACAGCAAAACCCCATCTCTACTAAAGATACAAAAATTAGCCGGGTGTGGTGGTGGGTGCCTGTAATCCCAGCTACTTGGGAGGCTGAGGCAGGAGAATCGCTTGAACCTGGGAGGCAAAGGTTGCGGTGAGCCAAGAATGCGCCATTGCACTCCAGCCTGGGCAACAAGAGTAAAACTCCATCTCAAAAAAAAAAGAAAAGAAAAAAAAGTCTTCCTTTTTTCAAACCTGTACTGTTGTTGGTAAATTATTCTTACCAACCTGCAAATCGACTACTTCCTGATGCTGGGGCTCTGACACCTCACCCAGCAACAGGGACTACAGGCACACACCACCACGCCAGGCTAATTTTTGTATTTTGAGCAGAGATGGGGTTTCACCATGTTGCCCTGGCTGGTCTCAAACTCCTGGGCTCAAGTGATCCTCCCGCCTCAGCCTCCCAAAGTGCTAGGATGACAGGCATGAGGCACTGCGCCCGGCCTGAATGGTTACTGTTTTATTTGCCCTCACCCTCACTAAGACAGACATTTGACCAGTTCCACATGTTAGCTGTCACAGGGAAGACATGTTGTAAATGCCAGCATGGTAGGGAAGTGCATCATCAGAGACGAGAGAGGGACATCAAACAGTGAAGTACATTTTAGTGGGATGAACACAGTGCTGGAGATTTGCGTGGTGGGGACAGGCTTGGAGGGTTGGTGCTAATCCACTGTGTGTGTATGTGTTTGTGGTGGTGGTAAAGGACGGTTTCCTGGAAGAGATGACATCTGGGCTTGTGTTAAAGAGTAAGTAGGCCTTATCCAGAGTATGGGGTGGGGATAGTGCATGCTGGCCAGCTAGAGAGGCTAGCATTAGGAAGGCACAATGCGACAAGGATCCTGGCTTGTGCAGATGCGTAGGCTGGGGTGGGTGAGTGAGGTTGGTAGGGATCCCACTGGTGGGGATCTTGTAGGCCTTGGTGAGGAGTTTGGGTTGTGTCTTGGGCGATGGGGAACCTTGGCAGGTGCAAACAGGTCACCCTCGCCAGATGTATATTTTTGATAGTTCTCACACACTGCCAAGATGAGCTATGGTCTGTGCTGGGTGGCAGATGGAGGGAGTGGGAAACAAGGCTTGAGGAAAGAATAAAGGTTATCAGAGGCTGTAGCCATGGTTCAGGAAATAGTGGTTGGTAGCTGGAACTGAGGAAGTGGAGGCAGAATGAATAGGAGGGGAGTTGGGGGATGGATGTAGGATATTGCATTCACTGAGTGTGATGTTCTGTTGCTGAGATGCTACTGAGGAAGAGTGAGCAGTCAAGGACAAGACAATTTGGTGAGCTAATGGACAAGGGGCCAACAATGGAGATCTGGAATGCAGCAGTGGGGCAGGTCTTGGGGTACCCATGAAACATCCAGACGATACACTCAGAAACAACTAAACATATGAGGCAGAAGCTTGAAGGATAGATCTGGGCTGAAGATCTGGACCTGGGAGTCATTGAGAGATAGTGAAACCAGGGAGTAAATGAGTGAGAAATAGCAGGCCAAATACAGAACACAAGCAGCAACATTTGCGGGATGGGCAGAAAGAGAGGAGCAGCAAGAGTGGCAGCCCGGAAACAAAGAAGAGTGGTGCAATGGAAACCATGAGAATACTGTATCAGTCAGGGTCTGCTGTGTTGTGCTGCAGTGACAAACAGCCCCCAAATCTCAGAAACAGAGATGGAGTAACAACCATGTCAAGATAGCTTGTGCCTTTTGCCAGGGTCCAGGCTGATGGTGTAGCTGTAACCCAGGGTCCCTGGGTTTTGTTTTTTTGGGTACACACTGTGAAAAAAAGGCCCACTTGCAACTGTCACACCTTGACTTCTTGCTGTTTCAGAAAAGTTCTAGGAAGAAGCCCAGCCCTGGTAAAACAAAAACTGATTGGATGCAGAAATGCTTGAGTTGGAGGTGATCTTTGACGAATTATCCATATATCCATACTAAAAACCCTGCCCAGAAAGGAACTTACTCACCATTTTCTATACATGTGACTTATGTAGAAGCATGATCTGCAACTGCACCTGTGCTGACTTTATTCCACCTCTGCATACGATGACTCAGCTCTCCAGCCCAACAAGAGCCCTGTTTTTACCTGTGTTCTGGGAGGCACTGCTTTGGGAACTACCCCTTGTGTCCATCTTACTTGTTGTAAGTCATAAAATTCCCTTGTTAAGTTCTCCTTGGTTGTGGTCATTGGACTGTCACCCACTAAGCAAGAAAGCCCAGTCATTGTGTGGGTAACATAGCTTCTCCCTATGATGCTGCTTGTTTCATGGCAGAGGTAAAGGGGCAATCACAACCGTGCACTTCTTCTTGAGACTTTTGCTCCAAAGTGACAGATGTCACTCCTGCTCATATTTTATTGACCAAAGCCAGTCCCAGGCCAAGCCTGGGGTCCACAAGAGAGGGAATTATAATCCTTCCCATAGTGGGGGCACATATGTCCTGCACAGGCATACACTTGAGCACAGGTAAAGAGAATGCTGAAGACAGGGGAGACAAGCAGTGCAAAATGTAGCCAAGACAGAAGGGATGATAAAGATGGAAGAACCTCATCCAGGGTTACAATTGGCAGATCTCCACTGGCTTCTCCAAGAGCAGGCTGGGTGGGGTGGTGTCCCTACTGGATCTCCACTGGACACACCGAGAGCAGGCTGGGTGGGGTGGTGTCCCTAATGGATCTCCACCGGATTCACCAAAAGCAGGCTAGGTGGGGTGGTGTCCCCACAGGATCTCCACCGGACTCCTCGAGAGCAGGCTGGGTGGAGTGGTGTCCCCACTGCAGCAGAGACAGGCAAGTAGCCAGGGCAAAGACTGCAAGAGTCATCTGCTCTTTTGGGAAGTTTGCAAGGTAAAGAAAGATGGGTAAGGAGGGTGGTAGCTGAGAAGAAATGCTGAACAGGAGAGGGATTTGAATGATTCTCCTGCTTCTGTGTTTTCTCTCCAACCAGACACATCTATGTGGCAGAGGGCAAAAGTGGCCCCAGATTCTTCCCCATTCTGTATTTGTGCCCATCCAAAAAGACCTTGGAGCTCCTACTGGGAGGGAGAGTCTTTCTCCACCTCTTCAACCAGCTGGCCCTTTGACTTGCTTTCACCAGTGGGCCTGGGTGAACCTGACCCAAGAACTTGAAAAGGGCTTGTGCTTGGGGCTTGCCCGCTCCTTGCTATTGGAACCCCGAGACAGCCTGTGGTCAAGCCTGGGCTAGTTTGCTGGGTGATGGCAGACCTGTGTGCCAGGGACCCCTTTCCAGCCCTACCTTGCCCCAGTTGATAGCCAGCCGACTCTACAAGTGGAGCCGCCCTACCAACCTGTGGCCTGTAGCTGACCACAGAGGCAGCCCAGCCAAGCCCAAAAGACCTGCCTTGTTGAGTCCAGCCCAGCGAGCCAACCTCTGGAATCAGGAGCTAAATAAATACTTGTTTCAGGCCATTGCATTTTGGGGTACTTCATTTTGCAGAAAAAGCTAAGTGATATAGCCTGTGTAATCCAGGTGTTTCATGATGAACAGATTATCTGTGGATTTTTACTGGAGGCCTGAGCTCACCAAATTTTCCTCTTTTGATGTCTACTACTTTAGGGTGGGAGCTGCCTGTTACTTCTGTTTCTTCAGCCCCTTAACTGGAGTGTGGCCTGTAGTAAGTGCTCAGTAAACATCTGTTGAAAGAATGAGTGTTTGAATTCCATTTACAAAACACCACCAGACTATGGACTTTGGGTGATGATGTGTCAGTGCAGGTCCATCCATTGTAAGAAATGTGCAGCTGTGGTGCAGGTGTCAATAGTGGGAGGCTGTGTGCAGATGGGGCAAAAGGTATATGGACACTCTTGTTGTACTTTCTGCTCAATTCTGCTGTGAATCTACAATTGCTCTGACAGATAAAGTTTATTAATTAAAAAAAAAGACGATAAAACCACCAGCAGAGTTTTCATCTGAGTTTTGGGAGCTGGGTGGGGGAAGTGATTGGCACAGGCTCTGCAATGCTCATGGGCAACAACAGGGCCATTTTTCTGTCCCAATGCGGAGCCCTGGTCACCCTCCAAAGTCTCTACCCCATATTTAACTTCCACCCAAGGGCACCAAGATGGCCTGCAGTCACATTAAAAAGATGATGGATATGAATATTTTATCTTCTCTCCCTTCTTGTCAAAACCCACAATATTGCTTTCCATAAATCAATTTCACTTGTGCACTCTGTCTGGGGTGCGGCATGCCTTTATGTATTTAGTCTTTGATTTGGTCTCTGGCCTGCCTTTATGAACAGCCTGACTCTCAGAGACTCTTCAGAGCAGGGACATTCTGATGGTGAGCAGGTGGCTCCCTAAGTTGAGCAACTTCTCATCAACTTCATTGCTTTTACATTAAAATAATCATTTCAGCTGGGGCAGCGGGGGGCTGAACGTTAGCTGCTTAATTGCACCCACCTTTCAGCCCTCTTCTCAGAGACTGATTCCAGGGCTTTCTTAGCATAATACACGCTGGGGTCTGTAAATGCAGAAAGCGGCGGCCTCTTAACCAGCACAGCAGAGCCAATTGATGCATTTCTCCTGTTAAATTTACTGGCTTTATTGAAAGGTCTTTTGGGAGTTGCTTGCTCATTAAATACACCAAATACAAAATCTCTCTTAATACAGTATTGTCTTGGTAATTTAGAAGACTTTCCCAAAGTGAGCTCGGAGAGATGGAACTGTCAAAGCTTTTAGGAGGCCACACTCTCAAAGGTTGTGCTTCCTCTCATAAGCGGCTGCTCTGCAGCTTTATGATTTGGGGTGCCCTTCTGTCTAATCTAGTCCAAAGCATCACCCTCCTATTGCCCCACCCCATCCCCATTCGCCTCCCAGGTCAGTGTGTGGCCAAAGATATGACAGCTTCCAGAATCACAGAAAATTTGAGATCAGATTTCTCCACTGACTTTTACTTTTATGTGTTTATTCATTTATTTATTTATTAGAGGCAAAGTGTCACTCTGTTACCAAGGCTGGAGTGCAGTGGCATAATCATAGCTCACTGCAGTCTCAAACTCCTGGGATCAAGTGATCCTCCCACCTCAACCTTCCAAGTAGCTGGGACTACAGGCACATGTCACTGTGCCCAGCTAATTTTTAAAATTTTTATTGTAAAGATGGGGTCTTGCTATGTAGCCCAGGCTTGTCTTGAACTCCTGGCCTCAAGTGATCCATCCACCTCAGCCTCCCAAAGTATTGGGATTACAGGTGTGAGCCACCATGTCTGGCCTCCACTGATTGTTAGAATTGAGGAGTGGAAAGATTTAGAAATACACAATCCTTAAGCCAGGTGTTGGTTCTGATTTTGTGTTGTGGCAAGAGGATTAATCTGGTGGTGGAAGTGGGGAAGGGGACAGTGGCTGGTTCTTCCCACTCCCAGATACTTTGGGACCCCAAAGTAGTAGTGAGAACTTGGGACATGTGGCCCTGAGTCAGACCCTGGCCACACCAGCTGAATTCGGCTTCCAGCGGGACGTAGCGGGGTGGAGCGAAGGTGCGTCCCCCTGACCAGGACAGAGCCACAGAAGGAACACTGAGCTCTGAGCACTCCTACTTGATGTGACAGGTTGACAAAGTCACTTCATAAGTTCTGACTGTCAGTTTCTCTCTAAGTAAAATCAGGTTAGAAATTCCATTCCCTCTGTTATAAGTTTGGTTAAAAAAAAATAAAAGATTCCATTACATTCCTAAAAGGATATGGGTCAGCCAACAACGCAGGAAGTCTTGGATAATTTTAACAGAACAGAAATAGAAGGGAAAGCCCAGAGTGAAGGGGAGGAAAGGGAGCTTGCACACATTTAGCCAGACAAGGGATAACAAGTGCTATGGGATGCTCTGAGCAAAAAGCTCAGGACGTGCTGGTGCAGTGGTGGCTACTTCATCTCTTCACTGCTTCTCTCTGCCCCTTTCCTTCCAGAACCCCAGTTTTCTTCAGGTCTATATGGCGGCTGCCAGGAGACCACAAATTAGTGTAGCTGTCCCCGTGTGTTCCCTTCCTCACCCCTGACGACCTGGGCTGGGCCCCTGTCCTCAGTGGATACAAAACTTGGAATTCATCCTCCATGATTTTCTTTCCTTTGCCTGCCACCCATTCACACATCCTGTAGGATTCGATGATGAGGAAACGCAGTCTCAATCTTGCCCTAAGGAGCACACAGTTGTTGAGTGAGATGTGCCAGGCTGTCCTCTGTCCCCGATTATTGGCTGCCTCCAGGAAGGAGATCAGAAGACCTTTGCCCACTGGGACTTTGCTTGGAATTTGCAGTGTCTCACACTGCAGGAGGTTGAGGCTTCTACACTACCCTCTGGCCAGGCCATGGATCTTGCTTTACCAATGGAAGGTGTGGCCACTGTGAACAGAAGGACCATCGCGTGGTCCTGCCATTGCTGTGTTCTCTCTGCCATGGGAAATGCATGTCCCGAGTGGAGATGCTACTTCAGCCTTGATCCTGGAAGGAAAATGACATGCAGAATAAAGTCAGGGATGATGTGTGGCCAGAGCAGGAAGTAAATCCTTATTGTTGTCAGTTGGTGAGGTTTGGGGCTGGTTTGTTATCTAAGCATATCTTAGCTAAAGCTGACTAATACACACTGAGACCAGAATTACATATTATAAATATGTCTAAATAAAATGTGTAAAATGTAGCCACAGCAAGTGCTCTGATGGAAGGTCCCTGAAGCCATGACAGCACATGTTAGAAGAAGCTGGCCCAGTGAGGCAGCAGCAAGGGTTAAGGAGGTGAGGAGAAAGGGGAACAGCATTCTAGGCAGAGGGAACAGCACCTGCGAGGTACCGACTTGGGAGGGACTGGGGGTACATCTGAGGAACAGAAAATAGAGGGAGTGGGAGTGAGAGGGGCATGGGTGTGGGATGAGGCAGGGGCTTATGGAGCAGACTGAGGATTTAGGTCTTTATCCTAAGAGCAAGGACAGTGATGGAGCATTGAAAGTGGAGTGCGGACATATGAGACAGGACTTTTTTTTTTTTAGACAGAGTCTCCCTCTTTCACCCAGGCTGGAGTGATCTTGGCTCACTACAACTTCCGCCTCCCAGGTTCAAACGATTCTCCTGCCTCAGCCTCCTGAGTAGCTGGGATTACAGGCACGCACCACCACTTCTGGCTAATTTTATATTTTTAGCAGAGATGAGGTTTCACCATGTTGGCCAGGCTGGTCTCGAACTCCTGACCTCAAGTGATCTGCCCGCCTTGGCCTCCCAGAGTGCTGGGATGTTTTTAAAACCTCACTACGCTGTAATGTGGTAGGTGGCTTTGAAGGTGGGGTGGGGCTAGGGGAGGCAGAACAGAAGCAGGGAGACAAGGTAGGGGGTACAGGGAGGTCCGGGGGGCTGCCTCAGGGCTTGGGCTCTGCTGGGAGCTCAGCACCGAGTGGTGGTCTGCACTGAGCTGGGAGGTGGGACTGTGGTGTGAGCAGACCCCAGGCAGAGCCCTGAGTGGCAAGGGAGTGCTAGCAGAGGGAGCAGAGGCTCAGGTTGATCTGCAAGGCTCGGTGAGTCTCCTCTGGAGCTCTCCAGGGTCCTCCAGAAGAGGAGCAATCGGGTTATTCTTGCACTGAGCCACCATCTGTCTCTGTCACCTTGTGAAGGATGATGGGTGAACTATCCTTGGGTCCCTACTTTGCACCGGGCACTGCATTCACTCATCATGGGGGATGGAGGTCTTAACCTTTATTGTGCCATGGAACACTTAGCAGTCTCAGAACAATGCTTTGAAATGCATAAAATAAAAGATATGGCATTGTAAAGGAAGCCAATTATATGGAAGCACAGTTTTTAAAATATTTTTTAAATCGTGAAGTAGGAATATGTTTCCTTGTTAGCACCTTACCTCGTGTCAAGTGACTATCATTTTGCAGCAGTGATAAGCATAAGTTCTGTCTAGAGGTATCTGCAACACTGTGGGATGATGAGGAAAATGTCTGTGCTTTCTTGCGGTGATGAAGTGGAAGGCACTGATCAGACTATTTTAATTTGTTACTAAATTTGTAATTTAAGGGAATAGTAAATTTTAGTTAGAGGTGGGTGAAAATAAAGATGTCACCTTTTTTTTAATATCCTAGTTCACAGACTCCATGAATCTGAGCCTCGGTTTCCTCATATTGAAATGTGGGTCATAGTATCGTGTTAAGAGCTGTTAGGAGATTGGGGAACAAATCTGATGTTTCATCTCGAAGGTCTGATATCATCTGTCCAAGACCCAGGTGAAGGCTCCAGGCGAGGTGCTCTGATTTGGAGTAACCCAGAGTTGAATTCCACTTCTCATGGCAAACCTCGCCTCCCTCCTGAACCTTGCCTCTCCAGCTGGCCCTCCCTGTCAGGGCTTCCCAGGCTGCTCCTTCCCATCCTTAGCATGTGACCCAGGGCACTGCCATGGACATCCTCCTGAATAGCAGCCACTGCTCCTAAGAGTCCAGGCCTCCTGAGGCATTCTCCTTGCCTTTGGCAAATCCATCTGGAGTGAAGAGCAGCTTCCTGAAATCCAAGGATCGATAGGAACAAACCCAGGTGCACACCCACTCTTGTGGCCAGGTTGGCTTTCCAGAAAATGGAATCGATGCCTGGACTGTCGGCGCCTCTCCCTGTAGACACACTCAGTGGGCAAACCCAGCCATTCCAAATGGTGCTGATGGAGGCAGCAGACATGGTCTCTGCTGCTGCTGGCCCATGTGGCCTTGACCCAAGCCCTCCAAGCCTCCATCTTTCCACCTATGGATTGGGCTCCTCGTCTGTTCTGCTACCTTTCCCCCAAACCATCAGCAGCCCGCAGAGCACTGTGATGAGGGTGAGGGCCCATCCCCACCACGAGCTTGCTGAGAGACCGTGGCCTTCACCCCCAGAGCCCATGTTTTCTCGCCCATGAAATGGGCTCATGATCCATATTTCTCAAGGGCTGTTGTGTGAATTAGAAATGTGCTTGATAGCTCATCCTGAATGCTTAATATGCATCAAAAATGTCATCTGCCCCATACAGGACTCTTGACAGACTCACCCTGCCTCTGTCCAATCACACTGCTTCTCTGTTGTGAATCTTGTGATTCCCATCTCATTCAGCTCCTTGCAGCAGCTTATAGAGTCCTCAGTGATCTGGCCCTCTCCCTCCTACCCCTTCCCCACCCACGTTCACAGCCCCTCCAGCCACGTTTTCCAAGTGCTCACTAAGCCTATGCCTGAGCAGTGCCCTTGTGCTCGTTCTGCCTGGAGCACCTTCCCTGCCTGTGCCTCATGCCTCGCTCCTTCTCATCAATTAGTTCTGGGCCCAACATCATCTCCCAGAGAGGCCTCTTGGACCGATCTGCTTGGAATGACTCCTCACATCTCTCCACCCTCCACCTTGCTTTAGTTTTCTTCCTGATCCTAATGGTCTCTGAAATGACAGTGTTTATTTACGTTCTTGTGTGTGATCTTCCTTGCCGACTGCCAGGGGCACCCCACGAGCACAGGGACTCTGTCTCTTGTTTGCCGCTCCTACAGGCGCCTGCTAGAGAGCCTTGCTCATAGTTGGAACCCCAAAATATTTGCTAACTATAAGAAGACATTTTGGAGAGAATTGAGAAGAATCAAATAAGAACTAGGTGTTAGATAATGTGAAGAAATTAATAATTTGGTTCAGTGTGATAACGGCATTCAGGTTAGGATGAAAGAAGAAGCCTTCGCTGTTTGTTACAAGCTGCAGTATTTACGGGTAAAATGGCATGTCTGGGATTTTCTTTCCTTTTTAAATTTTGTTGTTGTTGTTGTTGAGATAGTCTCTCTATGTTGCCTAAGCTGGTCTTGAACTCCTGGACTCAAGTGATCCTCCTGTCTTGGCCTCCCAAAATGCTGGGATTACAGGCATGAGCCACTGTGCCCAGCCAATGGAATTTTCTTTAAAATAGTCCAGTTTAAGAAAAAAGTATGATGGGGGTGAGAGGAGACAAAACAGCAATGGCCAAATGTTGATAATGATGAAAGTTATGAGTACACTTGGGTTAATTCTATTATTCTCTTACCTTTGGTAGGTGTGAATATTTCCATATTAAAGAATTAAAAACGTATATTTGTGGAACTCATTGAAGAGTGAGTGACTAGTGCATGAAATGCACTTAGCACAGAATCAAACGCACAATAGACATGCTGACACTGGGCTAAGCACTTTGCATGCATGACCTTACTGAATTCTCCTGATGATGCTATAAATTAGGTATTTTTATTATCACCATTTTGAACATGGAGAAGCTAAGCTTTCTGGAGGTGAAATAACTTTTCTTGGTAGAATCAAGACTTGACTCTAGAACCTGAGCTATTAATCACTGGTTGTCTATCATCTGGGCTAAGTTACAGGGGAGACTCAGCCCGTGGGGGCCAACCCTACAGGGGCTTGGAAGGCTGACAGCATAAAAGCAGCCAGTTTTATGCCTTGGACATGAAGCAGCCAGTGTCTGTGCCTTTCCCGTGGGGGCTGGAAAGAGGACTGTTGAGGACAAATAAAAGAACTCCTGCCTGACCCCGTGGAAAACAATGTTTTCCTAAGCATACAGTGGTTTGTGATTGAACAGCAGGTGATGCTGCTCCCTGGTGTCACAGTAAGAGCAGAGTTAGGCATGGCTAGGGCTGTGTGGCATCCCAGGAGGAGCACTAGATTAGCAGTTCCAAGATCATCTCCCTACTCTAATTCTTAGATGCCTTCCACGGCTCTGGCCAAAGTGATCAATGTGGAGGAGGCCTTGTCATCCAAGCCTAGCCAGTCAGAGCAAGTCAAGGGGCATTTGTATGACCAGGAAGCAGCATTCTGGCTCCCTCTTTCTGGGCTTGAAGCCAGAAAGGTGTAAATTCAGGGTGGCACAGCCCCTCTACTATCCGAGGGGAGAACTTGTCAGAGAAGAGAGCCTGCAAAGGAAGGAGAGCTGAGCTGATCCATCCAGCTCCTGGATCAAGCTTATCTGATGTCAGGCTGGCCATGGACCTGTCAGTTAACAAGAGCTAACACATTTCCCTCCTTGCTTACGCACTTTGGGTTGTGGTTTTTGTCACTTGCAACCAAAGGAGTTCTAATGGCTGTAATATATTGGCTGCTTGGGAGTTTGAAAACCCATTTGTGGATGGGGAGCTGCTGCAAGTTTTTGAGCTGAGTGGCCAGCCCTGAGCCTCACTCCAGACAATGTCTATGGTGCTTCTTGGAGGAAGAGTGAGCAGGCTGCCCACACTCACCCTGGCCCGGCTCTGCCACCTTGTCTCTGCCTGTTACCTCTGTCTGCCATGGAAGGTGAGGCTCTGAGCTTCCACCCGCCCTGGTGCTGGCTTCATTCACTAGCATCTTCTCTGTGAGAGAACGAACCTCACATCAAAGTGGCGTGGCAGCTTTCCTTAAACAAAACAGTCCTTCCCCTCCCTGCTGCCTTGCACAGGCAAGAAACCGCATTTAACCACCTACAAGTTTCCTTTCATGGTCTCCTGTCATTATGGGAATGCTTTGATCGGGCGCCGGGAAGCGGGAGAGGGGGAGGCGCACTCCACCATCACAATTAACTTGTTAGAGACAATGACTCCCAGCCAAGATGCCCGCCTGCATGGGGTGTTGGGCAGGCATGATGAGAGCCGGGGCCCGTGATGGGGGCCCGGGGCCTCTGGCGTGGAGACCATCTGAGAGGGGCCCCAGCTCTTTGCTGGCTCTGTGAAGGTGCCAGTTGGTGGTCTTAGTTCACAGGGTGGCCACAGTGGCTCCATGCATCCCCCGACACCAAATGCCATCTTGGCACTGTGCCACACTGAGGAAGCCAAGAGCTCAGCCCCTGGCACCAGAGAGCTTCACTTTTTGAAGCTATCGTCAGCTTCCATCACTGCTCTAAGCCTGTCCCTTATCTGTAAAATGGGGCTAGGAAAAGGATGCCCATAAGGGGTAGCGGCATGTCTGGGCTCTCTGTGCATCATTTCTATCCTTATCAATAAACAGTAGGCTTCTCCCCAGGAGTCCTAGAAGAACAGCATGGCAAATACTGCCACCACAGTGATCTTGGGTGTGAAAAACCTCAGCCAGGAGGGTTTTGGGGTTGTGTGAGCCACTGGCTTGGGCTCCTTCCCTTCTCAGGTCTGTCTCTGGCATGTGGAAGGCGGGTGACCATGGAGCCCCTTCCCTAGCAGTGAGAGTCGCTGTTCAAATCCATTCTCCCAGATCCTTTGACCCCCAGACTCAGGGGAATCCCCGGACTTTAGGACTGGAAGGCCCTTCGGGGTCTCCAAGTTCCCCGCTCCTCACTGCCAGCCATGGCAGCCATCCTAGGATGGCTCACCCTTGCCTTGAAACTCACACGGTTGAGACCACAGAAAGCCCAGCCCCTGGGATTCCTGAAGACTTGAGGTGGTGGCTATGGTCTTCTGGTTGCTCTGAGAGACTTGCCTGTCTCCCCTTCACTGCCGCCTCCTCCAGGAAGGCATCTGAGAGGATCAGTGAAGCCTCAACTACCCCACGGGTTCTGCGCTCTGCCTTCCTCCCCATGCCCAAGAGGGAGTGGGTTTTGAGGCACCCTGCTCTTTGGCCCTGTGCGCAGCTCTCCTGGCAGAGTGGAGAGCTGGTGGTAATTGACAGGGAAGTGATTGGGTATTCTTGTGTCTCTGGCCTTAGTAACATCAGCATAGCCCTCAGTGTCTACTTTTCTCCCTTCCCCTGCCACCCCTGGGTTCTCTACAGATGGTGGCTCTGGTGAGCCCATGGTTCTCTCCTGCTAAGTCTCTCTGTTCCCTGCCTTGTTTCTCTCCATATGGTGGCCCTGATGAGCTGTAAGAAATGCCAAGCTGAACCTCTCACTCTTCTGTTTTATTTATTTTATTTCATTTTATTTTATTTTTTTTAGAGATAATGTATTGCTCTGTTGCCCAGGCTGGAGTGCAGTTGTTCAATAATAGCTCACTGCAGCTTCAACCTCCTGGGCTCAAACCATCTTCCTACCTTAGCCTTCCAAGTGGCTGAAACTACAGGTGTGTGCCATTACATCCAGCTGTTTTTTTCAAATTGTGCTTTCTATAGAAATGGGGTCTCACTGTGTTGCCCAGTCTGGTCTCAAACTCCTGGGCACAAGTGATCCTACTGCCTCAGCCTCCCAGAGAGCTGAGATTATAGGCATGTGACACTGTGCCTGGTCATTCCTCTGTTTTAAACCACAAAACTCCTGACTAGTCTGGTTTCTGCCTGGGAGTCCACCTCATACCCCGAACCCATTCTTCATAACTCTCACTTGGGCCTTTGCACCTGCTGCTCCCTCTGCCGGAAGCCTCTCTTCTCCTGCTTCAACTCTGCCAGGTTGAAATGCCTCTTCCTGACCTGGCTCTCCCAGCGGGGGTCTGAAGCTGTGGCCTCCGCAGCCACCCACAGGCCACCTTGCACTATCCCCTCCCAGTACCTTTTCTCTTCTTCTTCTTTTTTTTTTCTTTCTTTCTTTTTTTTTTTTTTTTCAGGCGGAGTTTCACTTTTGTCGCCCAGGCTGGAGTGCAATGGCAGGATCTCGCCTCACTGCAACCTCCATCTCCTGGGTTCAAGTGATTCTCCTGCCTCAGCCTCCCAAGTAGCTGGGACTGCAGGCGTGTGCCAACATGCCCAACTAATTTTTGTATTTTTAGTAAAGACGGGGTTTCACCATGTTGTCCAGGCTGGTCTCGAACTCCTGACTTCAGGTGATCTGTCCACCTCGGCCTCCCAAAGTGCTGAGATTACAGGCGTGAGACACTGCACCCAGCCATACTTTTTCTTATCTGTGTGGCCATATCTCCCCCGCCTCCCTCTCTGTTGTGCGACTGCCCACCCCATAAGGGCAGGGAGGGTCTGCACTGCTCCCCACTATACCCCTGGCTTCCAGGGTAAGACCTGGTCTAGGGAGGCCCTTCCCCACCTGACACCGGTCCTGTCCTGCCAGGTAACCCAGGAGACCCCCGAGCCGAGGCCTGGTATCTGGGTGAACCATCCTGGCTCCATTGCAGCACACTATGGCAGCTGAATAATTAACTCTCCAATTATAGGCCCATAATAGAGGCTTAATCTGGGGCTCGTTGGTAATGAGCCTATTCACAGGCCTTTCATCCAGGCCCCAGCCCTGCGCCGCTCAGAGAGCCCCCGCCTTGGCTATGTGTCAGAGTCCACCCTCCTGCTCACCGGGGCCTCGGCCCTGCACCCCTAGCCTGGCTGCAGCCCACCCCCTGGCCTTGAGGTGTCCTGGGCTGTGTCTGCGGTCCCAGGTAAACCCGGGGAGAAAAGAGCATGCTCTGACCTCTCCTCCCAGGGCTGGGTGGGCAGCAGAGCTCAGAGCCTGCAGCAGATGCCTCTCCGCCAGGCCAGGATGAGCCTGGAAGCTACCAGGAAAATGTGCCCCCGGCGCAGAAGGCCCCCCTCATTATGGAGACACACCAATTGGCTCGGCCCATGAAAGCCTTCAGGTTTGAGAACGTGAAGACTTAATTGCCTTATGGACATGGAAAGAATGGAGGGGCTTCTCCAGGGAGCGGTTCCTTGCCTCGTGCTTTCTCTCTCCCCCACTGGATAATGACAGGACTTATGACTGATTAAAGGGGGAAGACAAACTCCCCTCTGGGGGGCCAGTGACAGGTTCCACCTACATTTAAAGCATGCCCCCTCCTCAACTCCACTCCTCCTCCCACCGACTTTTCAGAGGTGATTTTTAATTGCTTTTTCCCAGGTGGAGAGAGGGAGTGGAGATGAGGGGTGCGCGGGGAATTTCACATTCGACAGCGGCCCCTGCATCTTGGTTCTTACTGGGGCACGCTGTTCCTGTGGGGCTTGGAATCGCAGTAAATTTGTCGTCCAGGGAAGCATGGAGAGCAAATAGGCACACAAAAACTCCCCTCTCTCATCCCTGGGCTCAAGGCTCGTGGTTCTGTTCCTGGGCCCTCTGGCCTCCCCTCCCTCTGCAGCCCAACCTGCTCCCTCTGCTCTGGCCACACAGGCCGCTCGTGCTCCTTTGGGCTACCCAGCTCCTCTCGCCTCTGGGCCTCTGCCCTGAGCGGTGCCCTCTAGTTGGAAAACACAACTTCCTCCATCTTTGTAGGGCATCCTCCTTGTTATCTAGGTGTGGCTGCAAAGGGCCCTGACTGCTCACCCTGCAGAATGTCCAGTGCATCCTTTGGAGGCCTCTCCCATCATTTTGCCCTCACACTCTCAGTATATTTATTTGCATTTTTATCAAGCGTCGGTCTCCCCTAACTGAAATGCAAGCTCTGTGAGAGCAGCCTTGTCTGCTCGGTGGTTACTCACGGTCTAGGGCAGTGCCTCGTAGGTAAATATTTGTAGAAAAATAGAAGAGAGCTTCCCCTTATGGACCCGCAAGTGCTCTTTGGGCCCCATGGGCCTGGCAGAAAGCCTCACCTCACCGGCAATGGGTCCCTCCTAGGACTTTACCGTTGACAATGGTGCCTTCTGGAAGTCACCTCCATTTCCAAGCTGGCCCGGTGGGGCCCAGATAACGAAGCTGCTTTAACATAAATAATTTGCTTCTGAGGTGTAAGAAGTGGGGAATATTTTTAGAAGGCCTGCCCTCCTAGGGGAAGTAAATGACTTATGAAAACGGGATTTTTCAAAGTGGCCTTCAAGAGAAAAGGGAGCCGTGTGTGATGGCCAAAATGGAATTCTATGAATTAGTGCGACTCATTATTCTGGCCGTACGCACACAGAAACACGCACACACACACACACACACACACTCACTCACTTTTCCTCCTGCCTTCCATTTCATGGTCTTAGCTCGAATCTGAAATAAAACCCCGGCAGCCCTCCTCCCCTGGCCCTCAGCGGCGGCCTGTCTGATTGGATGCCTCCCACAGCCCTGAAGACCAGAGCTTCAAGGAGGAAGCCGCCAGGGACACGCTGAGTCCTCGCTTCTTAAAGTGCGCCCGTAAGTTACCTTGAAATGTTATTTTTTAAAAAAAAAGTATTTTAGGTTCAACAGACACTTGGGTTCCTGTTAACAACTCATTTAAGGAGAAAGTGGGGGGAAGGCATTCAGATCAAGGCTTCTTTGACAACGTGAACCTCCTTACTTTGAATCCTTACATTGTCGATGGGATGAAAGATTTCGTGGAGACGCAGATGGGTAAATGCGCAGGTGAGAAAGGACAGATGTTCGCTACAACGGAGACGCAGGGATCTTGGGATGAGCTTTGTCTGGCCAATAATGGAGAATAGATATTGGAGGGAGGGGGGAGTGGGAGACCCAGAAAACCAAGACACAAAAACCACTTTTGTGACCATTGTGTTTCCACTGGAGTCTTGATCTAGGGAAGATGTGCTGTTTGGAGAACTAACAAGATGACCGACTGCTTTGATGGGGCATGTTCTGAAAACCAAGGTCTACAGAAGTCATCCATGGCTGGCTCCCTGGGGCCTTTCTCCCCTTTTCTACAAAATCTGGCTGCCATGGAGGCACAGATATGTTTTCTGCCCATCACCCCCCAAAAGCCCCAGACAATCAGCTCAGACCGTCTTTTCTTGAAGGTTCATGGTTGCGTCCTGGTGCCCACAGGCTCAACTTTGAACTTCTCAGCCAGGAGCCAAGGGCTGCCATGAGCTAGCTCTACCTTGCCTTCTCTTCCCAGTCCTCACACCTCCCCAAGACCCTACTCCCACCGGACCAATCTTCTCCCTGATCCCATATTATTCTTTCCTCCTCCATGGAGGTCCCCTTATCCAAAGATTCTCCTGTCTACTTGTCTGAGGTCTGCTCATCCTGGACAACCTGACTCCCAGGAGCCTTCTGAGCCCATCTTCACTGAGCTCTTGTAAGTTCCAATTCTATGTTCCTTTGATCCATCTCATTGACTGTCTTTCTAGTCTACTCTCCCAAGAGGACTTTTTAACTCTTTCAAAACAAGGGTTCTGCCTGGTAGGTGCCAGCAGATGGCACAAGACCAACAGAGTGGGCACAATAAGAAAGTAATGGCCTCTTCCAAACAGCATGAAGTGGCCAGGCTGTGGACCAGAGGGTGCACATGATATGGTTCACCACCCTCTCTTGGAGATCTTCCATCCTTGAGGCTCAGGAGCAGAACTCAAGAGAAACTGCCACCATAGTGCTGTCACCCTCTGCTGACCACCCTGAAACCTGGAGGCCTGCTTATCCCCTGGGGCAAGACCCAAACTATCAGCCTCTCTATGTTGTCCCAACTCTTTTTTTTTTTCTAGAATAGTTCATTCATTCAATAAAATTGTTGAGTGGCCCACTCACTGTGTGCCAGGCACTGGGAATCTGGGGGTGAGTATCCTATACCCAGTCCATTGTCTTGGTACTTACAGACAATGAATTAAGAGCCACAGAAATGACTGATTACAGTCAGAATAAGTGCAACGACAGTTTAAGTGCAGGCTGCTCTGAATATTTCGATAGACCTAACAATTGCTTCTCAAGGTTGCTGTTTTACATCTGGTGGGTTTTGAGCAGGCTGCCCTACAGCAGTGGCAAAAGGAGCCATAAGCTGCCTTGATGGGACACTTAATGGGATGCTGAGCCTAGGGGGACTGATGGAAGAAGGTCAGTTCTCATGGTGGGTCTGAGGCGAGGCTGGTGCTCTGAGTGCTGGTGGAGAAGTATCTCCAGGCAGGGACTGTACCTGGAATTCTTAGGAATGTAGAGGAGGTCAGAGCAGGAGCCAGCTGTCTCCCCAACTTAGGCCATAGACAGAAATGTCTCAACATCCTCTGGTGCTAAGTGCCTTCTCCTCTTTAAAAGGAGGGCCTTCTTTTCAACAAGCTCCCATGTCCCATGGAAAGAGTCCTCCAAGCCTTGCTAGCATCACCCTATTGGGTACCAGTTACTCCCTCACTGGCTGTATTTTACTTCCTTGATTTTTCTATTAATGAAGCCAATGAGCTGTTTTGTATTATGACTTCTTCTCTAATGTTTATCTACTCTACATCATGGTGAATTCCAGGAGAATTAAAATTATGTCTAGTTCTTTTTGGATATCAAGGATCCTAGTGAGGGCATAAACCAGATAAACAAGTATCTGGCATGCATGCCACCACTTCTGAATCCAGTGACCATGGCAGACATTATTAATCAATCCTGATACTCATTTCTGCTGTGCCTTGATATGGTTTCAAAGTACCTCCTCAGAATACTCTTTTCTGGTTACCCTTTGGGGGAAGTCACTCCTCCTCTGATTTTTTTTTAATGACTTAAATCATTCTTTTCTTCACAGTGCTCTTTCACTTGCAATTACATATTTTTAAAGGCTTATTTAAGGACTGTTTCCCCAACTAAGCTGTAAACTTATGGAACCATGTCTGTCTTTGCTCATCATTGCAGTGGGGTGGTGAGCCCATCCCTTGTCCTGTGGGAAGAGCTCAGTGCATGTTTGCTGCAAGTTGACTGAATGCTTGAGTAAATGAGTGATTTAAAGAGGACCCAGGTTTATCATCAAAATGCCTGGCTTAATGCTGGCTCGGTAGCTTCCTAACTGTGCACTTGGACAGGTCCCTTCCCTTCTCTGGGCATCAGCTTCCCCATCAGTAAAATAAGGATAAAATCTTTCCTTTTGCAGAGTTGCAGTGGGCATCTGATGGTGGAAAATAAGTGAAAACATTTTGTAGCTCAGAGGCAAACGCTGCCAGTGGTGATTATTGGTGTGATTTCTCCCCTTTTCTCTGCTGCAGGGCTGGGAGCTGTTCAAGCAGAGGTTTCACTTTTCTGGAGCTTTTGAAGGCTCTGGGACACAGACTGCCCTCCTGAGCTTGGGGGCCAGGGGGAATTTTATCTTGGATTCGGGTTGGTTTGGGGGATGCTAGCAGGCTGGTGTTCAGTGCGGGGCCCAGAGGGTGCATGCCGGGAGTGGGCAGCTGCTCCTCCCCTCCTGCCTGGGTCCAGGGTGGCAGCCTCTCCACTGCTGGGGCCCTGTGGGGAGGGGGCCTGAGGTCCTGGGTACTGAGCCCTGCCCATGGGAGGCATGCACGTGACTCTGGCCTTGAACATTTAGGATGCAGCGTGGCATCACTGCCTGCATGGGTGAGGAGGGAGGGGCCACTGTGTGCTGCACTCCTTTGTTGTTTCTACAGCTGGGGCCAGGCAGCCCCTTCCCTTTGGGGATTTGAACCCCTGGAGCCCGTTTCCCTACAAGGTGGTCCTTCTCTGGCCAGTGAAGCCTGCCTAATGCACCCTGGGGAGGCTGATGCCTTAAGCAAAGTGGCTCGAGCCGGCCCTGCTGAAGCTGATCCCAGCTGGCCTGGAGCGGGTAGGAATTTGTGTGTGTGTTGTAGCAGGGGATTGGGGGAGCTCAGGAATGGCCAAGTGCAATGGCAGGACCCTGACTGGCTGTTACCAATCCCAGAAAGGGGCACGGAATGGTGGGGCTGGCCAAGACCCAGTGACTCCGGGAAACAGAGAGCTCCACTCCCCTGTCCCCTGACTCTCAGCTGGGGTGGGTGGCAGGGCCCAGCAGGAGTCAGGCCTTTCTCCCAGAAGGGCAGGGCCCATAACTTGTCCTCCTAGAGGGCCAGTTCACTGGGGAAGATGGGTCCTGGTTGCAGAGAAACCAGGCCCATTCTCCCTTGGCAGCCAGAGATCTTGAGTTGTGGGGGCAGGAAGCAGAGGAGGGCCTGGGAGTAGGTCCCCCACAGGCAGGTGGGGCTTGGGAAGCTTGAGAGTCTTTTTCTG